>NC_000016.10:25153152-25456182 GCF_000001405.40 Homo sapiens | reverse complement strand
GGACAGGCTGGTCTGGAACTCCTGACCTCAGATGATCCACCCTCCTCGGCATCCCAAAGTGCTAGGATTACAGACGTGAGCCACTATGCCCGGCCTGTGACTTTTTTTTTTTTTAGAGAAGCTAGAAGCCTGGATTTTATTAGCCTCCGAAGGTTTAATGTTGATTTAAAATGTTGTGTTGTTCATGTGTGTACTGAAACACTGGAGAGCTAAGGAAAAAGAAATAGAAAATGGAACAGCCAAGCAGAGTTGCAGCAGAATATCACCTACATTTTCCCATGCCTACCCCACTGAAATTGGCCAGACTAGCATAAACACATAGTTCTAGGTCTCAGGAACAATGTCTTTGATCATTACAAAAGGAAGTCAGTTGGCTGTAAGTATTTGGCTTTATTTCTGGGTTCTCTATTTGGTTCCACTGGTCTATGTGCCTATTTTAATAACAGTACCATGGTATTTTGGTGACTATGGCCTTATGGTATAGTTTGAAATCAGGTAATGTGATGCCTTCAAATTTGTTCTTTTGGCTTAGTCTTGCTTTCGCTATGCAGGCTCTTTTTTGGTTCCATATTAATTTTAGGACTGTTTTTTCTAGTTCTGTAAAGAATGATGATGGTATCTTGATGAGAATTGCATTGAATTTGTACACTGCTTTTGGCAGTATGATCATTTTCACAATATTGATTCTCCCCATCCATGAGCGTGGGATGTGTTTCCATTTGTTTGTGTCATCTATGATTTCTTTCAGCAGTGTTTTGTAATTTTCCTTGCAGAGGTCTTTCACCTCCTTGGTTAGGCATATTCCTAAGTATTTTATTTATTTATTTATTTGCTTATTTACTTATTTATTTTTGCAGCTATTGTAAAGAGGATTGAGTTTTTGGTTTCATTCTCAGCTTCGTCCCTATTGGTGTATAGCAGTGCTACTGATTTGTGTACATTGATTTTGTATCCTGAAACTTTACTGAATTCATTTATGAATTCTAGGAGCTTATTGGATGAGCCTTTAGGGTTTTCTAAACTCAAGTTTGTATTTTCATAATGTTACTCCTTTATCATAGGAATCTTTCAAGTTTATTCACATTTGCATCCTGCTAAATGACAATTCTATGTCTTCACTCTATGTTCAATTGATTCCATCATTTTCTGGCAGTCATTTAGGCCTCAAGTTTTCTTTTCTAAGATTTATTCATTTTAAATTAATCTATACAATGAACAACAAATTCTTTGTAGAGTTTGTTTGTTGGTTTGCTTTTAGTAAGATACTTCTAAGGCCTTGCATATCTGGAAATTGTCTTTCTATTGCTTTCAAATTTAAATAGCAAATTTACTTTTGAGTTACAATCTTTTCTCCTCAAAATTGTATATGGGCAGTTTCCTCCAGGATATACTGTGAAATGAAAAAGCCAGGTAGAGAAATGTGTCTATATCATACCACCATTTCTCTAAAAAAAAGGGGAGATACGAGAGACTGGAGACGTCCAGCTTCAGAGCAGGAACCTTAGTTGCGCCAGCAACGAAAAACAGAACTAAATATGGGTGATGTTGAGAAAAGCAAGAAGATTTTTGTTCAGAAGTGTGCCCAGTGCCACACCGTGGAAAAGGGAGGCAAGCATAAGACAGGGCCTAATCTCTTCGGGTGGAAGACAGGTCAGGCCATTGGATTCTCTTACACAGACACCAGTAAGAACAAAGGCATCACCTGGGGAGAGGATACACTGATGGAGTATTTGGAGAATCCCAAGAAGTACATCCCTGGAACAAAAATGATCTTTGCCGGCATTAAGAAGGAGGCAGAAAGAGCAGACTTGATAGCTTATCTCAAAAAAGCTACTAATGAGTAATAATTGGCCACTGCCTTATTTATTACAACACAGAAATGTCTCGTGACTTTTTTATGTGTACCATACTTTAATAGATCTCATACACCAGAATTCAGATCATGAATGACTGACAGAATATTTTGTTGGGCAGTCCTGATTTAAAACTAAGACTGGGTTGTGGTTAAATGAATATGTTCAGTTTTTGAATTGTAATAGTAATTCCAATTCAGTAAATGCTATCACTGTTTACCCCTACTAAAGATAGAACTAGACTTTGTTAGTAATGTTCAACTTTTCGCAAAGATGGTGAGTGCCATCTTAAAACTTACTGGAGATTGGTTTTATATTTAGATTTATATAACTGGTTATGTGAATATATTTAAATACTGGGGAAATTCCTTCACTGTCTCAGAACCAAGGAAAATTCACCTGTGTTTTGTGTTCATTTGCCTCTTAAAGGCATTGTTGAAGATAAATAAGGTAGCAATGTCTACTTTATATTTTTGGGCTTAACTGTGCCAATCTAATTAGAATTCCCTGTATTTAAAATAGTTCCTTTTATTTATTGAAAGGCATTTTAGTGTGGTTTATGTGTAATATCAAAGATTATTTAACACTTCTCACATTTTATAGATCTGTAAGGTCACATGCATTTAAAATAGTAGCAAGTTAAACTTCACTCTTGAATTCTTTACAATCTAAGTCAAACTAAGTTATAATTTAGGGTTGTCTTTAAACAGCCATTCAGAAACATAAAACTGTAGAACTGCTGTGTGTGATCGGGAATGGTGCTTTTGCCAACTCAAAAGGATTAAAGTAGAGGCGATATACACAAATTTTAAGATTATGTGTGATCATAAGACTTAAGATAATTAAAAAGAAAACCACAGGGGAAAAAAAAGAAAAGAGGAGATGCACACATGTACACAATATATCTAATTAACGTGTTAAAGACATATACATTATAATATGTTAAACTGTGTTAATTAATATAATGTGTTAATATAGTATTACATGTTGCATACTGAATAATATTAAATTAGCATATGTTAATGTTATCACACAGTAATATATTGTTTTATACATTTATTGTTATACATTATAGCATATTATATTATTGTTTGTTAAATGTATGAAATTAACATATATGTTAAAAACAGAATAAACCTTAACACTTAAAATGTTTAAATTAAAAAAGAGAGGAAATATTTTGAAAGATTCGGGGGTTGAAAACAGACTCCTTTGAATGGACCTGGTATTATAGCTCTGTCTTTGAAGCTATGTTTGTACTTTACATAATCATAAAACAAAATTAAATAAAGAAAAATACAATCCCCAGACTACAAAAGTACATTTAAACAGATGAACCAAGTTGTGAACTCAGTAGGTAACCTAACCTCACAGCAAAGGAAATAGCCCAAGTGGCTCTAAAACATAGTAATTTAACTCTGCGTCTCTAATGGAATAGATCCTAAGAACAAAAGAAAAGGCAAAGAAAGTCTTAAATTGTTTCCAGTAATAGCACAGCATTGTAGGTGATAGTGTTGATACTGTTATTGTAAGATAATAAATCAAATGAGTAATTACATCGGTGTCATCAAGAACTGAGATTTGGGGCTTGGTGGGAAGGAGATACAGACATGAAATTGATGAGGTCAAATAAAATCCCTTAAGCCTGATTTTGAATTGGATATAAACTTATGATGTACTGTATCTAAAAAAATACATATGTCCTAGCCCTGTCCACCAAAGAGTCCTAGAAATAATAACTAACTCAGGGCACGGGGCATCCCGGGTACCCAGATCGTAGTCTTTCTTCCCACGAAAAAGAACCAAAGATCTTTGATCTTCGGAGAAAGGGTTGATTCTGTATCTGAGGGAGGAAATGTGTAAGTCTGAAAACATCCTGTTGTACAAGAAAGCTATCATAGACAACTAAATTAATCCTTCATTGTTTTTTGGCACTTAATCTGAGGTCAGCCTTCATTTCTTACTTTGCAGATAGTTTATTTCCCCGTCCTGCTTGACAGTTGAAGTATTCTTTATCTTTCAGGTTATATCTAGGAGTTGGGCTCTTCATAATTTTTCTGCTGTCTGAATGGGTCTTTTATTTTTGCTAGTGGAATTTATGTAGAATGTTACTAATGCTCCTCATTTCATGATAGACCTTCATTGTTTGTGTGGTTCTTACATTATATGTTTATTTATTGCCTTTTATTCTATATACTCTTCAGTTCCTCTCTACGTCTTCCTCCCTTTGGCAACGATTTGAATGTGTTAGATGTGCGGTCTTCTATTTTCTATGTCCTTGTAAAACTAGTAGTGTTGTTTTATGCATACATATTTTTAATTCACATAAATAGCATCACGCTGTGGACCTCATTTGATTCTTACATTTTTACACTCAACTACACATTGCTCTGGGTGCATTTCATCTGTTGCTTCTGACCTGAACATCATTACACGGTGTGCATACCATGCCTTTTGCTTATCCGTGTCTCGTTGATTGAACCTAGATTCATTTAATCATAGCCTTTAAATCTCCACTACCACAAACAACACTTTGATGAACGTTCTCAGAGTTGTCACCTTAAAAACCTGTGTGAGTGATAACTTCTCTGCAAAAACATCCGTAAGTGAGAATTTTTGGTCATATGAGACCTGTATATTTAATGACGATGTATCACTGGTGTGTTCTCAATGGCTGTGCCAGTACAGTATTCACAAGCAATGCATGAGGGTTATAGTGTCCCCATCTCTGACAAGTCTTTTTCAATCTTACATCCTGACTGTGCTCTATGCAATCTTCTATATTTTTTGAGTATTTATTTACCTCTTTTGTTTGTGTCTTTTCTTTGATAATTGAAAATTATTCAACAGCTGAAAGTAAGTTATTTGTCCACTGTAGTTATCAACTTTCATTTAATATTCTTACTATTTTATCTTGTTTTCAGTTCTTAATCCTTATCATTTTTTTCTAAGAACTAGAAAGCTTCTAAAATGTATTCTTTTTATTTTCAATTAAATTTCCCTCTCTGTCAGTTCTATACTTTACTGTTTCTAATATACTATTTAAAAATATATCCTATCAAAATGTAAATTGGTACAGCCATTATGGAAAACAATATGGAGGTCCCTCAAAAAATTAAAAATAGAACTACCATATGATCATGCAATCCCACGTCTGGGTATATATCCAAAGGAAACACTGGTCATTAGAGAAATGCAAATCAAAACCACAATGAGATACCATCTCACGCCAGTTAGAATGGCAATCATTAATAAGTCAGGGAACAACAGATGCTGGAGAGGATGTGGAGAAATAGGAACGCTTTTACACTGTTGGTGGGAGTGTAAATTAGTTCAGCCATTATGGAAGACAGTGTGGTGATTCCTCAAGGATCTAGAACCAGAAATGCCATTTAACCCAGCAATCCCATTACTGGGTATATACCCAAAGGATTATAAATCATTCTACTATAAAGACACATGCACATGTATGTTTATTGCAGCACCGTTCACAATAGCAAAGACTTGGAACCAACCCAAATGCACATTAATGGTAGACTGGATAAAGAAAATGTGGCATATACACACCATGGAATACTACACAGCCATAAAAAAGGATGAGTTCATGTCCTTTGCAGGGACATGGATGAATCTGGAAACCATCATTCTCAGCAAACTAACACAGGAACAGAAAACCATACACCACAAGTTCTCACTCACAAGCGGGAGTTGAACGATGAAAACACATGGACACAGGGAGGGGAACATCACATACTGGGGCCTGTCAGGGGGTGGAGGGCTAGGGGAGGGATAAAATTAGAAGAAATACCTAATGTAGATGACAGGTTGATGGGTGCAGCAAACCACCATGGCACGCGTATACCTATGTAACAAACCTGCACATTCGGCACATGTATCCCAGAACTTAAAGTATAATAAAAAAAAAAAAAAAATGAAGTCAGTATCTCAATGAGATATTTACATTCCCATCTTCATTGCTACATTATTCACAATAGCCAAGATATAGAAAAAACCTCCATGCCCATTATCGAATAAGAAAATGCAGTAAGTATATATATGTAATATATGTAGTGGAATATTATTCACAGAAAGACAAATACTGCGTGATCTCAGTTATAGGTGGAATCTAAAAAAGTCAAACTCATAAAAGCAGAGATTAGAATGGTGGTTGCCAGGGGCTAAGGAGTTGGGGAAATGGGGAAGTGCTTGTCAAAGAGTACAAAGTTTCAATTATGCAGAAAAGTCCTGAGAATCGAATGTACAGTATGGTTACCATAGTTAATAATACTGTATTGCACACTTAAATTATGCTGACAAAGTAGATCTTAAGTGTTCTCAACACAGGGGGAAAAAAGACAACTATGTGAGGTGATGAATATGTTAACTAGATTGAGTGTGTTCATCATTTCACAATGAATATGTACATCAAAACGTCATGTTGCACACCTTAAATATATATAATTTCTATTTGTCAATTATGCTTCAAAATGCATGAGAAAAAAATTTTTGAGTTGGCTCAACTCCTAAGCCTGAACATTCTCTTAATACTACTCTCTTCAACTGCTTTGGCTTGTTTTCTTTTCCTGAATCCAGCCATATCTGATTTAATGAGAATGAGATAATTAACTGTATGTGTAAAATTTGGCTGTATAGTTATGGTGCTATTGTAGTGTGTTTGTTAAAATAAAAGTTTTTGGCTGGGCACAGTGGCTCATGCCTATAATCCCAGCACTTTGGGAGGCTGAGGCAGGCAAATCACTTGAGTTCTGGAGTTTGAGACCAGCCTGGTCAACATGGTGAGATCCTGTCTCTACTAAAAATACAAAAATTAGCCGGGCATGGTGGTGCACGCCTATAATGTCAGCTGCTCAGTAGACTGAGGAATGAGAATCACTTGAGCCTAGGAGGTGGAGGTTGCAGTGAGTTGAGATTGTGCCACTGCACTCCAGTCTGGGTGACAACGTGAGAACCTGTCTCAAAAAAGAAAAAATAAAATAAAAGGTTTTAAGTCTAAAAACACCGGGGCCTGTTGTGGGGTGGAGGGAGCGGGGAGGGATAGCATTAGGAGATATACCTAATGTTAAAGGATGAGTTGATGGGTGCAGCACACCAACATGGCACATGTATACATATGTAACTAAGCTGCACGTTGTGCACATGTACCCTAAAACTTAAAGTATAATACAAAAAAAAAACTAAAATAAAATACATTTACCCTATCTTGTAGTATCTCACTTTTATGCTGAATCTTTTATTTCTAACTTTCTCACAGCCAGATTCTTCTTCACTAAATTCTTATTATGCTATTTTGAATTTCATGTTTCATAAAATGCAAGCACTTTTACATTTTGGATGAACAAAATAGAAACTTTCTAAAACTGACTTGTTTCTTTCAGTAGGTTTATAATACTCTCTTTTACTTCTTGTTTATTTTACATCACATATTCATATGTATATTCATATTTCTTACATATCTTCCCTTTTTCTGAGCTTTGTATGGTGAATAGAATGGTTTTGTCACCAAACATGGTGAATCTATTGTTTTTGGATTCCATATCTTTCCATTTGGATGCTTTCAAAATATGCCTGTCAAATCATGTGCTAGAAGGCTGATAGCAATAGTTGAACCCTTTCTCAGTTACTAGGGTTTTTTCTTATATTTACAGGTCCTTTGAATTTTTTCCTTCACCCTTGATGTTGAGTAATTTCACTAGAATGTGTGTTAATTATTTGGTATCAATGTTTCCTAGTTCATGTTGTTTCCTTCCAGTTTGCAAATAAAGAGTCCCTTTTATTCAGGAAAGTTCTTTTCTATGATTTTTTTTTCATTCCATTTGTTCTGTTAGATTTTCCAGGGCTGCCAATTATACATGTATTGCCACTCCTTTGCCCTCCAATCCTTTCTAACTCTTTGTTCTTTCTATTTATTTTTTTTACTTTCCAAACCCTATATTCTATATTCTTAATTATATTTTCAGCAATGCTAACTCTTGTCAATACTTCCATCATGACTTTCATATATTTTATGTTGTTTTATTTTTTCCTCCACATTTCTTAAGTTCTACTAAGTCATTTTTCTACTCTTAATGTCTTCTTTGAGCCATTTTATCTTACTTGATTTTCTCTTTCATTTCTTTGATTTTGTAGAGAAGTGTTTGTATCATTTTTCCCAGAAATGCTACATGAACTTTCTAGGCTATAGTCTACATTTGCCTTTTAGTTTATTTTCTAAATTTTATTTATCTTGGAATAGGAGTCATTTCTTCAGAGAAGCTGTAAGCTAAAAGATACTGTGTATGACAAGCTGGGCAAGTGAGCAGGGAGAGCTGACCACTCAGAATTGGGGATTCTGTCTCAGAACACTTTCCTCTCCACTGTGCTATTTAGTCTCCTCTCCCTGCTGTTAGCATTTTTATCCTTCTTTAGGTGGTGGCTTTGCATATGTCTGTTGAGGGAGGTCATCCTATCTATTTTGCAATGAAGTACTCTTTCTTCCATACTTTTATCTTAAGGTCCAGTGTTTATTTTTCTTCTGCCCCTGTCCATCTCTCCTCTCTCCTCTCTTCTGTACCAATATCTTGCTTCTTGGTAATATTATATGCCTGCACAGTTTCTAAATCACCCCCCACCAATGAGTGGCATTTGAATGAACTCATGGATGGTTCTGCAGCCCACTCATGTTCCCAGTCTTTACAGACACATCACGTGGTGCTTACATTTGGAAAACCCTGCATGCTGACTGAGATGTGTAGAGACACATCTTCTCTAGAAGGAATGTCTTTATTTGGTCATGTGTAACTATCTTTAGCAGATATTCTTCATGGGTTATACGTTAGAGGTGCAAATCTTTTATAGCTTTATTGAATACAGAGTTGTGTTTATTGCTTTTTTATTTTTGCTTTCAGTCAATTTCAAGAAAGAGAGTGGGTAAAAACAATTTTAGTTCATAAAAGATTTTGGAGAATCTACATTTGTATTTTAGAAAGATCATATTGGCTTCAGCAAGAAACATCATAGAAGACCAGTTTGGGGAAAGGATGTATGAGACTGGAGGTTGCTCAAGCCTGGAAACAGACAGGAAGACCATTAAGAAAACTAATATATTTATGCAAAAGAGAGATGATGAGGTCTAGGAAAGGTCAAGGGCTGAAAGATAAGAAAAGGGGAGAAAGAAGACCTAAGTCTTTGGAGTCATCCGTCCACTGATGACACTTGATGACAAGTTTCTAGCTCAATTTATGTGACAAAATTGGATGGAGACAAGCAGGAAAGAGAAGTGGGCTAAAACTGAATCTTGAGAATTCTGCACTTAGGAATGGAAAGCCAAAGATTCTCCTATAAAAGGCAATGAGAGGTAGATACTGAAAATGTAAGAGGAAAATAATGCAATAGTGCGAGGGCAAAGAGTGTTTCCAAACGGGAGATGGTCAGTGGTGCCCAGTGATTCCAGGAATTGGTGCAAGATAAGGTCTTAAAGATTGACATTGGATTTAATGGCATGAACATCATTGGTAACTGTTATGAGAGTAGTATCAATAACAGTGAAAAGGGAAACCTGATATCAGGGGATTGAGGTGTGAACAGAACATTTCAAAGTATAGTTAAAGAATACAGGAAACTCTTAAAGAAGTTTGACTATAAACACGGAGGTAAATATAGAAATAGAATGTAGAATCAGCTCAAGGAAAACCTCTCGTATAATGATATGCCATATATCATAGCTTTAGGATGCCCCAATAGCAATAATAAATCATATTTCTACAGAAATTTAGTTCAGATGGGCTTTTGCATACCTAAGCTCATTTCAAATTCACCTCACTAAATTATCTCAACTTTATTCATGAGGAAACTAAGGCTCAGAGAGATAACAAAAAAACAATTCTCTAAAGAATAAAATAAGAAAATTAGTACTTTTTTTTGAGACAGGGTCTCACTCTGTTGGCCAATGGTGAATGCAGTGGTGCAATCTCAGCTCACTGCAACCTCTGCCTCCTGGGCTCAAATGATCTTCCCACCTCAACCTTCCAAGTAGCTGGGACTACAGGTGCATGCCACCACACCTGGCTAATTTTTGTGTTTCTTGAAGAGGCGGCGGGGGGGTCTCATTATGTTGCCCAGGCTGGTCTCGAACTCCTGAGCTCAAGGGATATGCCTGCCTCCGCCTCCCAAAATGCTGATATTACAGATGTGAGCTACCATACCTGGCCAGTACATCATTTTGACCCCAGCTTGAGCACAACCCCGTCATTCAAATCCTGGGTCAAGGCCGGTGCCATGACTCATGCCTGTAATCCTAGAACTTTAGGAGGCCGAGATGGAAGGATTGCTAGAGTTCAGGAGTTCTAGACCAGCCTGGTCAAAATAGCAAGACCCATATCTCTGAAAACAAACAAACCAACAAAAATCCTAGGTCAAAGTCAGTTTCCACATCCTTAGCGCAAAATAGAGTCAATATTTCACCTGAGCCCAAAGTTACCATGCAAATTGTTAGATTGAAATGCATACTTTCATTTCCAATGGAATAAAACTGCAGAGTCCAGTTCGCTTTCTATTAACTCCTCCAGAGCATGTTCCCTGCCCAGGTATTTCCATGCAAGGATGACACTAGTTAATTGCCTGAATTAAATATTTTACAGCTTAAAAGGGTTTGCTAGACTACATGATTTATAAATATTCATTCTGCAGGCAAGAGGAAGCAAGGGAAATTTGGTTTCTGGTGACTGCCTTTGTAGCAAACTATTCAATAGTAACACTCAGAGATAGCCTCAGTATCTAGGTAAAGTGTTTTTGGAGCCTCAAATCCCTTATAGGAAAACAATTTCTCCAAATGCACAACCGTTTTTGCTGAGCCACTAAATACTTCTGTTTGCCCATGACAGGGACAGCCTTAAGGTGATATGATAGATGCCAAGCAAATAATCAATCGATACACTGGCTTAAGTCTCCGTCTATCAGTTTGGCATTGTGTGGACTAATTAGATGATAAAAGGTGATGAATGTGTATTAAACTCAGCCTCCCCCTGAAAGCTCCCAGGGGTCCTTTCCCATTTTCTAGCTGACCTTTTAGCGCTCAGCTTTATTGTATGTGAATGCAATTAAATCAATTTGTAAGATATTTGCATTAGTGTGGCTTGTTCAGAATTCAATTATTCAGTGTCTGTTTACTGCCCTTCGGAGGCTTGTGCACTGGCTCGTGTTCAAGTAGTGGATAAAGGCAGAAAGGGGTGATCTGGTCAGGATTGAAGCCCATGAATACCTTCCTTCCAAGGTATTTCTGAGAACCAACTTACCCAGATCCCTCTCCTCCCAGGTCTCAGGAGGGATAAGAATGAACTTTCAACATGGCTGAGCTTTCATCCTGGCTCTGCCACTTACTGGAATAATAGACTTGAATAAGTCATTTAACCTGTGTGAGCCTTCGTTTCCTTATGCCAAAGAGTTGCTTGGCTTTGAGTTCCCTCCAAAATAGATGCTGAGAGTAGGATTCGAGTGCAAGTGTTTATTGGGGAGGTGATAGTAGCAAGTGATAGTAAGACAGTGAGGCAGCAAGAAAGGGATGGGAGAAGCAAATATGAGATGCATTCGGGAGCAGATTACTGTCGTGGGCAACTGGTGTTCATTCCCTCTGGGGACCTCTGGGAGATGGAGTAGAACATTCACCAGAGCTGTCCCACCCAAGAAGCAAGGAGCTTAGGCATTTCTCCACCAACTGCCATTCATTACTGGTCCAGGGGTGTTCACTTTATGGCACTTCAGGTTGGCCACAACACTGGCTGAGTGTCCTTCTGATGCCAGAGAATACCTCCAAATAGAGTAGCTGGCCGCTTTCAGTAAAAAGCCCTGTGCATGCAGCAACATGGCACAGCACAATGGCATCCACTACAGGGGATGGGCTTCATTGTAATGTCAAAGAGCAATAGTACATGTAAAGTCCTTAGTACTATTACTGGCACAGCATAAGTCCATCTATCAGTAATAGTTGAGAAAATCATTTCTGGGAATATACAAATCTAGGAAAGTAGCTTTCCTCAGCATGGGAATCCAACTGTGATCCCAAGTATTTGGCAAAAGGAAGGCCACCGTACTCTATGCCTTATTGAGCAGTGCAGAAGGTGAAATCGTGGAAGGCTTTATGGAGGAGGTGACATTTGAACTGGATTTTTAAGGATGGGTAGGAGTTCACTGGGTGCACAATGGGAGTGCAGACATTCCTAGCAGAAGGGATGGCACATGTTCTGATATAAAGACATGACGTAGAATATGCTTTGTGACCTACTTATAGTTTAGAATGGTTGAAGCGTAGGATGAGGGGAAACTTTATGTCATGATGCCAGAATTCAATTCATAAGAGAATTTTTACATAATTCATGAGCATTATAGTATTAATATTATCTTATAAGCAACAGGGAACCATTGGATCTACTAATGCAAAGTTTTTAATAACACATTTTGATGACACACGAAGGAAATCATTTATAATAGAAATCAGTGGATTAATAACCATAAGTTCAAAAGATCTGCTATACAGGAATGAGAGAAAATATAATGTTTTATATGAAAAGTGCTTCAAGGTTTTCATTGAGCCAGCATGTTACATGACTTCAAAGAAACAAATAAGTTAATTCAAACTTAGTTAGGTTGCATTAATATAAACAGAGCAGTGTCCAGATAAGGGACGAATAGAATCACACTTGATCTGTACTATCTGAGCAGCTCAGAAAGCAGTTGTCCAATTTTAAATGACATATCTTTTCAAAGGGACACAGGTACACTGGAACAAGCCCAGGGAAGAAGAAGCAGAATGTCAGAGTCCAAAAATCATGTAAGATGTAGATGACTGAAGAGCAGAGAGCAGGTACGCTGCAGAGAGTAGACTCGTAGAACACACCTGAGCTGGCTTCTATTGTGAGGAAGAGATGAGATTGAGTCTATGTGGTTCCAGAGGCTCCCAGTGAAGCATGTTTCAAGTCAGTGGAACTAATCAAAGCCATTCAACAATAAAATAGTCAGCCCTGGAGGAAGTTCTCTATTCTTTGGAGTAACTGGTAATAAACGAGAATACCTCTCCAAGAGGCTTAGATGAGATGCTAGCTTTTAGAAAGGAACTAACCTCTAAAGTCCCTTTCAACTAAGATTCTATGATTCTATGACAATGATTCTCTCCAGGTATCCCGCTAGGAGACACACCACAAAAGGGGGCATTTTACAGGGCATACCACAAAGATGCCATTTCTAGTGGTCAAGGAACAAAAAGCAACATCTCTGTGTGGTCAGTTGCAAATGATTGGAACAAGGGGAATACGAAAAGAAAAAGTCAGTGGTTTCCTTTTGTCGTTGTCTAAGAAAAATAATAGGCATCAAATATCTCCTGTGTTCTGGGCGCCATATTTAATAGCATTAGCAATAGAAGAAGATGGAGAAAGAGATAGAGAAGGAGAAAGAGAAGGAGAAGGGAAAGGAGAAGGAGAAGGGGTAGGAGAAGGAGGAGAAAGAGAAATCACAGTAGTAGTAGCTACAATTTATTATTTATGTGCTACTGAATGTTCTCATGGAACTGTTATAAAAACTTTTTAACTTCATTGCTTTACCAGATGAATTCTTTCTGCTATAAACAATATTACATGATCATTACTGTAGACAGGGTTCAGATAAAACACCCTTTGGAGAAAGAAGCAACCTCTCACTTAGGATCTGGGCTAAAAAATTGGTCTTCCCTTTGGACAACATAAGATACTTTCTATGAAACGTCATAATGCACCCCTCTGGAAACAATGATTCAGGTCAGTGCTGTTGAGTCTTTGTGCTTACTAATGTGTAGGCTTTTAAGCATCGTTTCAGCCCCACCTGTTAGAACATCCTGTCCCCTTTTATCTCAGACCTTTGTAGTCCTCATTTTTGTCGATTGTGTTGCAAGATCACTGAACCTCCTTGACACTGAGATTTTCCCATTCCGGATACCCCCCTCCCTCCCACCAAGTGGATACATCTAGGGCCTGTCCCACCCCCACCCCCAACTGGGCCATCTCTCTGAAATGCTGACGTGTCTATAGATACCACATCTGTCTGCGGAGGATCAGAAACTCCCCAACACACCCCTTTTACAAAGGGATCTACGTTGTCACACACTGACTGCAGCAGTTCTGATATAAGCTTCTGTGTGGAGTCCCCATCCACACATATCCAACAATGACTCCGGCATGCTCACTGATGTCTGGGTATTGGCCATTCCACAATTGGAGAGGAGCTAAATAGCAAATATGTCTCCATCAAGGTTCTTTTGTTGTCTCAAAACAAAAGAGAGAAATGAAAATGCTACCGGGGAAAGGCTGGAAATTGAAGGTGAGAGAGTGCAGCCACGCCTCCCAATAAGAGACTGAAACTAGGAGTGGGAAAGTGGTCAGAAATCCTGCAGGATGCCTCTCTCTCTTCCTGTCTCCCTACTCCTTCCCCTCGGTCCCTTCCTTTTTTCTCTTTCCCAGCCTCCCTCCTTCTCTCCCTTTGTCACTCCCTTTTTGGGGCCAGATGGCCTTTTGTCTCTTCCATGTGTCCACTTTATTTCGTCTCCCAGATTGGCTTTTGCTAACTTGGAGAGCAAACAGTCAAATATGGCTGCCCCATATCTCCCAAATTTGCATATTCTTGTTTCAAAATAACCAGCAGGAAATAAATCATAACTCTAAATCCAGTTCCAAGTTCCTAGGAGAAAGAATATCACTGGTCCATTTAATATCACTGCGCTATTTAGGGTCAAGTGTTCAGCCCTGGTTCAATAAGTCATGGCACAGAAGCAAAATTGCATGGTTCCAACATGGCTTTCTGATCCCATCCCTGTGGGATGGAGGCAGAAGTTCTCAAAGAAGGGACATATTGGGTGGGGTGGGCTTTACCCCTCTAACTTTATACCCTGATCACAGATAATTTTAGAAAATTCCCTTCCACTTTGGTCGATCTGAGATCTCTTTAATAGATTGACATGCCTTATTCTAATCCCCTCTACCAGGCAATGCACGTAGGAAAACATACCCCATGAATTAAGTTATTGGTATCAAATACCTCCCTAACAGCAGATTTCCATGCAACTGGGATGTATAAAGAGGGAGAAAGATTAGGAGAATTCAGGGGGAAAAAGCTAAGGGATCACACTATTGTAATCTCAAAAATTAGGCTGATGGCTTAGTTCAACTAAAGATTATGAACTCTAGTGAGTTAGTTTCCATCAAGAGATAGCAAATCAGTGGAAGGCCCAAGACGTATACACACACACACACACACACACACACACACACAAGCTTTAAAGGAGGCAAGATAGAAAATATACATACTTTACAATGAGATATTAAATTTCAAACCTTTCAAGTGTGCTAGAATCCTCAAAAATACAGAAGGAACCTAACATAAAAACTTTAAGTATGCATCTTCCTTCAGGCAGGTGAATATTGAATTTATGTCCTCTAAGAATAACAGTTTTTTTTTTGTTTGTTTGTTTGTTTTTTCACAGAGAGAGAGGTTGAAATCTTTATTACATAGGTTTGGAAAATGCCCAGGCATACGGCTGCTTGTAAGTAGAGAGAAAAAATACTGAAGCAGTTAGAATAGTATTCCAAATCAGACAAGTCTAGGTGCCAACCCCACAATTGAATTGTACCAACTTTTTTAACCTCAATTTTCATCATTTATGAAATGGGAGTAATAATGCAATGCTTACCTCTAAAGTATTATTGTAGACATTAAGTGAGATTATGAGTATAAAGTATTTAGAACTGTCTGGCATAGTTAGCTTCCACCTTAAAAAACTAACAAAAGACTGGGCACTGTGGCTCACACCTGCAATCCCAGTATTTTGGGAGCTGAGGTGGGTGGATCACAAGGTCAGGAGTTCAAAACCGCCTGACCAATATGGTGAAACCCTGTCTCAACTAAAAATACAAAAATTAGCTGGGCATGGTGGCACCCACCTATAATCCCAGCTACTCAGGAGGCTGAAGCAGGAGAATCACTTGAACCCAGGAGGCAGAGGTTGCAGTGAGCTGAGACTGCACCACTGCACTCCAGCCTGGGTGACAGAGTAAGATTAAAAAAAACAAAAAGCTAACAAAAAAAGCAAATTACATTCAAAGTAAGTAGCATAAGAAAGAAACTCATAAAAATCAAAATGAAAATTAATGAAATAGAAAACTGAAAAATAGAAAAAAATTCAATGGAACCAAAACCTTGTTCTTTTGAAAAGATTGATAAAATTGATAAACCTCTAGTTAGACAAAAGAGAAAAGATGCAAATAAATATCAGGAACGAAAGAGGTAAAATTACTAACGAGACTACAGATATTTAAAAAATAATTATGGAAACAGTATGAATAAATTTATGCCAATTGATCTGACAATTTAGATGAAATAGACAAATTTCTTGATAAAACAAACTACTAAAGCTTACTTAAGAATAAATAGACAATTTTAATAGCCCTAAATCTATGAACGAAAGTGTAATTATAGTTAGAAACTTTGCCACCAAAACAACAAAAAAAAAAAACACAAAAACAAATGCTAGGCCTAAATGTCTTTAATAGTGAATACTATCAAAAATTTAAGAAAAATAATAGTAAGCCTACACAAACTCTTCTAGAATATTAAAGAGGAGAACATACTTCACAATTGACTCCATGAGGCCAACGTCATCTTAACAGCAAAACCAGGCAAACGCATAAGAAAAATCAATAGACCAATACCTCTCATGAACATAGATGCAAAAATTCTTAAGAAAATTTCAGTACATTTAATTCAAAAATATATAATTAAGATAGTACATCATGACCAAATGAGGTTTTCCCAGGAGTGCAAGATTGATTCAACATTCAAAAATCAATCTATGTTAAAAAAAAAGAAAGAAAAATGAAAGAAAAAAACTAAACTAAAAAGGAAAGAAAAATTATGATCTCAGTAGACAGTGAAAAGGCACTTACAAAATCCAACATCCATTCCTGATTTAAGAAAACAAAATTTAGCAAACTAGGAATAGAATGGAGCTTCCTTAGCCTGATTAAAAGCATTACAAAAATCTACAGCTAACATGATACATAATGGTTAAAGATGGAATGTTTTACCTCTAAGATCATGGCAAAGCAAAAATATTCACTGTCACCACTTCCATTCAGTATTAAAATGGAAGTTCTAGACAGTACTGTAAGGCAAAGAAAAACAACAAAGGGCATTGAGATTGGAAACAAAAAATTTAAACTGCCTTTCTTCACAAATGACATGATTGTCTATGTAGAAAATCTGACAGAATCGGCCGGGCACAGTGGCTCACGGCTGTAATCCCAGCACTTTGGGAGGCCGAGGCATGCGGACCACGAGGTTAGGAGATTGAGACTAACCTGGCTAACACGGTGAAACCCGGTCTCTATTTAAAAATTAGCCGGGCGTGGTGGCTGGCACCTGTAGCCCCAGCTACTCGGGAGGCATTGGCAGGAGAATGGTGTGAACCCGGGAGGTGGAGCTTGCAGTAAGCCAAGATCACGCCACTGCACTCCAGCCTGGACGACAAGTGAGAATCCGTCTCAAAAAAAAAGAAAAGAAAGAAAAAGAAAAAGAAAATCTGACAGAATCTACAGAAAAGCGAACTAGAACTAATAAGTGTGCTTGGCAAAGTTGCTGTGTGTAAGACCAACAACAAAAATCATGTGTATTTTGATATACCAGCAATGAACAATTGGACTTTTATAGCATTTATAATACCATAAAGAAATGAAATTCTTAAGTCTGAAAAATATGTGGAAGATCTGTACACAGAAAACTACAAAACTTTGTTAAGAGAAATTAAAGAAAAGAAATGGCGAGACATATAGTGTTTGTGGGTTGAAAAATTCAGTATCTTTAAGATGTAAATTCACCCCAAATTTATCTGTAGATTTAACGCAATCCCATTCAAAATCCCAGCAGGATTTTTATGTAGAAATTGACAAACTGATTCTGTAATTCATATGGAAATGGAAAGGACTTCAAATAACCAGAATAACATGGAAAAAAGTCACTAAAGGACTATCTAATTTCAAGACTTCTTATAAAGCCATAATAATTAAGATAGTATGGTATTGGCATAATAAACCAATGGAACAGAATGGTGAGTCCAGAGATAGATCTGCACATTTTAGCAACTGATTTTCAACGAGGTTACAAGAGCAACTGGGGGGAAAAAGGACAGTCTTTTCAATGAATGCTGCTGAACTGGATATTCATATGCAAAAGCTAATATTAATAAAATAAAATGAATTTTGTTTCATGCCTTGAACCCCAGAAATAAAGCCAAGTAGCTACAACCAAGTTATCTTCAACAAAGCAGACAAAAACATACGCTGGGGAAAGGATACCCTATTCAATGAATGGTGCTAGGAAAACTGGATAGCCACGTGCAGAAGACTGAAACTGGATCCTCATCTCTTACCATATACAAAAATTAACTCAAGATAGGTTCAAGACTTAAATGGAAGCCCTAAAACCATGAAAATCTTAGAAGAAAATGCAGGAAAAAACTCTTCTGAACATTGACCCAGGGCAAAGAATTTATGACAAAGACCCTAAAAGCAAATGCAAAAAATAAATAAATAAGTGGGATTTAATTAAACTAAAAAGCTTGTGCACAGCAAAAGAAACAATCAACAGCGTAAGTAGACAATCTGCAGAATGAGAGAAAATATTCTCAAACTATATATCTGACAAAGGACTAATATCCAGAATCTACAAGGAACTCGAGCAAATCAGCAAGAAAAAAAAGCAAATAATCCCATTAAAAAGTGAGTAAATGGTATGAACAGATATTCCTCAGAAGAAGATATGCAAATGACCAAGAAACATGAAGAAACGCTCAACATCACTGATCACCAGGGAAATGCAAATTAAAACATCAAATCATACATTTTATGTAGTTTATTTATTATAGGTCAATTATTCCTCAATAAACATATTAAAAATAATATGTTGATTATAGAAAAATATATAGAGATATATGCATGCATGTTAAAAGAAATGAGACTGGAAGCATCCATGTCAACCTGTTAACAATGGTTACCTCTGGGGATGGGATGCACTCAGAGATGAAGGGATTTGAATGAAGACTCACATTATATGTACATCGGTCTCACTTAAGTCTTTTACCAAAAGAATGTGTTCATGAATTTCTTGTGTAGTTTTATCATTAACAACTGAAAAAATATATAGCCAAAGGTAGCAGCAAATTGCACCTACCACTGCTAAGAAAAACCTTTCTGGCTTCGGGTCAAAAGATAAATGAAAGCATAAGCAGCTGTCACCTCCAATTACTTTTTGGTGAAAACAAACATACGAGAGCTCAGATGCAAATCTTTCCCTTTAGAAAGATGGTGAAGGTGAAGAGTGTTTGTTTGTTTTGAGACAGAGTCTCAGCTCTGTTGCCCAGGCTGGAGTGCAGTGGTGTGATCTCAGCTCACTGCAACCTCAGCCTCCTGGGTTCAAGTGGTTCTCCTGCCTCAGCCTCTCAAGTAGCTGGGATTACAGGCATGCACCACCGTGCCCGTCTAATTTTTGTATTTTTAGTGGAGACTGGGTTTCACCATGTTGCCAGGCTGGTCTCGAACTCCTGACCTCAGGTGATACATGCACCTCGGCCTCCCAAAGTGCTGGGATTACATTTGTGAGCCACCACGCCTGGCCAAAGAGTTAATTTTATAAAGTGTCTCTGAGTTCCATGTTCCATAAAGATACAACGTCATTCATGGAGTGCTCATAAGCATGCATCCTTATTCCTCATATCAGGGGACAGGGTACAGAAAAGCATCCCATGATAAAAGTGGACCATGTGGAAAGGAGGAGGGAAAGGGTGAAAAGAAAAAGAAGAGGTAAAGGAAGAGGAGGAAGAAAAAGAGGAGGCAGTGATGAGGAGGAAGAGGATGGTGATGATTATGACAACAGCAGTGAAGGTGATGAAGCAGAAATAGTAAGAGAAGTAGATTATGTTGATTGGGGATGATGATGGAGGTAGTGGTGATGTATCAATTTTACATATCTTTTGCTATCAATCGTGGGTTAGCCTCTGATATCACAGAGCACTGAAGCAATAAACAAGGGACTTTAAAAGTTCATGAGTTTTTGGCAGGAAGCTCAAAAGCCTGGACACTTGAACTCAGCTAAAGACAACACAAAAAGTCCCTTCCAAAGTGGGTATTAATTCTGCAGATAGAACCCATTGCAGCCTGAGCCTGCTACGACCCCAAAAGACCACAAGCTATCACTCCAGCCTCCTTGTACCACAAGGTGCTCTCATTTGCAACAATGTAGTATTCCCTAAAACTTGTCTTTGTTAATCACATACCTCATGTATTACTCAGAACTATTTATTCAAAGCTATAGGTACTAATATACTAATGTGTTTTATCCAGTCTTCTCAGGTCACGAATTATAATTATTACACCTAACACATATGGTACATCTAACTAATAATTATTATAACTAAAAACACCAATAATGGTTATAACTAACACATAGTAGCTGGGCAGGGTGGCTCACGCCTGTAATCCCAGAACCTTGGGAGGCCAAGGCAGGAGGGTCACTTGAGCTCAGGAGTTCAAAACTAGCCTGGGCAATATGGCAAAACCCCGTCTCTACTAAAAATACAAAAAATTAGCTGGGTGTAGTGGCACGTGCCTGTAGTCCCAGCTATTCAGGTGGGGCTGAGGCGGAGGATCACTTGAGCCTGGGAGGTCGGGGCTGCAGTGAGCTATGATCACACACCTGCACTCCAGCCTGGGTGACAGAATGAGACCCTGTCTCAAAGAAAAAAAAAATGATTATAACTAATATATAGTGAAGATTGACGGGGCACTATCTCATTTAATCCACATAACCTATAAGGTAGTTACTGTTACTACCCTCATTTTACAGATTATGAAAATAAAGCTTTGAGAAGTTACACAATGCTACACAGCTAGAAAGTGGCATCGTCGGGATTTGAATCAAGTGTGTCTCTACATGGACCCAAAGGAAAAGTTGGTTTAGGCAGGACAGACTCAAAGGTGAAAAGACAGATTCTGTAAGTCAGGCATGCGAGCTGGGGGTAGGGGGGCAAGTGCAGTGGAGTCAGCTAAGGCCCAAAATTGTGGCAGACATGGTCCTGAGCATTACAGAGCATGAGGGCAAAGGGAGTTTTTCCCTCCCACCTTGAAGGTTGGAGTCTTTAAGTCTGTTGAAATAAAGTGGCAAAAGACATCCACAGGAGAAAAATCATACAGATTTATTAATGTGCACAGGAGCATCACAGGAAGTAAGTACCCAATAATCCAATGAGGTTAGAAGGTTGTATACCCTTCTTCATAGGGGAGAGGAAAGTAGGGGATGTAGGCAATTTTAGATGGGTAGTAAATTATTTTTAAAGAGTAAAATGGGCCCCAAGAACAGACAATAGTTTATAAATTTTCATTGGAAAGTTAATGGTAAAAACAGACAATAGCTTACGACAAAGCCTGCCTAGGTGTGATGACATTCCTCAGTCTTTCTTCCTGTGATATGAGTTTAACCTTCCCTGGTTAATAAAATTGCAGGAAAGACATCAAAAGCAATTGTCTTCTTCTATGGAAGACCTGGTCTCTAGGTAGATGAGAGAACTTTAGAGAACAACCTCATCCACCCTTTTGCTGAACCCCAAGTGTCTTTACAATCAGCGAACCAAGGTGCCATATTTGGGGGTGATATTCACTAGGCTCCTTCAGTAGACAGCTCGGGGGGCAAGAATGAGTGGACACTGAGCCAATGAGATAAGATTTTATTCAACATTTCATGGGCAAAGCTGACCTCAAAGTATGAACAAAAATAAGCCGACAAGACATAAGTGAAAATATTGATTGGATCAGAAGATAGGAGGAACAAGATAACAAGGGGCTAGGATGGTAATTAGTTGTGGTGAGAGAAGGAATTGTGGGCGAGGTAGGGTAGCATTTTGATAAAAGCCTGAGATCCTGGCAACTAGCCCCACAGCTCATATAAGCAAGCCCAGGGAGGCTGCCCTAATCTACCTAATCTATGGAGACAGCTGTGAATCGCTGTTTTGAAATGGAATGCAAAGCTGGGCACAGTAGCTCACTCCTGTATCCCAACACTTTTGGAGGCCAAGGCAGGCAGATCACTTGAGGTCAGGAGATTGAGACCTGCCTGGCCAGCATGGTGAAACCCCATCTCTACTAAAAATACAAAAGTTAGCTGGCCTTGGGGCAGGTGCCTGTAATCCCAGCGGAGGCTGAGGCAGGAGAATCACTGAAACCTGGGAGGTGGAGGTCGCAGTGAGCAGAGATCGTACCACTGCACTCCAGCCCCAGCGACAGAGACTCTGTCAAAAAAGAAAGAAAGAAAGAAAGAAAGAATGAAAGGAAGAAAGAAAGGAAGGAAGGAAGGAAGGAAGGAAGGAAGGAAGGAAGGAAGGAAGGAAGGAAGGCAGGCAGGCAGGCAGGCAGGAAGGAAGGAAGGACGGAAGGGAAGGAAGGAAGGGACAGACAGACATGGAATGCAATCCGTACAGATAAACAAGTCCACCCAGAAAGGTCACAAGGGCAAGGGATAAGTAACAATGAACATGGAATTTTGCCCATCCTTATGAACACCTGAATTCTATCCACTGATCCCTTTAGGGTCCATGAGCCCCAAGCGGAGATTCCATCTAAACCCCTGCTTTAGATGCGGGCACTGCAGAGCCACTCCAAGTCATTTGTTCCAAGACCATGTGTTAAAATAAGCCTATTTGTTGAGTGGCATGAGGTTAAAGTTAGTGTCTTATTTATGTTTGTGTCACTGGTACCCAACTAGCACATAGCATATGGTAGGAGCACAGTGAACATAGCAGGGATATACATGCAGTGTTCGAGATGCTGGCAGGGTGTGAACAGGGTACCAGAACGTGGGCTTTATGTAGGATTAGAGTTAGAAGCATTAGCAGCTGAAAAATGGCAGGAAAATGATGAAATCTGCATGATGGAAAAAGGGGGTCAGAGATCTAAAGTCTAGATGAATGCAGAAAACAGAGCACTCAGGAATAAGCTTCTGCTCACCACTCCTGGAGAAGTGTGACATACATGCAAACTTCTGCACATCTGGGACTGAAGAAGTAGATCTTTCACCTTAAAATTACCCACTGATATCCACTGGGAGAGAGAACTCTCTCTGATTTGATGCTCAGCAAGAGTGACTCTCATCTCCAGGATTGCTGGTGGGAGGTCAAGTCTTCCTCCCCAGGATGCTGCACTTGGATGGACTTGAAAGAGTTCTGTTTGTTCCAAGTAAGTTCTCTCCATGCACCTGAAGTCACTGTGCCATAGCCTTCATGCAAATTATGCATATAAGCAAAGAGATTTCCCACAAAGGGTGTTGTTTCCCTTTCAGAGGCAGAAAGCACATTCTTTCCACACTCTGGTGGCCCCGGGCCCAGAAGGCACACTTCTTCACAGCGCCTTCCAACCGTGTGGGGAGCACTGAAGTGGTAATTACCTTAGAAAGTGGTTTTTCCCAGTATTCGGCTGCAGAAAAATAACACGCCGCCTCTCTTTCCGTGCATCTCATGGAATTACGTAAATAGACCCAAAGCAAACCAGTCTAAATGATTATAAGATGGATTTCTAAGTGGTACCTGTTACCAGGCACAAATACTAAAAAACATCCTGCTCTTTCTCAGCCACCAAGATGAAATAATAGAGTTTTTAGTAAAGGATTCTCTCTAGTGGATAATTCCTTCTGGGTTATCCGGCTTTGGTGACTTGATAGAGACAACAGTCTCACCCGAGTATACAGGAGAGATGTCTTCCTGGAACTCTGGCCACATTTCATGAAACTAGATGAGGAAGAAACTAGATAGGGAGAATGTAAAAGTGACTCAACAAATGGAAGAAAGGTTCTCAAACTTTAGCACACATAAACTCACCTGGAAGGGTGTTCAAATACAGATTTCTGCACCCAGCTCTCAATGACTCCTAGGGCCCAGGAATTTTCAAGTTCCCAGCTGATTCTGATACTGGCGGTCCGTAGACCACTCTTACTGTGTGGCTTTTGAGGATTGCCCCTCCCTGACATTTACCGGGACTGTCAAACTAGGGTGCCTGCCTACTCTACTAGAAGGGTGGGCCATGAGCCAAGCTGTTCAATCAGCAAACCCTATCCCACAAAACCCAAATTCCTCCAATAGTGGGCTTGAGGTCAATCAGAGCCCACGTAGATGTTGGCAAAGAGACACTCTTTCCTTCTTTCCAAGGTCCTTGGTGCTAAGGACTATGTAATTCTGAAGCTACAAGTGCCTTTCTTTGTAGCCCATTGAAAGGAGACTAACACAGAACCATATAGAGAAAAGGAAAGAAGGAAGGAGAAAGGGAAGGAATGAGAAAGATCTGACAATTTTGTCCAAAGAAACCCCTGGAGCCAGTCACACCTAAACACTAGTAGACCCAGAACTTTGCTGGTGAGTCAAGAAATTCACCACCCTGCTCCCCACCTTTTTTAAATCTGAAACATTTTGAGTTGGTGTTTCTGCTTAGAACAGACAGATTCCTTACTGATACGCTTTCCTTTCAGCGTCTATAAAAACATCATTAACTTGAGATTTCCGACAAGGACATCAGCACTGGGTGAAAAGACGCACACATATCCTGACTCAAGGGCCTGTAATTCTATCCGTGACGTGGTTCTCCAAGTCCAGCTTTGTTCATCCCAGCTCAGATTCCACATTTGTCAGGCCCATGCTCCTTAGCCTTTGAGTTTCAGAATGGCTCTCCTAAAAGGAACACTCCTATTTGTCCAGGTTGCGATCTCATATTCACTCTGGGCCAGACCAACTACACAACTCCTTAATTCTTCAGTTGGCCGGGAGTGAGGTTCCAGGATGCCACAGCCCTGGGCAATGAAGACAACAAGTTCATCTTGAATAGATGGATCTGATTCACCTGACCTTAGGAGGAATACACTGAATTATTTTTCATGCTAGAGCATATTCCCAGGTAAAATACTTCTAATGTTACCTACACCTGCCAACCCTAGAACCAACTTCCAACATCAAAATAGGAGGGACACCATGTTTCTGATACCCCAGGTCAGTGTTTTCTGGAAAGTTCCATCTGCTGCCTGTTATTACTTATGCTGAATATATTGCTAACCCTGCTGTTGCTCTCCAAACTGTAGCCCCTTAGTCTCAGCCCCTCTCTCGGACTCCTTTAGTGTAATTTCTCTGTATCTTACTCCGAAAATACTGTAACATCATCATCAGTGTTCCTTCACCTTCTCAAACTCCTTCCATCCTGTTCTTGCCTCTCTGCCCCGGTCAACTTCTTTTTTTTTTTAATTTATTTTATTTAAAGAAAAGATCTCACTCTGTCACCCAAGCTAGAGTACAATGGAGCAATCACTGTTCACTGCAACCTCCAACTCCTGGGCTCCAGCAATCCTCCCACCTCCGCTTCCCAAGGAGCTGAGACTACAGGTGTACATCACAATGCCAAGCTCATTGTTCAGTTTTTTTTTTTTTTTTTAGAGACAGGGTCTTGCTATGTTGCCCAGTGTGTGCTCTCTGAAGACAAACTCCCAGGGTTCAGTACCAGCTGTACTTCTTATTTATTACTGAATCTCTTTGGGATTCAGTTTCTTCATCTGTAGAATAGAGATAATGCTAATCATCATGATATTTTATGCAGATTTTTGTGTGCTTGAAATGACAATCTAAATAAAACATTCAACACAGTTCTAGGCACATAAGAAGCATTCCGTACATGTTAGCCACTACTGTGGTATAGGAATATCAGAAAAATCTCACTTCCCTAATCAACTAGCCAAAAAGCAATGTCCAATTATCTATTTTATTTTATTTATTTATTTTTTAAGAGAAAGGATCTCACTCTGTCACCCAAGCTAGAGTACAGTGGCACAATCATGGCTCACTGTAGCCTCAAACTCCTGGGCTCAGGCAATTCTCCTGCTTCAGCCTCCCAGATTGCTGGGACTACAGGCACACACCACCATGCCTGGCTAATATTTTAAGTTTTTAAAATTTTTTATAGAGACAGGGTCTCACTATGTTGCCCAGACTGGTCTGGAACTCCTGGCTTTAAGTGATTTTCCTGTCTTGGCCTACCAAAGTGCTGGGATTAGAGGCATCTGCCACTGTGCCTAGCCTGTTCAATTATCAAACTTCACAAACTGTTGTCATCTTTAATTTAACATCAGAGTGTTGAAATTTTATCTTGTTCATTCTTTCAACTAAGATATGTAACTTCATTCCTGATACATTGCAGGTACTTCATAAATGTGTTAAATGAATGAATCAATAATAATAACAATCATTTAATGAGAACTTATTCTGTGCAAAGCACTTTACATATTTTATGTAATCATCAAAACAAAACTGCAAAGCTGGTGTCACTTTCCCTTTTGAAAGGTGAGGAAAATTAAGGATCAGAGAAGTTGAGTAACTTGCCCAAATGCAAACAGCTAGCAAATGGACAAACTTTTCCCACAGCCTCAGATTTTTCCAACTTCTTTTTGACTCATGAACCTCTCTCATAAATAAATATGCTATTGTAGGCCCGGGTGTGGTGACTCATGCCTGTAATCCCAGAACTTTGGGAGGCTGAGGAAGGTGGATCATTTGAGGTCAGGAGTTCGAGACCAGCCTGGCCAATGTGGTGAGACCCCCGCCTCTATTAAAAATACAAAAAGAAATTCACCAGGCATACTGTCACATGCCTGTAGTCCCAGCTACTCAGGAGGCTGAGGCAGGAGAATCACTTGAACCCAGGAGATGGAGGTTGCAGTGAGCTGAGATCATACCATGGCACTCCAGCCTGGGCAACAGAGTGAGACTCCATCTCAAAAAATAAATAAATAAATAAACTATTGTAGGCCTTTAGGAATTTTTGGATCATTTCAGCATTGACAAAGAAGCGACTTTTAATAGAAGGTTCTATTATAGCACTATATTATCAAATAGTATGCTGTAAAGATCATGTTACAATCTTTATAATATTAAGACAAATTTTGACTTGTCCCCATTTAACATGTGATGTAAAGCTGGCAGATTTAGTTTAAATTATTTATGAAAGAAAAATGTTTGAGTTTATTTCAGGAAGGAATTTTACTATGTTGCAAGACATTTAAAAAAGACAAAAGCTCCTTTTATGAACCGATGTTTGGAGTTCTAAATTTTGTGCTGATTTTTTGTAACACATAATTGTTCTAAATGATAAGATGCAAGAAAACGTTCCAGATGACATTTGCAAGCACTTTTCTACAAATAACACATTGCAGGTGTGGATAGCCATTATTCTTAATAAATGAAAAGCCAAATTGGATATAATTGTCACTATATTTTCTATTTTTAACATTAGCGTTGAAGGATATTTCAGCATACCTTATAAGACTTTTTATCAGATAAATGCAACTTTCAAATCTGGTGAAGGTCAGTCTGAAGTAAATGTGCAGGTTGATTATCATATTTTTGTTCCTCATTAACTTGCTGCATTTCAATAGCACTGTTCTGTATACTTCCTGTTGTCAAATCTGGGTCTTATAGGTGTACACTAAATAATCTATGACTGTGATGAAAACAGCCAAACTGTCTCAAAGTGACCCCAGAAGTTCATGCTGGATTGCCTTGGACAAAGAGATAACTAAGACCAGACACCTACCTACTCTAGGTGAGAACGAAGGGCCATGCCACAAGACCAACAGCGTCTTCCCCAACCTTGGCAGAAAGGACTTATGACTTGGAGTCCCCAGGGTCTCCAAGTGCTGAGGGCTGGTATTGCCAGACAAACTCCTGTCAACAGCTGGAGCAACTTGTGTTCTGTTTATTCCCCCACTCACATGTCTGCCTACAGAAAGAGCAAGCAATAAGGGAATGGGTCCCTCCACTAGAATGTAAAGTCACATGGCATGTCTAGGACTTTCTGGCTCCATACCCTCTGCACAAGTCTTTTAAACTGGAAACAAAGTGTGCTTATTTTGCCATAAAATTAAAAGTGCCTCAGTTAAGCTTAGTCCCCAAAGATCTTCTGCAAAAGTCTGAAGTGGTGGGAAGAAGAAGAAACAACAGAACAAGACTTGGAGTTGTTCATGCATCTAAGACTTAGGTTTGGGCCAATGCAATAAGACATGAAACATGTTTGCAGACCTAAATATTAGAAAGGAAGTGACAAAATTATGATTATTTGTAAATTATTTATTTGCATACCTATGAAGTCTAAAGAACATTATAATTGATTTTTAAATGAACCAAAAGGATAGATGCAGGGTAAATATATAAAAATAAATCATATCCCCACTCACCACTTAAAAAGTATATATAAGGAAAAGAGAAATTCTATTCCCAACATAATTGAACCACAGCAAAAAAAAAAAAGTTAATAAATTTTACCCCCCCAAAAAATGCTACTTATAAAACTATATTTCTTGTTATGTGTGTAAATAACCCTTATTAAATGTAGCTACAAATTATACCCCTGGATAAGAAAGCTAAAAATATTATAAAATGTAAATTTATAACAAAGTAAAGTGTAGAGACAATTTAATTATTATTCTTACAGCTCTCATAACAAAGGATACTCTCATTATCCTTGTTTTTCAGGGGATAAAACTGATGCTAAGAGATATTAAGTAAGTTGCCTAGAACAGTTAGTAGTAAAGGTTGGATTAAGTCAGACACCAGAGCATGTATATTTAAGAACTCTGCCATATTGCCTTCCAAATCCATGTCACATCCCCATGAAATGTCTTTCTTGGTACAGAATTTCATAAAAACTTTTAATCTTGGACAATATAAAAAAAAAGAAATGTAATGGGAGATCAACAACTACTTCCACCAGATGACTGAAATCTATTAGAGGCCCTCAATAATTAAAATAGCAGAGTACTAGCCAGGCACGGTGGCTCACGCCTGTAATCCCAGCACTTTGGGAGACCAAGGCAGGTGGATCACGAGGTCAAGAGATCAATATCATCCTGGCCAACATGGTGAAACTCTGTCTCTACTAAAAATACAAAAATTAGCCGGGCATGGCGGTGCACACGTGTAGTCCCAGCTACTCAGGAGGCTGAGGGAGGAGAATCGCTTGAACCCAGGAGGCAGAGGTTGCAGTGAGCCGAGATCTTGCCACTGCACTCCAGCCTGGCAACAGAGTGAGACTCCACCTCAAAAAAAAAAAGTAGCATAGTAGTAGAGCATGAATGGAAGAGAGGCCCAATGATTGCCAAGATCTAGCTGACAGTCAGGGTGGTGGTGGCCAAACTGCACCATGGGGGGTGGTGGGGCATCCAGATTGACAGAGCAAAACCCATAGGAGGAACTCATTATGCAGATGGCCTGGCAGGGGAACCAAATTATGGTAAGGCCAAAGACAGTGGGCAGAAAAAGGTAGGCAGGAGAATTCAGCTCCTTGCCTCTGATGATACTGAATGAAAAGCTCATTTTGTCTGAAATGTCTTGGTCACAGGAATGGCTGAAGCAGCAGGAGCTAAAGCCAGTGGGATCCAGTGAGTGGGCTGGGTTGAAAGGGAAGATGAATATTCTGAGATCCACAAAAGAGTGGGAAAACGGGAATATGCTTGCCTGGAATGCAATACAAGCCAAAGAGGAGCCTTCTATGGGGAAGCTTTCTTTTGTCTCTGGTTGTCTATGTCCCTAAAGGGAAACAGCTTCATTTCCAATCACTACAATAAACTGAGATCCACCACGGCTTATCACAGGGTGAAAAGGAGGGATCATATTTCAACTTTGGGCTTTCTCTTCAAATAAGGTTAATAAACAGTCTTGGAAAGAAGCATATGGTGGAAAGGAAAATGTTTATGTTAAATTTTAAACTTGTTTCTTTGTGCTGGATATCTTCCCATTCTCCTGTAAATTCTCTCTCCCCTTCTCCACCCAGTCAGGACTGCTAAAGGCTAAGCTGTGTAGATGTCATACCAGACCCCGAGACCAAGGCTGGGGCTAGGGTAGGGAGAGTGAGGCATTGAGGGTGGAACATTTAAGAAGGCTGTCATTCTCAGGGCTGTGCAAGTGCTCCATGCCCAGTCCTGACAGTGAAGGCCTCCTTAATTGTTGATCCCCAGATGTGTCACTCACCGTATCCTTATTGGTTCTATCAGTGGGGACTTCCTTCTGGTAGGAAGTCAGAGACAGGGTCAACTATGAAGTCAGGTTGATGTAGGGCAGGCAAGCCCCAAAACTGGAGCTTAGCCTGGGAAGATTCTTGGCTTTACTCAGGAAAGAATTCAAGAGCCAGCCAGTGGTAGAAGAAGACAGTTGTATGAAGGCAGCAGTGTTACAGCTCCGTTGACTGCTCCTGCAGAGCAGGGCTCCCCCATCCTAGACAGTGTGTGGAGAGCAGCAGCTCAGGGGCAGGTCTCCAGCCATATTAATACCCATTTTTAATTACATGCAAATTAAGAGATGGGTTATTTCAAAATTTCTAGAAACAGGGTGCCATGGAAAGGGGCAATAACTTTCAGGTGTTGCCACGGCAATGATAAACTGTCATGGCACTGGTGGGCGTATCTTATGGAGAGGTGGTGGTGGTGCCTCTTCCCTGTTTCAGCCAGTCTTAGTTCTGGTCCAGGGTTGAGTTCTGCCTCCTACCTTAAGGTTATTTGTTTCCCTGGTTGGCTGCAGCTCCTGACACATCAGTGCTGCACCCAATGCCCTTGCCATACAAAGCTCTTACTTTAACTTGTCCCTTAGAGCCTGGAGGTGGTAACTGTTGTCTGCTACTAACCTAGATAATTACACTGTCTTCTGTGGTTCTTCTACACCCAAACATCTGTAAATAAGCCCTTTGTAAATAAACTTTCTTTGAATAATCTTCTTCTGAGTATGCCATCTTCTTTCCATAGAGACCCTGATAAATATATGTCCCTCATCCAGGCTCTGCCATTTGTAGAGTACTATGAATTAATATTTTATGAGCCCTGTAATTATCTTGTGAATAACCCAACTATATTGCATCACACATTTTTACATTAAATGCATTAATTATGTATATGGGCACATTTCTTTTTAAATACCACATTTTTGGGGCATGGCTGTTTTGGCCTCAAAAAAATTAAAAGTTGTCCTGGCCTTTCCTAATGCCCATTGAGACCATGATGTCGACAAAGCAGCAGTGATGGATAATGATTTAGAAAACAGGCTTAGAATTAGATATACTTAGATGCAAATCCCAGCTCATCTTCTTCCTTGCTGTGTGACTTTGGACAAGTTGCTTGCTCCAGTGGGTGTAGAGACTGCAGCTGTTGACTTTTTTTTTTTTTTTTTTTTTTTTTGGTCCTTCTAAAATTGGACTTTCCTTCTGAAAATATTTCCCATGCCAGGCCGGGCACGGTGGCTCACATCTGTAATCCCAGCACTTTGGGAGGCCGAGGCAGACAGATCACGAGGTCAGGAGATCAAGACCATCCTCGCCAACACAGTGAAACCCCGTCTCTATTAAAAATACAAAAAATTAGCCAGGCGTGGTGGCGGGCACCTGTAGTCCCAGCTATTTGGGGGACTGAGGCAGGAGAATTCCTTGAACCCTACAGGCGGAGGTTGCAGTGAGCGGAGATCATGCCACTGCACTCCAGACTGGGCAACAGAGTGAGACTCCATCTCAAAAAAAAAAAAATTTCCCATGCCAGTTTCCAGGCTCAACTCCTATTTGTGATGTGACCCCAATTGAGACACCAAGTCTTGTCTCTTTAAACTGAAGCTCTCAGCTCCTGGGAAAAATCACACAGATCTTCAGCTTCCATATTCGTTAGCTCACACCTTTCCTTGCCAACTGACAGCAAATTGTATGCACCTGAAGGGAGCAGAGTTGGAGACCGACTCCAAAGGGGCAAGATGTCTAAAACAACAAAACGTGAGTTATTTTTGCAATGTTTCTTTTTCAGGCCCTCCCACTCCCTGTAATATCTGGCTGAGGTGTGAATGGCTGACTCCAGCAGGTATCAGGAACAGATGGAACCAGCTAATTATGTCTCTTACATGTGAGTAGAGATAAAGCTGTTAATTGCTAATTGTACACTTCTCCCATTTCCCACCCCAGGGCGCTGGGGCAGAGACCACGTCCTAAACCCAACTCAAATGTGGGCTGTGCTCTTGGCTGAAGAAAAGCATGGAAAGCAGTTGGGGACCTGCATCCCCAAGACTGTCAGCCCTTCTCCAGGGCTAGCAACAAGCAGAGTGTAGCAGTGAGAAGATGCTCTTGGCAGGCTCCAGATAGCTGTGCCCTCAGCCCAGGAGGACTCAGCCAATGAAGACTCAGCTAATGAAAGCTCAGCATGGAGGTGGCAAAGGGCTGCAGCCCCACCAGTAAGTGATATCTGGTAATTGTTTCCAGTGTGCTCCAGGGTCAACTTAGTTCCCCAGAACCCACGTGATCCTGAGATCTCTAGGCTTCTATGCAGCTCCTGACTGGACACTGAAAAGCACTATAATGTGGAATCTTCCTCCATCTTCCAAGCCTTAAGATCATGTCTTGTGATGGTCACAGGATTTTAAGCTAATCAGCATCTCTTTTAGGAAAATATCCCTACCCCATTCCCAGTAGATGTGAGTTGACTGTGGTAGTATGTGCCTGTAGTCCCAGCTACTCGGGATCCTGAGGCAGGAGAATTGCTTGAGCCCAGGAGGTGGAGGTTGCAGTGAGCCAAGATCACACCACTGCATTCCAGCCTGGGCAAGAGAGTGAGACTCCGTCTCAAAAAAAAAGCAGACTTACTTAGATACCAACAGGCATAATCAGAGAGATGGCCCGATCATATACTGCAATGTAACAGAATATTCCATTCCCATGGCCACAGTAATTGGTTTAGGGAAGGTCAGGTGACACTAATTTGGCCAATCTGAGGCACTCCCAAGACAAGTTAAAATTCTTTCCAGGCTGGAGTCTGATGGCGCCATCATAGCTCATTGCAGCCCAGATCTCCTGGGCTCAAGTGATCCAAGCAGCTAGGACTACAGAGGCATGCCACCACACTGGCTAATTTCTTACTTTTTTGTAAAGACAGGATGTCACTATGTTGCCCAGGCTGGTCTAGAACTCCTAGCCTCAAGCGATCCTCCTGCCTTGACCTCCCAAAGCTCTGGGATTACAGGCATGAGCCACCATGCTCGATCTGAAATTCTTGGGAAGGAAGCATTCTTCTTTTTTTTTTTTTTTTTTGCGACAGAGTGTTGCTCTGTTGCCCAGGCTGAAGTGCAGAGGCATGATTTAGGCTCACCGCAACCTCCACCTTTTGGGTTCAAGCAATTCTCATGCCTCAGCCTCCTGAGTAGCTGGGATAACAGGTACACACCACCATTCCCAGCTATTTTTTGTATTTTAAGTAGAAACAGGGTTTCGCCATGTTGGCCAGGCTTGTCTCCAGCTCCTGGCCTCAAGCAATCCTCCCGCCTTAGCTTCCCAAAGTGCTGGGATTACAGGCATGAGCCACCATGCCCAGACTAAAATTCCTGGGAAAGATACATTATTTGGAATTGCTACACTAGGGATATTGTAAGCTACCAGTGGTCCCTACCTTTCTTTTTTCACAGGTATAGCATATGCTGTTGGTGCCCTGTGCCATATCCCCTTGGCTCACCTGAGCTTACCTACAGCTTTGATAGACAGTTTCCAGCCTCAAGCATTTGCATCTTTCCTCTCTGCCTGAAGGCTTTTGCTAGTACCCAGGACCCTTCTCTGCCACCTACAAGTAGGGGAGAGCTGATGCCCTCAGGTGATCTTCAGCCAGTGGGAAATGGAAAACCATAAATAAATTCCCTAGCATCCTTGCCCTTGGCTGAGACAATCCTGAGTATTCTCAACGTAGTCTCTAACAAGATCCCAGTGTGACCTGCCCATGGGGCCACCTGCTCCTCAGTACACTTTTTACTGGTTTTTCTCCCATCTGTCTTATCCTCTCCATTTCTTCACTTGTGCTTCCTGAGATCACCTCCTGTGTTAGTTTGGTCCTTCTGTTGAGATTAGACATGTGGGAAGTTTACTGGAGAAATACCTGTGAAGGCAAAAGGAGAGGGAGCTGGAGAAGGCGGGGAGAAGCTCAGACTCCAATACGGGACTCACACTGCAGCAGAGAGAGGGAAGGAGGGATAATTGGGCAGGAAGAGACATAGACTGCAGCCTAATTCGAAGACAAGTTTGGCCAGGCCAGTGAGGGGTTCTCAAAGACACCTGTCAGAGGAGAACCACATCTTGTAGGCATGAGCCTCCCTTAGTGGCCTCACTGTGCTGTCATTAGCTGGGTACAGCCTGAGGGAAGTATGGCTTTGGTGTAAATGTGGTGTCCCAGAAGAGTAAGAGCAGGGCTATTAGTCAATCATGCCTCCTGCCACAGAACATCTGAGTGGTTCATTTTCACGACCACCATATCTCCCAAATAAAGTACTGTACCACAGGGTCTGCTTTTGGTGGTGATGGTGGTGGTCAGGGAACCCAAACTGAGATGATGAAAATCCCTGAAAATGAACCATATGTAAAAGAAAGCAAAGCCAAAGGCCATCGTTTGAGTACCTGGATCCAACCATTCCTGATGTCAGTAACCCACTGAATGTTACAGCTAAATAAGCCAATACAATTTCCTCTTGTTGTTTTTTGTTTGTTTGTTGTTCTTATTGTTGCTATATAATCTAGCTAGAGATGGATTTCTGTCAATGAGAGCCAAAAGAGTCCAGACTAACACAGACATCATAGCTATCCATTTTTACTAGTGTTGGCCTGAAATTCATTTTGCTTGCCTTGGAATTGTTAAGCCAACCATGGTGAAAACTGACTTCCCTTAGCCTTTGTTATAACCATCTTTGACCCTCTTCCTTCTCCCTGCCCAGAACAGCCAGTATGTCATCCAGATGGAACTCTTCAAATATGGTGGAACACATGTTTATCCATCCATGGCTGTACCCCTGACTCTAGATCACTGTTTCTCATGATTTATAAAATAAGTGCACAGGTGTTTTGTGGAATGCTGACATGAGCACATAGGTCCTCTCTGAGCCATATCAGGCAGCCAAGGAAAGGAATCAAGATGCCTGGAGACCAACATGACTGAGGACAGCAAGGCAGGGCGATGCAGCCCAGCCTCAGTGACTGGTTCTAGAAATACAGAAAAATGGGCCAGGTGTGGTGGCTCATGCCTATAATCCCAGCACTTTGGGAGGCCGAGGCAGGCAGATCACCTGAGGTCAGGAATTTGTGACCAGCCTGGCCAACATGGCAAAACCCCATGTCTACTAAAAATACAAAAATTAGCTGGGCGTGGTAATGTGTGCCTGTAGTCCCAGTTACTTGGGAGGCTGAGGCAGGAGAATCGCTTGAACCAAGGAGGTGGAGGTTGCAGTGAGCCGAGATTGCACCACTGCATTCCAGCCTGGGCAAGAGAGTGAGACTCCATCTCAAAAAAAAAAAAAAAAAAAAAGAAATACAGATAAATTGGCAGACTTACTTAGAGACCAACAGGCATAATCACCCCAGAATCAGCGTAATCCTGAGGTCTCTAGGTACCAACTTGTGTGCAGCTCCTGATGGGACACTGAAAAGTGCTGTCATCTGGAATCTTCCTCCATCTTCCAAGTCTTAAGACCATGTCTTGTGATGGTCACAGAATTTTAAGCTAATCAGTATCTCTTTTAGGGAAACATCCCTGCCCCATTCCCAGTAGATGTGAGTTTCAGAAACATCAACTCTAAAAAAGGGGAGTTTCTTTACTAAGGATTTTACACAGTGGTTAACAAAGGACATAACACAAGTGCCCCTTCTTTCTTCTTTTGTGTGTAACTTCCACACAGAAGCTGTCTCATTGGGTTAATATTACCCAAAAACAAACCCCATTTAACAGAGAACTCAATAATAATAAGGCTGCTCTCAGTAAATGGGTTCAGACTGCAAGAGGACCAGAAATGGAAAAAGGATAATTTTTTCTTTAGCTTGATGTGCACAAATACCATATGGCTATGAGGAATGAGTACATTCCTCCTAAATGCCCAGCCAGAATGGGAAGACAGAAGCCACATGCACGTTGTACACAATGTCATTCTGCCTTGAGACATGTGCTTTCAAGTTTATGTCTGTCTTGGGAAAATAAGGATCACTTATTTTGAGCTGTAGTGATTAATTTTTGTGTCCAAATAAGTATTTGTTTGTCCTTTTGTACAGAACTCTTTGCCTCCAGGCGCTGTGGTGGTGAAGAACTGAAATACACAAACCTTGGGGCTTCCCCTTGTCCCTGAAACTGCAGAAGATGCTGGCTCGGGAGAGCCCAGGTGAGAAAGCTGCTGCAGGAGCCAGAAACTTTGGCAAAGACTCTTTCTTTGCAAGTAAGAAAGCTAGTTGGGAAAGAGGACCAACTGTTCCTTCTAAATTCCCAGGGAGTGGAGGGTACGTGAGGCCCTGTGATTCATTGGCCAGGAGTATCTGCTCCAGCTGCCAGGCCAGAGTGATCAATCCAAAAGTGCTTCTGAAAATGAGGCCAGACCCACATTAATGAAGCCTGATTGCCTCAGAATTATTGTCGGATTAATTAGCAGCTTTGCCAGTAGCCCATGTGTTCAGGGTCAGTAACAATTTATGGTGAGTCACATTTAAGTAATTTCATTCAATTTAACCAGCATTTGCTGCACCTACTAAGCACAGAGTTTTAGGCAAACCTAATGTAAGAACAGGGTCTGAACTGGACTTCCAATGCCAAGGATTCTAGGCCTAGATCTGCCGTATACAAGTCATTTACCAGTAGGAAAAAAATCACTTTGTCTTTCTGGCCTCAGTTTCCCCATTTGTAAAAAAAAAAAAAAAAAGGTGGGATGGAATTGACTCAATAGTTGGTCAGTTTTCTCCAATATCAGTGAGGTAGGAGGTGGAGCTCTACTCCAGAGACAGGGCTTGGACACCAGATCAGATTGAGGAGTAGCTAAAAATGGGCCAGGGTGAAAGCAGCTTTAAATCAGACACACCCACCAGTGTGTCATGTCAATTTACTGTTGGCATGGCAACACCTAGGAATTACTGCCCTTTTCCATGGCAATGACCCAATGACTCAAAAGTTAGTACCCTTTCCCTAGAAATTTCTGCATAAACTGCCTCTTAATCTTCATGCAATTAAAAGTGGGTATAAATATGACTGCAAAACTGTCCTGAGCTACTACTCTCTGCCTATGAGGCAGCCCTGCTCTGCAGGAGCAGTCACGGAGCTATAACACTGCCTCTTCAATACAGCTGTTTTCTTCTACCTCTGGCTTGCCCTTGGATTCCTTCCTGTGCAAAGCCAAGAACCCTCACAGGCTCCATGTTGGGGCTTGCTTTTTGAGAGCCTGAAATGTAAAATTAGATAAGACACATACATACAAAAGGAAAATTCATTAATTCCATGAATGTGTTTATCCACAAATATTTACTGATCAGTTCCTACTAGGTTCCAGACACTATACAAAATAATGTAAGATAAGCTTACCTTCAAACACATACAGTCTACTGGGGAAGACCATGAACAAATGCACAGTTGGAGCATAGGCACAGAGCAGGGAGCTTTTGAATTAGAGGGAGGGTAGCAAAGTTGTGCCAGAGGAAGTAACATCGTACTGAGAAATAAAAAAGAGATGAAAGGCATCTCATCAAAGAGTATAGAATTTAATAAGACATAGAGTCATGATAAAAGTATGTTGGGGGAATGAAGGTGTATTCTGTGAGAATAATAACGAATGTGGCAGGAAAACTGCATGAGAGCTAGGTTATAGGAGAACATTTTGTTTGGAATTAAATTCTGGAAGCCAAGTGAATCTACTGAAGGAATATGACATGACATGGTCAGATTTTGATTCTACGGTAGTCTAGAAGCAGAGAGGAAGATAAATTGTTGAGGGAAGATGTTAAAGACAAAGAAGCCCATCAGGAGGCTTCTACAATTATCTAGACAAGGGATGGTGCTGATCTCACCTAAGACAGTAAAGCTAGAGAGAATAAAGGTGATACAAGCAATGTTTCAATAGCGGATATTGTAATTCTTGGTGACTGATTAAATATGGGAGATCCATAGTGTTGAGTGTCCATATCAACTGCTAGATTTCATTTCTGGGTGTCTTGGGGAAAGGGGTGCCATTTACTAAATAGAGAATGTGCCAGGAGGAAGTGGTTTGGAAGAAGAGCCATGAAAAGAGGCCCAGCTCTCTCATGCTGTGTCTGAGTCACATAAGCTGATTGATATCCTAAGGCATAGGCCCAGTAAAGAAGCTGGAGATGTGAAAATCATCAGCATAGGTGAGAACCTGAACCATGAATGGAATGGATATTGCCAGGAAGACTGGAAAGACTGAGACCAAAGTAGTATTGAACAGAGCCTTGGGGGGTCTAAAGAACAGTCTAGGAAGAACAAGGAAGAACATGGAAGAGGGTTGGACAGAGAAGTAGGAAGCAATCCATACTAACTATATAATTATGGTTAGTATATTGGAGTATATCCCAGCATAGAGAGGATGAATGGATAGAGAGATAGGGAGATGGAGAGATAGAATTGATAGCTATATGGATGGAAGGATGGATGGAGAGGTAGGTGGATGGATGGCTGGCTGGCTGGATGGATGGATGGATGGATGGATGGATTAGATAGATGATATATATATATATAGATAGATAGATAGATAGATAGATAGATAGATAGATAGATAGATAGATAGATAGATGTGATAGATACATGGATGGAAAGATGGATGAATTGGTAGATGATAGATAGATAGATAGATAGATAGACAGACAGATAGAATTGATAAGTAGATAGATGGAAGATGAATGGATAGGTGGATGGATAGAAAAAGATTATAAGAATTTAAGGGGTGAGCAATCAGGGGGTTAGATACCCCAGAAATGTCAAAAAGATAAGGATGGAAAACTGTCCATAGGATTTGGCTCCATGAAGTTCACTGCTGATCTCATCAAGAACAATCTCTGTGGAGTCAGGGAAGTCAGATTGCAGGGCATTCAACAAGCCCTTATTGCGAGAAATGTGGCAAGAAGTGTAGACTACTCTTTCAAGCAGCAAAAAGGGAAAATAGAGAAAATATAGGATGCTATCTCAGGAAGGTTAGGAAAGTTAGGGTTTTTTTCCACTATGGCAGAAACTTGAGCATGGTTTTAGATTTAGAAGAAAGAGCCAATAGAAGATACATTGAAGATAAAGGAGAGATGATCATTGACAAGAGGGTCTGGGATCCAAAACCCAGATTGCAGGATCCTTGTTATACAAGAGGAGTTACATTGCTTTCTCTGAAACAGAAAGGAAGAAAGAAAATTTAGACACAAATCATCTTAAAGGCATTAGCAGAAGAATGAGGTTAGTCTCTCCAACCCAAGAGATCTTGGTTTCCTTAGGGAAAAATCAGAAAATGGTAGACAGTGTGAAGCATGAGGTAAACTGTTGAAGTGGCCACTAGTGAGAATAGGAGCCCGAATTGCCAAGGGACAAGGACATGGATTCCTGGGAATTATGGAGGCTCCCACTGGGGTTTAAACCATGAACATAGTAAAGCTACTGCCCTCATGAAGGAATGGAGAACTCCAATGGTTGAGTCAACCAAGGATAAATAGGAACAGACATTTCCACCATTATCTTGGATTCTACCTCTGCTCTTTCCGCAATCCACCAAGCCCCGTAAACTTGCCAGAAGTTACATTGTGTCTGCAGTTATAATGTTTAAAACATGCTCTCACTTGACCCCAGGATTCTCATTAGCTGGGTTACCCTCTCCAACCTCATCAGCAGACAAGAAGCTTGGCAAAAACAAATTAAACTTTTAAAATTACCCAAGTAAAATATACTTTTGTAAAAAAAAATGCATCTAAACAAAATAGTACAAGTAAAATCACCCATAATCTGAATAATCAGATAATTATAATTAGTATGTTGGAGTATATCCTGGCATAGAGAAGATAGATAGATAGATATAGATAGAAAGATAGATAGATAGATATAATTGACAGATCGATGGGTAGATACATGGATGGATGGATGGATGGATGGATTGATGGAGATAGATACATAGATAGATAGATATCATTGATGGATGGATAGATGATAGATAAAATTGATAAATAGATGGATGGAAAGATAAGTGGATACGTAGATTGGTGGATGGATGAATAGAAAGATAACTTAGAAATAATTGATAGATGAATGGAAGGATGGATGGATGGATGGATGGATATAGATAGATAATTGATGGATGGATGGATGGATGGATATAGATAGATAATTGATGGATGGATGGATAGATAGATATAATTGATGGATAGAAAGATGATTGAATAGATAGGCAGATGGATGAATAGATGGATATATAGAAAGTGAAAGCACAAATGATGAAGCAAATGTGGCAAAATTTAATAGATGAATCTGAATAAAGAATATACAGGTGTCTTTGCACAATTTTTGTAATTTTTCTATATGACTAAAATAAATAAAAATTTTTAAATACTGAAAAAAGTGTGTTGCTTTCAATCTGTGAAATGAGCATGATACAAACTTTAGAAACCATTGTTCTATCTTGTAGAAAGTCTTTATTTTGGCATGTGAATGGCACTTTTCCTTGACATCTCACTGATACAGATTTTCTCCTACTTTTTAAATTTTTTTTGGCCATTTCAATTATATGAGCTCTTTTTAATTGTAAGTGAGGCCTGCCAGTTAGTAAAATTTGGTTTCTTTTCTAAGGATATGGATCATATGAAGACTTTCATTCCAAGAATGTCTTGACCTACTGTTGGCTTCTTGCCACAGATGAACAGAAAGACTTCCCTCTCCCCATTTTAAAGTATGCCTGGAGCAGTGGTTCACATCCATAATCGCAACACCTGGGAGGCTGAAGCAGGAGGATTGCTTGAGTCCAGGAGCTCAAGATCAGCCTGGGGAAACATAGCAAGACCCCATCTCTACAGAAAAAAAAATTAGCCAGGCGTGGTGGCACGCACCTTTAGTCTCAGGTACTCAGGAGGCTGAGGTGGGAGGATATTTTGAGCCCATGAGTTTGTGGCTACTGTGAGCTATGATCATGCCACTTTACTCCAACCCTAGCCTAGGTGACAGAGCAAAACCCTATCTCTAAAAGCAAAGTAAAAATGAAAATAAAAAGTATGTACCACTAATAGGCCATTGATTAAGGAATAAATATTTTTGCCCAGCAGTACTTATTCTGAAACCTGTGAATGATCAAGCATTTCCTGGTGGTTTAAGTATGAAGCTCTGCCAGCCTCCCCAAGTATTCCATGACAACTCATCTTTCAAGACGCCTTTTTTTGTCCGTTTCCCCAAAGTGATTTGGCAGAATCTGCAGTCATTTTGGAATGTCAAAATGCATTATTTGGATAGAAAATAAAACTATCTAGTTAGTGAACATTGTTTTCCCACACATTACTTTGGATGGACAAAGAGAGGTAAGGTCTTCCTTCTTGCCCTCCATTCATTCATCTATTTATTGAAACAAATACTTATTACGTGCCTGCACTGTGAAAAAGATTGTGCTGGGCACACAGGATACAAAGAGGCATGGTAATCTCCACCTTTGATGAACACAGGCTGGCAGATCAGTTTCCCACGAATGAGTGACAGGTGCACTGCAAGTTGAATCTCCTTAGCCATCAGGGCAGCCAGGAAGGTCTTGACTCGGGACAAGCCCCTCAGCTTGGTTATCTCAAACACAAGCAGTCTCATTCATTTATCCCAATGTGCTACACAAATTGTATCATTTTTCATGTACACTGTGACACAAAAAAGAACAGAAAACACTGGAGGAACCAGATCATTAGAAAAATAATAGGCCAGGCACAGTGGCTCACACCTGTGATCCCAGAACCTTGGGAGGCCAAGTTGGGAGGATCGTTTGAGCCCAAGAGTTCAAGACCAGCCTGGGCAACATAGTGAGACCCCGTCACTACAAAAAAAAATTTAAATGTTATTTTAAAAAAGCAAAAATATTCAATAAAAATTGAAAAAATAATGACAACTTTTATGAGTGGTTACAACATCATTGTTTCTGTTCTAAGCACATTGCACGTATTACCTCATTTTCTCCTCATAACAACCCTATGAGGCATGCAACATTATTCTGATTTTGCAGATAAGGAAGCTGAGTCAAACAAAGCTTAAGTAACTTACCCAAGTTTGCACAGCTAGTAAATGACAGCCAGGATTTAAAGCCAGACTTTCTGGTTCCAGACATGTGCTTTTAATCACTGCATTATAATGCTTCTTGAAGATATAATCACAATGCATCATGATAAATTCTGTAACATACATATTCCTAAAGTGCTATGTGTGTACAGAGGAAAGAGTGATCATTTCTTCCTGGGAGAAGTGAGGGAGACTTTACCATAAACAACCTAAGTACTGGCTGATAGGATACAATCCTGAACAATATGTACTTAAATTCAAAGCAATATTTTGGAACACAAAGAAGTAAAAGCATTTTCTTCTTTTTTTTTTCTTTTTTTTTGAGATGGAGTCTCGCTCTGTCACCCAGGCTGGAGTGCAGTGGCACCATCTCGGCTCACTGCAAGTTCCGCCTCCTGGATTTGCGCCATTCTCCTGCCTCAGCCTCCCAAGTAGCTGGGACTACAGGTGCCCGCCACCACGCCCGGCTAATTTTTTGTATTTTTAGTAGAGACAGGGTTTCACCATGTTAGCCAGAATGGTATCGATCTCCTGACCTTGTGATCCTCCACCTTGGCCTCCCAAAGTGCTGGGATTGCAGGCGTGAGCCAGTAAAAGCATTTTTTCTAATTAATGATCATTATGGCCTAATTGTAACCATAAATAAGAGTAAGTGACATATAAATAACAGCATGTCCATAAAGATCTTGGGCTTTCAAGCCAGGCCCTACCAAATCAGGATTTCAAGCCAAGCCTTTCTTAAATAAAGGCCTGTGGTCCTGGTATTCAAATTGTATGCTTGTTTCAGTCTTTCATTTTGTGTATGTGTGTTGCTGACCTTTCCATGTGACATTTAGTCTGCCATTGATTTTTAGGTTCCTAGGACACAGGTTGATTGATTTTGCATTGGCTGATTTTCAAGAACTTACCAGAAATTTTGGTCAGGACTTGGCAAATTGAAAGTGTAAGGAACATTATGCCCCAACTTCTTATTGAACTAGCCTGATCTTCACAGTCATAATAATTTCTCAAAACACATATTGGAATAAGGTACTCATTTGCTTAAATACCTCCAGTAGTGTCATGTAATTTGCAGGGAAAAGTTTGAGCTCAATTTTTTAGTTCAGTGTGAAAAGACTTTCCTAATATGAACACCGATTATCTTCCCAGTTTCATTTACCAACCTTTTCTCTGACAAATCCTAGTTTTCAGGCATACCACATTCTCATCCCTCTCCCTGTATTATATGCTATATTCTTGTAAGTTCCTATAACCATATATTATGTATTCTACTTTTGAGTGTCTTTCTCCTATATATACAGGCAGCTAACACCTATCTCCTATGCATACATCAATACAAAGTTCCAAAGGCACCTCCTCAAAGAAGTCTTCCATGAGCCCCTTCACTCAGTCTTCAGTAAGTTTCTATTAAATTTTTCTCTATGAATCCTTCCACAGTATTTCTATCTCTATATTTTTATCTGTATATCTATATCTGAATATTTATCTCTGTGTGTGTGCATATATGTCTGGGTATATATATATATATATATATCTTAGTACAGTGTCTGAGAAAGCGTTAATGTTTGTTGAATTAACACTTCTAAGAAAGTAGAAACACAGCAGGAAAAAAAGAAAATATTACTCAAATAAAAAAGGGGCTTGAGAACTGAGCATTTGGGGGGAAATAAAAACATAAACTAAGATTGAATATCACCTGAAAGTTCACAGGGAGCTGCCCAGTTGAAAGAGGTTGTGGAGGGCAGAGAGGGGAAGACTCATTTTACCTTAGTACAAGCCTCGGAAGAAGGAAAATTGCTTGGATGTTGGGGAGAAGGTGCAATTCTACTAACAAAGTGAAAGAAATTTGGCTTTGAAACAAGAGATCCAGAGTGCAAAAAAGAGTTAAAATATTTATAAGGATAAAAGCAAATGTTACATTATACACTAACCAACGGGCCATGCAGTCTTTGAGTAAATCTCTGGAGTGAAGCTTTTGAAGTTCTCTCTGAAGAGATGGAGGGTGTGCAGCTATAAGTTGATGCACAATCTCTCTCCCCAACAAAACTGAAAACCTTCCTCTATCATTGTTCATATTTGTCCTTGCTGTCTCCAGGAAAGCCTTTTTCTGCTGTGCTTAAAAAAAAATAAAGAAAGAAAGAACCGAAAGAAATAAGAAAGAGAAATCCTATTTAACCAACTTTCAGAGGTTATCTCCTGATAATTGAGCTTGGAACGAGGCAAGCTGCCTCCTCTTTGCCAAGGTCATGGGTGACTATTGGCTGGATATCAGGCAAGGGGGCAGGAGTGCAATGCAAGGTAAGTGGCTTTCCTCAATCATGGCTGCTTCCGAACCATTTTAAAGAGGACTGCTTTCCTCGTGGAATGCTTAATAATCTTCAGAGCCAAAGGGATGACAGCTAAGATTACAAACTCAAAAAAGAATCTAAGAAAAACCAGCCTGCCCTAGCCCTAGCGATTCTGTAGCCATTAATTGTACAGACACCACCTGGGGAAGGTTGATACTTGATATAACTAAAAGAGAAAAGCAGGTACTAAAGCCATTTTTTTGCAGGGCTAGAGACATGTAAATTAGGCAGATCTGGGGTCGAATTACAAAAGAACCAGCCCAATGATCCTGTGCCTTCCATACAGCCTAGCCCTCATCCCCCATTCACAGATGGGTTAGCATGAAAAGAAGGAACGTAATATTCTTTCAACGGTTACAATATTCCAAGGACTTTTACATGTTTTATTTTGCTTCATTCTCACAATAACCCTATCAGATGGACATGATTATCTTCAGTTTCTAGTTGAAAAAATTGGTCTCAGAAAAGTGAACCTGCTCAATGTCATGTGACAAGGAAAGAGAGGGTGTGGATTTGAACACAGGCCTCCTCATTTAAGAAATATTTCTTATCTCTCTGTATTATACTATCTAGATCCTGTGTTAGATAATGGAGACACAAAAGCAAAAAGATAGCATTTTAAAGCTACAGGGAACATAACAGTCCAGAAGAGAAACAGGCACACAGAGAATTACATTACGATGTAGTATACTGAGTTAAAATTGAGGTCAGTACCTAAGTACGGAGGGCGGGCCTGACTTCCAAGGGTGGGATCCAGAAATGGTGCCAAAATAAGATATCTCCACCTTGCCATTAAGTTCTAACCTAACTCTTGGATCTTTCAATCAAGTATATGCAAATACAGAAGAAAATGAGCACCAGTTAACATGTATTGAGCACTTGCCATGAGCAGACCCAGATGCAAAGGACCTGAGACACAAACAAATCTGGGGCATTACTGAAATCCACCCACTGCCCGGATAATTACAGGACCTTTATAAGGAGTATATACTTTAATGCATGGGGGAAAAAAGTTAATCATAGCTCCTGGTACATAGTAAAGACTCAATAAATGTAATTTGTCATGCTGTTTTTGTTGGAGGGTGAGAAACATTGCTCCGATTTCCATAAATGAGAGAGGGTTTCTGTTTCACTTTACAAATGTAAACAGTTTGAGGAAAATGATTTCCTTCTCTTTCAACACCCCTTGCTCACTCCTTCCTTTGGAAGGAGAAGTGTTCTTTGTTTGGTTGCTTGTTGTTGTTTTTTGGCTTTTTATTTTTATTTTTATTTTTGAGACAGGGTCTTACTCCATCACCCAGGCTGAAATGCAGTGACATGATCTTGTCTCACTGCAATTTCCACCTCCCGGGTCAAGCGATTCTCCACCTCAGTCTCCCAGATAGCTGGGACTACAAGTGCACACCCCTACACCCAGCTAATTTTTTCAATTTTTTTTAGGGATGGGGTTTTGCCATGTTGCCCAGGCTGGTCTCAAACTCCTGGGCTCAAGTGATCCACCTGCCTTGGCCTCCCAAAGTGCTAAGATTACAGACATGAGCCACCATGCCTGGCCAGGAGAAGTTGTTTATCTGGTTGGTGCTTCTCATTTCTCTAATGCAGGAGTTTTCAATGTCATGATCCGAAAAGGGAGATTATAATCCCTGCTTTTCTCATAGGTTTGTTGAAATAATTTATGAAAGCACATTGTGTCAGTCATGACACAAAGTGAAGTGTTACTCCATTAAGCAGCATGGCATAATAATTCCTACGAACAAGATGAGCGCTTCCTACATACAAGAACTTTAATGCACCATTTTATATTATCCTCCTGATCATCCTGGCTAAAATGTGTCTCCCTTTTACATAGGAAGTGATTGAGCTCCAGAGGTATTGAGCAACTCATTCAAGGTCACACAGGTGGCAAATGGCTGAGCCAAGCTTCAAATCAATTTTGCACCACCCGCAAATATTTGACAGTATCTGGAGACATTTTGGGTTATTCTAACCGGCATGGTGCTGATGCTACTGCCGTCTAATGGGTGTAGGCTAGGGATGCTGCTAAACATCCTCCAGTTCCCAAGACAGCCCCCACACAGTGAAGAATTACTCAGCCTAAGATGTCGATAGTGCAGAGTTTGAGAAGCTCTTCTCTAATGAGTATTAAATATGCTGCCTAGTATAATGGTTAAGCTAGGCGACTCCTGAGCTACATTGCTCAACTCCACTTACCAACTGTGTAACTCTGGGCAAGTCATTTAACACCCCCCTGCTTCAGGTTCCTCATCTGTAAAATAGGGTTAACTGTCGTTTCCACCTCCTAGGATTTTTGTGAAGGTGAAATAAGTGACTGCATGTAAAGTATTTAAAACAGGGCTTGGCATTTAGCAAAAGCTCAATAAATGTTTGCCATTGATGTATTAGAAAGTCATGCACATTGTAAGCCCACTCTCCAGCCCATCCTCTGCGTAAATCTTCCCAGTCCTGCTCATACATTATGCTCCTGGTGATTAAGAGCTCTGAAGCCAGACTGCATGGGTTTCCTGGTCTGAATCCTGACTGTTAGTTCAGCAGCTCAGGCGGTGGGATTCGAAGTGATCAAGATCATCTGAGATGCATTTGCTCACTTAATACTTAAAACAAACCTAGGAAACTGGTACCACTATTTCACTGATGAGGCTTTGGAGGATTCGTTCGCTTGCCCAAAGTTCCAGCCACTAAGTAGAGAGTCTCAAGGTACTGCCAGGGCTGGATGCAGTGGTTCAGGCTTGCAATCCCAGCACTTTGAGAGGCCGCAGAGGGAGAATCGCTTAAGGCTAGACGTTTAAGATCAAGGTGCTGCCACCTGTCAGTGCCATCACAAATGGATTTAGAGACTCAACCCCTACCCTTCCATCTGTGGAGAGAGGGCATTTGCAGGCAGAAGGTTAATGCCGGCTCTGCCACTATGTAGTGGCCAGACACTGAGAAAGTAGCAATCTCTCTGAGCTGCCATATATATATAAAAAGATTTCAACTTTGTTGATTGTTGATATCAAATAATATTTAAAAACACATAATATAAGGGAGATTTAGGACCTCTTTCAGGCAACAGAGTTTGCCTTAGAATGCCTTAGAAAATCCATATGTGAAGCTCGACCTAGTGGCTTTGAACAATGTACAAATAGCCTTTTAGCAATCCTTGAAATTCCTCCATTTCTAGTATGACCTAGCCCAGTTTGGGGGATTTATGGAGCAGGGTTGATGGCCAGGTATGTATCTGCAAAATGCCGTATGGACACTCATGGAACCATCCCAGCCATTCAACTGTCTCTGGGTCATAGCACACAAATGTGAGAGGAGAGGAGAGGAGAGGTCATTTAATAGAGCTATTGTACTCTCAGCTTCACTGGTTCAATAACTTTCTCAGCATGCTCAAGAAACTAATATTCCCCAGCTAGCTCACTGCCCTGAACTTTTTCAGAAGCTCTGACCTCTGAGCTGTTTCTTGGAGACTGCAGGTGAACCTCACTTATTCCTACCGTTTTCCCTTGGAGCCTCTAAATTCTCCTTGGCCTCTATCACTCTGCCAATGTAGATGAAGTACCGCTCCCAAAGTAAGAAATCCTAGGCGCGAATGGGCCCTGGTGGGGTGACTCTGGAGAAATTACTAAAATTATATGAGCAATGGTTTCCTCATTTGTAAAATGGGAAACTAATAATATCAATGTCAAGGGCTAATTTGAGAATAAAATTGACTTAGTTCATATTAAAGTGCTTTCGAATGTGTGTAATGTAGAATGTGCTATTATTTCTTATCTAGGTATTGCCTTTGGTATCATTTGTTAAATCTCTCTGATGTAACAAGGACTGATGAAGGATTTACACACAGTATCTCATCTGGTCCTCACAAATAATTCTAGGACATAGGACTTGTTATTGGCCCCATTTGGGGAGTAAGCAAACAGGCTTAAAGTGGTTAAATAATTTCCCTAAGCCTGTAAGTGGCAGAACCAGTACTTGGACCTGGGCCTATCGTAGAACAAGTCCATGCTCTTACACTATGATAATCTCTGGTCTTCTCCAAAACACAGAAGAGGTGGGACAAGGTGGCTCATGCCTATAATCTCCGCACTTTGGAAGGCCAAGGCAGGCGATCACTTGAGTCCCGGAGTTTGAGACCAGCCTGGGCCACATGGTGAAACCCTATGTCTACAAAACATACAAAAATTAGCTGGGTGTGGTGGCACACACCTGTGGTCCCAGCTACTCAGGAGGGTGAGGTGGGAGGATCATCTGAGCCTGGGGAACTCGAGGCTCTAGCAAGCTGTCATCGTGCCACTGGACTCCAGCCTGGGCAACAGGGTAAGACCCTGTCTCAAAACACAAACAACAAAAACAGAGAAGAAGCTAAGAAACTAGGAGGGAACCAAAATTATTAGTACTGAGATGATTGTTTTTTCTATTGGGCTTTAGAGAAAATGATATATGGTGAGACAGAGCTATAAAGTATGGTCCAATAAATTGCAAAACCCTTTTTAACCCTCACAACAACCCTATGAGGTAAATATTTGATCCCCTCTTGACAGATTGGAAAATCGAGGCTTAGGGACCTAAGAGATATGCCTCCAAATCACAGAACTAGTAAATAAAGGTACCAAGACTTGCACCTAAGTATTCTGGGACCAACTCCTGCCATCTTTCCACCATTCCAGTATGGATTTGACACTTGGCTCAGCCATTTATGAGCCACGTGACCTGGGATGAGTTACTCAACCTCTCAAAGGCTCAATTACCACATAGGTTAAAAAAAAAAGACATATTTTAACCAAGATGATCAGCAAGATAAAATAATGCAAGTTAAGTTCTTGAACACAGCAAGCACTCAACAAATGATAGCGAGAATTATCATACCATGCTGCCTTACTGTACTAACATCTCACTTTTGTATCATGATTAATGATTTACACATTGTGTTTAAATACATTATTTCGGTAAACCTATAAGGCAAGAATTATGGACCCCTGTTTTAGGTTATGACATTGAGATGTTAGAGAAAAATAACACTTACTCAAAATCACACAAGTAGTAAGTAAAGGTTTGGGGATGCAACCCAGTCTTTTGGTTTCAAATGAAGAATAATTTCTATTGCACTGTGTCGGGCATTGAACACATTATACACTACCTTTTCATTCATTCATTCATTCATTGTTCCAACATCTACAAAGTTATCCCTCAGATTCAAAAGTGGAAGTTGAGTTCAATTTTCTTCTCACTCAGGGGTCACCCTCCCAGTTAAAAAATCAAGTTACTAATGAGTGACTGAAAAGACCTCCCTAAGAGGCAATACTACCATTTGTTAATGTAATAGGTATTTATTGAGCACCTACTGTATGCAGATAAATATGCTACATGTTGGGAAAACAGCAGACACGTCTCTTTTTCCTCTCTGCCTCTAAGATGTCCAGGGAAGCACCAGAATGCAAAGCATTATTAAATGTGCTTATGATACAGGTGCTGTGAAGAGAAAATGAGAGTCACTAACACAGGAACAGAAAACCAAATGCTTCCTGTTCTCACTTATAAGTGGGAGCTAAATGATGAGAACTCATGAACACAAAGAAGTGAACAACAGACTTAAGGGTGGAGGTTGGGAGGAGGGAGAGGAGCAGGAAAAATAACTGTTGAGTACTAGGCTTAATATCTGGGTGCTGAAATAATCTGTACAACAAACCCCCATGAAACAAGTTTACCTGTACAACAAACCTGCACAGTATCCTCAAACCTAAAATAAAGCTTAAAAAAAAGAAGTCACCAACTCACCCTGGAGAGGTCAAGAAACATCTATGGAAAATGACGTTTGAGTTGAGATTAGAATGATAAGTACATTTTATCTTTGAACAATACTGATCTGAACTGCAAGGGGCCACTTATGTGCAAATTTTTTTCAATAAAAGTGGCACTGAGTGTGCCTGCCTCTCCTGGCTCCCTTTCTGCCTCCTCCACCTCTTCCCCTTCCGCCTCCCCGAGACAGCAAAACCAACCCCTCCACTTCCTCCTCCTCCTCAGCCTACTAATAATTAAATTTTATTGTGGAGAAGGGATCTTGCTGTGTTGCTTAGGCTGGTCTTGAACTCATGGCCTCAAGCAATCCTCCTCCCTTGGCCTCCCAAAACCCTGGGATTACAGGCATGAGCCACTATGCCCAGCCTATCACACATCTTTGTTTCTCTGAATGTTACTTTCGAGGAAGTTCTTAAACCTGAAGATGATGAGAATGGAAAACTTTATGATGATCCACTTCCACTTAATAAATAGCAAATATATTTTCTCTTCCTTGTGATTTTCTTAATAACATTTTCTTTCCCCTAGCTTACTTTATTGTAAGAATACAGTATGCAATGCATATAACATAAAAAAACAGGTGTTAATTGATGGTTTATGTTATTAGTAAGGGTTCCCATCAATAGTAGCCTATTAGTAGTTAAAGTTTTGCAGAGCCGAAAGTTATGTGCAGATTTTTTTATTGCATGGGGGTTGGCACCTCTAACCCCTGCATTGTTCGAGGGTTAACTGCAGATGTTAACCAGATAGTAGCTGTTCAGACAGAGGAAAGCATGGAGAGAGAATGGTGCATGGAATAAATAGAATCACTGTGAAGCTGAACTACATAAAGGGCAAAAGAAGAAAGTCAGGCCTGAGAAGAAAAGACAAGGGTACTTCAGATTTGCTTTATAAGCCATGCCAAACAGTTTCAACTTTATCTGAAATCCCCTAGGGAATCATAGAGATTTTTTTTTTTTAGACAGAGTTTCACTCTTGTCACCCAGGCTGGAGTGCAATGTCACGATCTTGGCTTACTGCAACCTCTGCCTCCAAGGTTCAAGCGATTCTCCTGTCTCAGCCTCCCGAGTAGCTGGGATCACAGGCACCTGCCACTACACCTGGTTAATTTTTGTATTTTTAGTAGAGACAAGGTTGGCCATGTTGGCCAGGCTAGTCTCAAACTCCTGACCTCAGGTGATCCGCCCACCTCGGCCTCTCAAAGTGCTGGGATTACTGGTGTGAGCCACTGCACCCAGCCCATAGAGAGATTTTGAAGAGTTAATCAAATCAGGTTATTAGTTGGCTCACTGATAATTGAGAAACATCATGTGGCAGGCCTGAGGATGGAGACACTGGATCAAGGGAAAGACTAGAAACAGTTAAGACCAATTGTGGTGTTATTTGCGACAATCCTGGTAAGAGCAGCGAGGATGGACGGGGGAAAGGATGGATTCCTGAGATACGTAGGACAAAGCCTTAACAATCATGGGCAAACTGATCGTTAAACTGGTCACATTCTGCATCTCTACTGCTGACCTAATACCTGCACTGAGCAAATCAGTAGAGCTCAGCCCTGCCGGATCTGACCTGGAATTTGGAGAGCCACCAGAGAGGAGCACTAAGGGTCAACTCTCCAGATCCTGCAACAAGATGAGTTTGACTGTCAAGCATCTTTCCCACCAACACAGTGTCAAGTCTCCTAGCAAAGGGGCTGGCACAAAAGTGTATGATGGGGAGCAAGGTCTCTACACAGGGATGACAGTTGATGCATTAGCACTGTTGCAGAAACAGGACCAGCGATGGCCCACAGAAAACTCCTGGAGTCTGAAAGTGACTAAATTGGACTCCTGACAGCTTTAAACTCAGAGGCAGAGCCTGCATCTCAAACAGAAGAGGGAGAATTGTCTAAATGCTTCAATTCTTGTAATTGAAGCAATTGCACATCATTTTACATGCCAGCTCCCTGACAGGATAACCAGTTTGAGCTGAGTGTGGGAATTCAATTATGGATCTTCTGTCTGCATCTTTGAAAGAAAACAACCCAACTGGCCTGTCAAATATCCAGCATGTTTGCCTGTTGGAAATTGCTATCTCCTCCTGACACAGAAAATGTCTGTGCAGAAGAGAAACCTATTATATTTCAGAAAGCTAGCATAACCCTATTACAAAACCTGACAAAGAAAACTACAGACCAATTTTATCTATGAATATAAATGCAAAATCCCTAAATAAAATATAAGCATATGCAATGTGGCAGTATAACACAAAGCTTTTCCATTAAAAATCGGAAACAAAATAAGGATACCCACAATGACCTAATTATTTTAAATTGCTTTGAAATGTCTGGCCAATGCAATAAGACAAGAAATATAAATAAATAAAGGGTATAATTATTGAAAAGCAAGTGGTAACATCTCTCATTATTCGCATACGTGATTATCCACCTGGAAAATCTAAGCAAATAAACTGAAAAAGTTCTTAACCCCCGTAAGAGTTCCCTGGTTACTTTCCTAAGAACTTAACCTAAAGTAACTTTCAGAGAGTATCAAAGATTTATGATAGGCTGGGCACAGTGGCTCACGCCTGTAATCCCAAGGTTTTGGGAGTCCAAGGGAGGAGGATTGCTTGAGGCCATGAGTTCAAGACCAGCCTGAGCAACACAACAGGCTCCCTTCTCCACAATAAAATTTAATTATTAGCTGCACATGGTAGCATTTGCTGTAGTCCCAGCTATTCAGGAGGCCGAAGTGGGAGGATCTCTTGAGCCCAGAAAGCAGAGGCTGCAATGAGGTATGTTTGAACCACTGCACTCCAGTCTGTGAAACAGAGCAAGACTCTGTGTCTTAAAAAAAAAAAAAAAAAAAAAAAAAAAAAAAAAAAAAAGTGATAGAAGGATTCTCATCCCAGAATTATTTTTATTAGTGAAAAAAACAAAAATAATCTAAACATCTAACAATGAGGATGTGATTAAACATGTTACTTTAGATCCAAGTGACAAAATATGCAGGCATTAAGACATATTTTTAAAAATATTTGATAACTTGGACAAATGCTCGCATACTATCAGAATAAGAGCAAAATACAAACCTAAATACAGTATGATTTCTCTTTTGTAAAATAATCAAATAAAACAAATCAATGCTTATTTGCATAGAAAGCATACTGTGAGGAATATAAAAATGGTAATGTAGTTATCATTGGGTGGGGGCTTTTAACTTTTATAGAATTATAATACACATGAATTAGTTTTACAAATTACGCTACGACTATACTGTGAAATGTATAGGATTAGGCCAGATATCGAAGATACTTGCCAATCTGCTTCTACATAAATATATGACGATTTTCTATGAAAATCAGACACTCCAAAACACAAAAGGGCCTGTGATAGTATTATCCCTTGAAGACCTGGGCTGCCACACAATGCTAACAACTAGCTTCACTCAGAATTTGGCGGGAGCTGGCCTTCCTGGACAAGACCCTAACCTTCAACCTTATCAGCAGACAAAGCCCTTTTTCTTTTCTGGGTCCAGTTAGAGTCTAATTTGTCACCCAACTCCTTTTTTGCCACACTCCTATCTCCACTGGGCCCCTCTGGCCAATCCTTATAAAAGCCACATGTGTGACCCCACCTGAGATGAGCTTCCCAGGTGAGCTCAGCCTCCAGGGTCACTCTATCAGAAACCACTTGAACTCCTAGCTCAGGATCTTCCCCCGGGATATCGACGATAGGGTCCTGGATTTACATGGGTTCTCCTTTAATAGATTTCTTGCCTGAATTTCCCTTTCTGATGAACCAAAGCAGACCCAAACTGGATGCCAACCTAACAGACCAATACAAAATGTTATGTCCGGAGGAGCTAAACTCAGACAGAATACTTTACCTACTGAAGGTGGCTTGGAGTGAGAAGACCCTGGGTGTTTATGAAGGCCAGTAAATTTAGAGAGAACTGGAAGTCAATACAGAGATACCAGGTGTGAATGCCCCACCCACAGAGCTAGAGCAAACCTACAAACCACAGATAAAGTCAAGGATAGGAAAGAGTCAGAGACTATGCAGAAAAGCCTGGACACAGCTGCAAAATCTTTGGGATAGCCCAGACTCAGTTTCAGTGATTTGCTGTACACATGTTATGATAGGTTAAAGCAAGGACGTAGGAACACAAGCTCAAATGCCCATAGAATGCAGGCAGTAATCTAAAAGAGTGAAGTGGGCCAGCTGGAGACCACGTGCCTCACGCAAAGGGGGACAGCCACTACTGAACCCTAACTAATTGTTGCCATGCAGAAACAAGGCTAGGAATCCAAATTTGTGTGTGAAGTTTCCCATTTTAAAATGTTGCCAACTGTTTTGAACATTATACAAGCCAAACAAAATACATTTGCAAGCTGCATTTTATCCCTGGAAAGAAATTCATGACTTCTAACTAACACAAAGTCTAAAAGGGGTGGGAAATTGATTCCAATAAGATTGACCCATCCCCAACTTTCCCTAAGAGGCTTCCCTTGCAGGAGTGTGAGAAAGGAGATGTTATGCTTTCACCTACTCCAGAATGTGACCCATCCTACCCCAGGGTCAAGGCAACGGGAAAACAGTCACCCACTGACTCTGAGCCTCATGCATTTCTTCTATGTGTTGGGGCCTGGTCAGTTCTCAAGGTTTGAATATGCATGCCCTCTGGAAACCAGGACCCTATAGTTGAAGTCCTAGAGGAGGATCCTGAGTCAGGAGTTTAAGTGGATTTTTATAGAGTGATGCTGGAGGATAAGCTCAACTGGGAAACTCATTTCAGGTGGAGTCACACATATGAGAAACTCAGAGGCACAACAGTAATGACTGCAGAAATCCAAATGTCATCACCACATCTAACAAGGTCCTATCCATTGAGAGCTAACCTGCTGGATGAGCTCTGATTGACCATTGTCTAATAATATGTGTCTCCAGAGTATAAACAAGTCCAAGTCAGAGAGGTAGATGGGTGGAAGACTTCCCTGAGAACTATGGGGTTTGTCAGCTTTTAAAATTCCCTACCAAATCCAGCTATCCCAATGCACATTGCTCAGTGTGTGCTCCATGATTTATCTCAGAGCCCTTCTGATACTTTCTTGGGATCTTGAGAAGTATAAAGCATGTATCTGTATGCTGTTGGCATTGGTACATATCAATGTAGGGAAAAAAATGCATATTTCACCTGAAAGCATTTCCAGATAGAAGAAACATGAGGCAGGATATTACTAATAAATAAATAAATAAATTTCCCAATAATTGAAGGACTTGAGTTTTTTAGAATTACCCTCTTAGGACCCATCACCATGAATGAAGACCCATACCAAAGCAGGTTTTGATGGTATTTCAGAATAATGAATAAAAAAGGCCAGGTATGGTGGCTCATGACTGTAATCCCAGCACTTTGGAATGCCGAGGTGGGCGATCACTTGAGGTCAGCAGTAAGACCGGCCTGGCCAACATGATGAAACCCCGTCTCCACCAGGTGCTGTGGCTCATGCCTGTAATCCTAGCACTTTGGAAGGCTGAGTTGGGTGGGGATTGCCTGAGTTCAAGAGTTTGAGACCAGCCTGGGCAACATGGTGAAACCCCATCTCTACTAAAATACAAAACGTTAGCTGGGCGTGGTGATGGGTGCCTGTAATCCCAGCTACTCGGGAGGCTGAGGCAGGAGAATTGCTTGAACCAGGGAGGCAGAGGTTGCAGTGAGCTGAAATCACACCACTGCACTCCAGCCTGGGCAACAGAGTGAGACTCTGTCAAAAAAAAAAAAAAAAGTCTGAGGATAAATAATTTCCAACTCCAAGTTTCTAGCCAAACTAGAAAGTTATTTGTGAGAGCATAATAAAGTCAGTTGTAGATATTCAGGGTCACAAAACACTTAGCTTCCCCTCACATTATCGCAGAAGCCACTAAAGGTAATAACAAGGAAAACAAAGACATAAAGCCCAGGAAACACATGATCAAAAGAACAGGGCAAGAAAGTTTGCAGGGTGAAGTTCCAGGATAACATCTGTATAGATGGCCCAAGGAGTGACACTCAAAACTGGAGCAGGAGATGGAGAATTCCTGGGGACACACACATGCACACACACACACATGAATCTGAAAACTCATCTAACACAGTTGATGACACTGAGTTTTGAGAGTTTTATTGGATAATTTGGGAATCAATACATATATAGAAAAATAAGCCAACCAACAAAAAAAGAGGCAATTATTAACTCCTGGAAAAATAAAAAGAAAGGAGCTATGGTCATAGGACACCTTATGGTTCATCTGAGAACAGTATTTTCATAATCATAATAATGTAAAACTATTTAACTTAAAATTGTGATATAACTGTATTGAGAGACTGACGGAAGAGGAAGAAGAATGCAATGGGGTGGGGATTGGAGTAATATTAAAAAAGCTAATTCTCATGTCCCATAGTAGGAGGTCAAAGAACTTTTTTAATTAGAAATTTATTTAAATCAAGAAATGGCAAAATAAGTATATGATTTACAAATATGAGGATAAATATCAGAAAAGCTGAGTGTTGAAAATGGTTGCCTCTTGGGAACTGGATTCAAAGGTCAGGTAGAGGTGGTCAGTGACTGCTGATCTTTGTTAAAATGTTTGCAGGATTGCACAATTAAATTATTTACAGGAATTACATTGATTTTAAAAAAATTAAAAAGAGATTTATATATATATATATATATATATATATATATATATGCTTTCTTACTTTGTGATTCTCTATTACCTGAAATGATCTGCACTGGTGGCACATATACTGTGATTTATTCCAATACTTGAGAAAACCCCTGAAGCCCTAGGTTTTATCATTACCTTCCTGCCCTTCTGTAATATAAATTTTTCTGTCACTGACATGCTCACCAAAATAATCAGCTTTTTTCCATCCCAGGCTACCACTACCTAAGTAGCTGCCACATTAACCTAGGTGAGAATTATGAAAACCTAGTCTAGGGTAGTAGAAGAAGGAATGGAGATGCAGGAATAAATACCGAGATATTGAAAGGGTTCAGTAGGCAGCTGATGAGATGCAGCTTGGGTCAACAGGGTGAGGGAAAGGCATTGAATATAATAGTAAGGCTTTGATCTTCATTGACATGAAGAAAGAAAGAAAACAAAAGGAGAGATACACTTGGAATAAATGATTTTGTGTTGGGATGTTGAATTTTAGTTTCAGTGGACAACCAATTTAGACATGTTACACTATTAAACATACACTTTGTCCATGATCACTGGAATCCCAGGACAGCATAACTCAGACAGAGAACTCATGGCAACAGAATCTTAGAAGATTATATTGGCCACGGTGGGCCCCATAACACAGAAGACAGATAAAATCCTGGAGCAAACCTGCACCAGAGGAAAGCTATCAAAAATACTTCATTACTGCCAAAATCACAGCAACTTCCAAAGCTCCCTTCCCAAAACAGCACAGTGTCCACCTGATGACAGAATAGTGGAAGTGGTGCAGAGACAGTGTGCAAACTTTGACCTTTGTCATAAGAGTGTTTATGTCACTCATAGCATTCCAAAAGGCCATTAACCAGATTTCATGATGTCCTATGGCAAATCTCACAGGTTCTAAATTCTTGATTTTATATACTGGATTAGAGGAAGCTGATTGTATTAGCCCATTTTCACACTGCTGATAAAGACATAGCCAAGATTGGGTAATTTATAAAGGAAAGAGATTTAATGGACTCACAGTTCCACATGGCTGGAGGCCTCACAATCATGGTAGAAGAGCAAAGGACATCTTATATGGCAGCAGGCAACAGAGAGCTTGTGCAGGGAAACTCCCCCTTATAAAACCATTAGATCTCATGACACGTATTCACTTTCACCAGAACAGCATGGGAAAGACCCACTCCCATGACTCAGTTACCTCCCACCAGGGCCCTCCCATGACACATAGGAATTGTGGGAACTACAATTCAAGATGAGATTTGGGTGGGGACACAGCCAAACCATATCACTGATATTTCTCCATCTTTTGTACTTTGGTATATGATCTTCCTCAGCCTATTCTTTAAACATTGATGTCCTCTTCTCCTTTTCTCCTTGGGCAATTTTATCTATTTTATCCCCATATATAAGGTAAGAAAATCAAGGAAATGAAAACGATTCAGACCCTTGGATCAGCTTCTCTCTCAGATGCAGGAAGACAGGAAGAAGGAGAGTACCATAATCATACATTGGTAGTTTAATGTACAATGAGTCTATCCACCAGCAAAGACCTAAACTTTGACCAATCACATTACTGTCCCTCCTACATCTGGAAAACTTACAGAATGTTCTCTAAGGGAGGAACACTCAGGGAGAAATGTGAAATAGAATCAGCTAAAAAAGATGACTAGAAGACTTATTTAGCTTAAAAACACTACATCAAGGGATGTGGTATACAACTGAGGTAGCGGCCGGGTGCAGTAGCTCACACCTGTAATCTCAGCACTTTGGGAGGCCAAGGCAGGAAGATTGCTTGAGCCCAGGAGCTCGAGACCAGCCTAGACAACATAGTGAGACAAAAAATTAAAAAATAAAAAATTTGCCAGGTATGGCGGTGCACACCTGTAGTTCCAGCTACTCAGGAGGCTGAAGTGGGAGGATCACTTGAGCCTGGGAGTGAGCCAAAATTGCACCACTGCACTCTAGCCTGGGCAACAGAGTGAGACCCTGTCTCAAAAAAAAAAAAAAAAAAAAAAAAGAAAGAAAGAAAAAAGAAAAGAAAAGAAAAAGAAAAAAAGAACTACAGCAGAGATTGCCAGTTGCCAAAAATTGTCTATTTTTCCCTCCTTCACTAACAATGAAATCTGATTTTATTTGAGGTAGCAGTGCATTTATAAAAAACTACTCTGCCCCACCTTCCTTGAGGCTACATGTGGCCATATGATTATGTTCTAGTCAATGAAATGTAGATGGAAATGTTGGGTTGAGCTTCCAAGAAAGCTTTGTAAAAGAAGTTACTTCAGCTGAGACATCTGCCTCCTTTCCCTTCCTTTCTTCCTCCATCTTCCTGCCTCAAATACAGGCATGACGATTAGAGACCCAGCAGGCATCTTTGACCATGAAGTGGCCTTGATGCTAAAAGCCAATGGCTTATATTACCAGAAAGATACAAGGAGCTGGGTCAATCATGAAGTTGACTTTATAGACTTGAGAGGCTTCCTCCAGACTTTGTTTTACATTGAAGAGAAATAAACTTCTCTTTTTTTTTTTTTTTGAAACCATCATTCTCAGCAAACTATTGCAAGGACAAAAAACCAAATACCGCATGTTCTCACTCATAGGTGGGAAATGAACAATGAGAACACTTGGACACAGGAAGGGGAACATCACACACCGGGGCCTGTTGTGGGGTGGGGGTAGGGGGGAGGGATAGCATTAGGAGATATACCTAATGTTAAATGATGAGTTAATGGGTGCAGCACACCAACATGGCACATGTATACATATGTAACAAACCTGCACGTTGTACACATGTACCCTAGAACTTAAAGTATAATAAAAAATATATATATATATATATACAAACTTCTCTTTTTAAATCAGTTTTAATTTTAGTTTCCTAATACAGGCAACCGAACTCAGTCCTACTAAGTGATGCAGAAATTATTCAGTCGGTGCAAAAGTAATTGCAGTTTTTGACATGACTTTTTATAAAGTGTATGTTTAATTCAGCTATAAATGTCCCCAAAGTGATTGTAATCCTTTAAGGAATGTATTTCCAAATAAATCTTCCTGGAAGAGTGTAACCAAAGTCTACTGCTAAAAGAAACTATCACTGAAATATTTACTGTATGAACAGTCTCTTCTATGAATACTAAGTTTGCTGGGAAAGGTGACTGGAGTAGTGAAAAAGACTGAGGCAAGTAAAGTAAAGGGGAAACTTTTCTTCAGATGGGTAAAAGAGAAGAAATAATGCTTTTGACACTGTAGGGAGGAGGAAATGCTGTTTTCTATGTAAGCAGTGGCTCTTCTATTTTTCTTTTTCCTGAAAGGTTTGATTGCGTGGTCTCTGAAAAGAGGTTAAGAAGGAAAGACAGATAGTGAAAATGTGAAGGAAAATCTCAAGTGCGCTCAAGGCTGAGATACAGCTGAGGGGAAAGAAAAAAACCTGGAAAGGGGGTTATTTGGAGGCTTTGGTGACAATCTTGCCTGTTTGATGGAAATCTGAGTTAGTCCTGGAGGTCTGGATACCAAGTTAGGATTCACAGTGAATTATAAGGTTGGCTCCTCTACCAGATCTACCCTGCTACTCAGATCAAATGAGCATAGCCCACTATCACCACCTGATGGAAGCATACCTAAATTACAGGAGCAAAGCTGGTGGAAAGTCTTAATACACAGAGAACATTCCTTTTCCATTTTCTTAAACTTCTCTCAATTACTGTTCTGCCATTACCTATCCAGATAATAATATTCTTTATGTTTAAAGTTATGTTTATTGTGGTTACATTTATGACATGATTACAGCTTGCAAAGAGCTTTTGAATACATGTTCTTATCCAATTAGCATGGCATATCTATAAAGTTATTGGGAAAGATTAGAAAACTAAGGCTCAGAAAGATTAAATGATGAACTAAAATGCTCTTTAAAAAGGAGACCTCTTAGGCCAGATGCAGTGGCTCACTCCTGTAATCCCAGCACTTTGGGAGGCTGAGGCAGGTGTATTACTTTAGGTCAGGAGTTCAAGACCAGCCTGGTCAACATGGCAAAACCTGTCTCTACTAAAAATACAAAAATTAGCTGGGGGTGGTGGCATGTGCCTGAGTCACAGCTACTCAGGAGGCTGGGGCAGGAGAATTGCTTGAACCTAGGTGGCGGAGGTTGCAGTGAGCCAAGATCACACCACTGCACTCCAGCCTGGGTGAAAGAGCAAGACTCCATCTCAAAAAAAAAGAAAAAAAAAAGACGGAGGGAGACATCTTATATTCTTAAGTTTCTTGACATAATTTAGTGTTCATTTCCACTAATCCATGCTGACTTTAGAATAAATGTAGAGGGTTTTCATTTTATGTTTCATTGGTCAGGAATCAGTTTTTCTCTGAAGTGTTTCATAGGGATGAATCAAGAGAGGGACTAAACCCTATTCGACATGACTCTCTTTGGACATTAGTAATAATGAAGTATAGGCGTCATTAGTGACAAGTTAGTGTTGTCTGAGAAGTGAAAGTAATATTTCTGCCCACTGTCACTGACTGAATCTCCTCTGCTGGGCCAATTTCACAGTACTGAGTAAATCCTCAGACTGCCATCCTTTTCTTTAGCCATTTAACTTACAAGATTATTATTTTTATAAAAATGAGAAATGCCTTTCTGTCACTGCTCACAAAGAAACTACTGAAATTTCTGCTCATTTCAAAATAATTTGTCTACTTCTTTAACTTTCATCCAAGTCAATTGTGTTGTGAATCCTGGCAGCTGAAAGTGAAGCTCAGAAGGACTGACCATCAAGAATTAGATTCAGAGCAAGTTATGAAGCATTTTCATGTGGTTTATATAATTTGATCCAATAATCCAGCATTGCAGCCACTGGCATTATTTTTAGCTTGTATCTAAGAAAACTGATACTGTGAGACTTAAATATCTTACTCAAAACAGAAAGTGGTGGAGCTATGAAGTAAATGCAGGATTTTTTTAAACTCCAAACTTCAAGCTTTTTCCGCAACACCACACTGAATTAAAATTTCTACCTGGTCTCTGTATAAAATAAGGGTTAGAGCCAGCAGATTAGCCACAATGGAGAAGATGTGGAATAATTTTTACTTTTGAGTTGCCCATCGTGATGGTTAATTTTATGTTTCAACTTGACTGGGCTAAGTGATGCCCAGATATTGTTTTTGGTGTGTTTTGGGAGGAAATTCACATTTTAATCAGTAGACTGAGTAAAAAAAAAAAAAAAAAAATCCATCATCAGTGTGGAAGGACCTAAATAGAACAAAAAGTCAGAGGAAGGGCAAATTCTCTCTGTCTTCAAGTGGGGACATTCATCTCCTGCTCTTGGATACTGGAGTTTCTGGATCTCAGGCCTTCGGATTTGGACTGAATTACATCACTGGCTTTCTCCTGAGTCTCCAGCTTGCAGATGGCACATCATGGAACTTCTCATCCTTCATAATCACACGAGCCAGATCCCATAATAAGTATCTTCTTATACATTTATATCTATCTACATCTATATATATAAAAATATGTATATCTTATTGGTTCTGCTTCCTTGCTGAACCTTGACTAATACACTCATGTTATACAAACTATTTCAAAGACTTATAAAAGAAATCCGTAAAGCTTAGAATCACCATGAAATAAATTAGATTACTATTCTTACTATAAAAAGAGCTTTTTAAAGTCATTTTTTAAAAATCCTAATTCTAAAATGAAAAAAAGCAAAGATCGTGAATAGGCAATTGATATAAGAAAAAATGTAAATAAGTACAAATATTAAGTGATACTAATAATTAAAGACATTTTAGGGACATATAATCATCTTTCACTTCTAGACCCAAAGTACTAATTGAGTAATTGATTCTCCAGAAAATTAGTAATGACCAAGGTCTGTTAAACTGGCAAATATTCAGTATAGGAAGGTGTAAAACTCTCTCATAAACTATCTGTAGCAGTATAAATTGGCTCAATCATTCTGGAAATGTGAGATATTCCAGAAATATGGAGTAATATGGGCAAAAGAGTACAAAATGTTCATACTAAAGACTTCTGGATTAAAATCAGCAGCCCAATCTAAACTTCTCAGTAAAATTTGAAAACTCACAATATACTCCATAAACTAGGATTGATACAAGTTAATGTCATTGTAAGGAAAAATTGGCCAATAAGTATGAGAGACACAAATCAGGATTAAAAATTACAGCTGATAGGCTAAATGTTCTAAGCTGGCACCAAGAGCCTCTAAGCCTTAATTGACAATTAGATGAGGGAGTTTCAAAGGAAAGGCAAGACTGCTGGCATGCACAGAAGAGAAGGCACTGAGTTAGCTATAATATGCTGCTAAGAAAGGGTTATATCTAAAGATTACTTATATTTGCTCTGAGGATTCTATTAACAAATATACAAATATTAAAATGGATGGAGATGAAAGTCCATTTTTAGCAGAGTCATATTTACTTTACAACCATATAATTATGAATCGTATTCTGGCTAGCTTGTTTAAAAGCAGTTCCTCTGAGACATAATAATTTCAAAGGTGCTACCATCTTTTAAATGTAACCCCTAAATCCTGAGGATATACACAGGTGTGTCTTAGGAAATGTTTATTTTTGCAATGGTGATTACCTGAAAACAAGTTTATTTACTCAGAAGTTGTGAAATACATGCCAGCATTATAACAAGTAACCCTCTCCCTATAATCTCATTTACATCAAGACTCATTGTGTTTACTTTCTCCCAATAGACTTATTTTCAAAGATGAAGAAATTCTAGCAGATTTTTCTTTCTCTTTCTTTCTTTTTTCTTTCTTTCCTTCTTTCTTCCTTCCTTCCTTTCTTCCTTTCTTTTCTTTTCCTTTCCTTTCTTTTTTTTTTTTTGAGATGGAGTCTCGCTCTGTCGCAGAGGCTGAAGTGCAGTGGCACAATCTCAGCTCATTGCAGCCTCCATCTCCCAGGTTCAAGCAATTCTTGTGTCTCAGCTTCCTGAGTAGCTGTGACCACAGGCGTGCACCACCACGCCTGGCTAAGTTTTGTATTTTTAGTAGAAACAGGGTTTCACCATGTTGCCCAGGCTGGTCTTTAACTCCTGACCTTAAGTGATCTGCCCCCCTCAGCCTCCCAAAGTGCTAGGATTACAGGTGTGAGCCACCATGCCCAGCCGGATTTGTTTCTTGAAAAGCCAGATACATTGAAGTTTTTTTCATACATAATAAGGGATATGGGCGCTTCCTGAAAAAGATTTACTGCAGTTATCAGAAGAAATTTTGGAAAATGCTCAGCAACTTGAAAGTAGCCAAGAAGGCAAGTCTGAGGCTGTTTAAACACCTCAGTATAACCAGGCATGCAAGGGGTAGGCCACCAAAACACAAGAAGCCCACCAATCTTGAAAACATACAGATAAAAGTCAGTCACACACTTTATTTCACACATGGCATTGATACCTAACCTCAAACAACTGTATTATAACCAAGGTAAGCTTCAACTACCTTAGGAGAAAAACTGGTGACAAAAGAAACAAAGTCCTGTTCCAGTGTGAAACTTACTTTGGGGTATCCCAGTTACTCCTCACCAAAATACCTCACATATACAGGGTTACAGTGGAAAGTCCCTTATAAATATATGACACTACTCACTACCTTAACCACAATTTATTGGTTCATATCTGCTATGGTTTGAATGTGTGTCCTCAACAAAACTCATGTTGGCATTTAATGGCCATTGTGACAGTGCTGAAAGGAGGGAACTTTAAGAGGTGATTAGGATGAATGAAGAGGCCATATGGATTTATGCCATTACTGTAGGAGTGAGTTAGTTGTCATAGGAGTAGGCTGTTGATAAAAGGATAAGTTCAGCCCCCATTTGCTCTCTGTCTCATGCATTCTCTTGTCTTCCCACCATGTTATAACACAGCAAGAAGGTCTCCACCAGACATAGTCCCTGATCATGAACTTCCCAGCCTCCAGAACTATAGGCCAAATAATCTCTTTTCTTTATAAGCTACCCAGTCTGTGGTGTTCTGTGATAGCAACTAAAAATGGACTAAGACAACATCTGAGTACTTTACCCAGGAAGCATCAATCAGATTCTTTCTTTCTGGAAATTGGAAGTAAGACTAAGACTCCCCTCCATGATGACTGCTTTCTGAATAAAGAGTTATTGGCAGTGATTATTTGCATTATATACTAGTTACCCATTGATGTGTAAAATATTAGCACAAAACTCAGTGGATTAAAGAGTAAGCATGTTTTCTCACAGTTTCTAGGTAGTTTCTAGTACTCAAGAATTCCACAGGGGATGAGCTGTATTGTTCTAGCTCACAGTCTCAGATGAGTTTTCAGTCAGGATGCCAGCTGGGCCCAGAGTCTTCTGAAAGTTGATTGAGGCTGAGCAATCCAGTTCCAAGATTACTCATTCACTGCTGGCAGGAGGCCTCAGTTCCTCACCACATAAACCTTTCCACAGGAGTGCTTGAGTCTCCTCATAACATGGCTTCCTCCAGAACAAAAGATCCAAGAAAGAGAGCAGGGAAGGGGCCACTATACTACAGAAGCATATACACAGAGAGAAACAGAAGTGAGTAAATGAGAAAGAGGTCTGCCTGGGTTTCCTGACTGAAGTCCATTACTAAAGACCCCTCTGTACCCCTGCCCTTGATGGTTTCTTAACTAAGAAAATAAATTTTCTTACTTAAGCTATCTTGAGTTGCCTTTAGTTACATTATAACCAATAAAATCTTAATCATTATAAGGATTACTTTGATGTAAAAATGTGATTCTTCTGATTATTCTGCTTCAGCCACCTTGCTCACTGATCTAAACACCAAGGTACTGGATCTTTATATTGGATACCCTAGAGTTGGTGTCCCTCCTCCAGATGATCTCACCTACCAAAAACATCAAAATAAAATAACCACAAGTACCCCATTATTGCTCCTTCCAAACCTGCCCCTCCCCTTTCTCAATACTGCTTAGTGATATAAGAAGACAGAGAACATAAAACAAGAAATAGGAATCAAAAATTCTCTCAAGCGTATATGGTCTGGGTAGTGATTGTACAGAATTTCTGACAAGGGAGCCTCCCTGAAAGTTTGAATTCAAATTCAAGAAAAGGTGACCTGTGCTACTAAAGCCAATTTTTAAAAATCAATGTTTAATGAATGACCTTAGTCATGTGCTAAAAATGTTCCTCTTCACTTATCCTCAACTGCCTGGGCAACACGTCTTGAACTGTATTCCTGAAGGCATAAGGAAGTCTCCAAAATTCAACCAAAAAGATTATGGGGAGGGATGGCATTATGTTAATGATGTAAAGAGTAAACCCTCTCCAAGTTACTTGCCTGTCAGGAGTCTATGGGTTCTGTGATGACTGATGGAGAAAATTAGAGTTTAAGGCTTTGCCAGTGTTTGTACTGTCCAAGGCAAAGAAATATTTATGGTAGATGTAGTGGTTTTGTCCACTGAAAACGTTTGGTTTAAAATGGAACAGGAGAGATGAAGAGCAGCATCACTAATGAGCAGCAGGAGATGACCTTAAAGCAGAAACCTTCACTGGCCCTGCGCTCACCTGTAAGCTCCAGAAACATGGCAAAGAAGAGGAGGACTCTGGCCTCTTGGACATCAGAGGAGGAAATGGCAGCAGAAACTGCAGCTCTGTGGGTCTACTTTCAGTGACACAGGTCCTGAATTCCAGCAGAAGGGCTAATGTCAGTCAGTTTGAAGAGCCCCACAAAGGAACTGAATCAGCATGAAAATGCAGTTTCTTCATCTCCTCATCCTGCGACTTCACCCTGCATTCTTCAACCAATGATCCACCTGCCAACCTCAGCCTACTCCAAACTCCTTAAAATCCCAGGTCCCACACTCCTCAGAGAGGTGGATTTGAGATTTCCTCCTGTCTCCTCATTCAACATCCTTATGACTAAACTTCTTTCTCTGCTGCAAAAATTAATAAACAACCCAGTACTTTGGGAGGCCAAGGCAGGTGGATCATCTGAGGTCAGGAGTTCGAGACAAGCCTGACCAATATGGGGAAACCCCGTCTCTACTAAAAATAGAAAAATTAGCTGGGCGTGGTGGCGGGCACCTGTAGTCCCAGCTACTTGGGAGGCTGAGGCAGGAGAATTGCTTGAACCTGGGAGGCAGAGGTTGCAGTGAGCCGAGATCACACCATTGCACTCCAGCCTGGGTGACAGAGCGAGAATCCATCTCAAAAAAAAAATAAATAAATAAATAAGTAAGTAAGTAAAATAGAACAGAATAAAACATCTCCCATACCCTTCCAAAGTGATTGAGAAATATTTTTCTAAGGAGAAGGAAAAAGAACTAGTATTTTTAGATATTATGCAGTGTAGCTGGCATTACGCTAAGTACTTGTATAATCCCTACAAACTTATAAAGTATAGACTTATAGTGGACACTGGGAAATGCTGTCAAGATCCCCTCTTCAAAACCAATGCACTCTAACTGCTGGGAATAGAGGCTGTTAGAAGCCCACAGCTGTACCTCTCACTAAAAACTGCCCTCAGTTATATGGAATGACATCATCCAAGGTCATACACCCTCGGCATGGTATATGGCCACAGATTGATTAATGTAAAGGTTCAAAGGCTCAGCCCTTCTCTCCCAATTTGAGACAACTTGAAGGGTTATCCCAACTCTGAAGTCCCTATCCAAGTTCCAGAGATCTCAGTTACAGCCACATTGCAGGTCAGTTTATCCCTTCTACAATTCTCACTTTCTTACAAGTATGTCTCCCCAGTAAGACTCTGCTTGCAAGTCTCAGTTTATTTCTAAAAATCCACTTTAAAGTTGTACTATTATCTCTATTATTCAGATGATAAACGCTTCAGAGAATTTTACCAAAGGTCTGCAGTCACACAGCTGATGGTAATTCCAAAGTTACATGGTTCCCAAATTGAGTCTCCTCCAATCATCCATTCCACATCTTTTCCCATTTTCCAGGTGCCTTAATTACTGGAAGGGTGTCCTAAGGATTAGACCTGAGACTTCTTGTCACTGCAGTGGTTTATCTTCCCTCCTTGTAATAGTGCAAATTTGGTTTGTAAATTAGACTCAGTGTGTCTAGACAATGTGAGTCTGTCCCTAAAGAGATCCCATTTCTAAGGGAATGGATAAAATAGTTTCAGACACTTTGAGTCAGTCTTGCCTGAGAATCTGCCTGTCATCACTGTAGCTACCCTGGTCTTTTATATCATCTGCTTGGTCCACAATGATAAATGTTTTATAGCTTTCCAACAGGACCAAAGCAGACTTCTGACTATGTTCTCCATAGCAATAAGCTCTCTCTGGGTACTTCAGGTAGACTAACTTGGAGGAGCATATTTAAAGAACAGGGGCCAGGCATGGTGGCTTAGACCTGCAATCTTAGCACTTTAGGAGGCTGAGATGGGAGGATCGCTTGAGCCCAAGAGTTCAAGACCAGCCTGGGCAACACAGCGAAACCCTGTCTCTACAAAAATCAAAAAATTAGCTGGGTATGGTGGCACATGCCTGTAGTCCCAGCTACTCAGGAGGCTGAGATGGGAGGATTGCTTGAGCCCGGGAGGTGGAAGGTGTAGTGAGCCATGATCATGCCACCACACTCACAGAGTGGGACGCTGTCTCAAAAAAATTTTTTTTTAGGAAGAAGAGGGTGAGATTATTTAGAGAAATGTGCAGCTCCAAATTCTGTGAGTCCAGCCCATCAAGGCTGTGGGCAAGGGGGATCAGGATGAGTGGCACCTGGGGAGCCCTAGACATGGAGAGTTGTATCTCCGGGCTTTGAATTTCAAATGCAGCAACCAGCAAAGTGATTTATTAGACTGACCTCATGGATCTATATCAGATACATCTCAACTTCACATAAGGATCAACAATCCCAGAAATTGCCTTAATATTGGAAAAAATATATATATATATATATCCTTTTTATGGCTGCCTTTGAGAACCTCATACAACGAATGACTCTGAAAAATAGTAATTTTTCTGTATAGAAGATGAAAAGAGATTCTTTGATTTGTTTATCTCCATTTTAAAATTGTTTGATTCTTTTCATTTATTTTTCTTTTTAAATTACAAAAACAATAATATTGATGATAAATTTTTGGACAATATGGAAGAGCATAAAATAATAAGTAAATTCCCATTTAATCCTCTCCCAAATCCACCCTTCTGAGATGTTATGGTCTGGGGTATGTTCTTTCAGACTTTTCTCAATGTCTTGTCAAATTTACATATGTACATACATACAAACTTGGAAAAATATACTTACACACACACAAACACACATATATACAAACACATATAGTTGTAACATAAATGTTATTATGTTTTATGTTCATTGTCTTCTGTTATTCAACACAATCCAATGGATTATTGTATTATGCATCTAGTCAATGCAACTCATTGCCACTTAATTATCAGCAACTACAGTGAGAATACTGATCATAAAGCGTATTTTGAGCAGACAGTGTTTCAAGGGCTTTTCATCTATTAACACATTTACTCTTCATGCACTGTTTACAGATGAGGAAACTGAGAACCCCAGACATAGCATTAAACTTGCCCAAGGGCACACAGTCAGTAAGTGACTTAGCTAGGATTTGGGCTCAGGTAGTTTGACTTAAGAACCCTGTTCTAGATGCTGGAGAGGATGTGGAGAAATAGGAACACTTTTACACTGTTGGTGGGAGTGTAAATTCGTTCAACCATTGTAGAAGACAGTGTGGCGATTTCTCAAGGATCTAGAATCAAAAATATCATTTGACCCAGCAATCCCATTACTGGGTATATACCCAAAGGATTGTAAATCATTCTACTATAAAGATATGCACACATATGTTTATTGCAGCACTTTTCACAATAGCAAAGACTTGGAACCAACCCAAATGTGCATCAATGATAGACTGAATAAAGAAAATGTGACACATATACACCATGGAATACTATGCAGCCATAAAAAAGGATGAGTTCATGTCCTTTGCAGGGACATGGATGAAGCTGGAAACCATCATTCTCAGCAAACTAATACAGGAACAGAAAACCAAACACCTCATGTTCTCACTCATAAGTGGGAGTTGAACAATGAGAACACATGGACACAGGGAGGGGAACATCACACACCGGGGCCTGTTGGCGGGTGGGGGGCTAGGGGAGGGATAGCATTTGGAGAAATATCTAATGTAGATGACGGGTTAATGCGTGCAGCAAACCACCATGGCACTTGCATACCTATGTAACAAACCTGCACGCTCTGCACATGTATGCCAGAACTTAAAGTATAATTTAAAAAAAACCTGTTCTGATAGTATGGGGAACATCTCTCTAATCAATCACAACAGGAAATTGGGAGAAGATGCCCTGGACACTCCCAAGGTAACAGAGTGACCCATTGCAAGGTCTATCACCAAATCCTGAGGTTCCCAAATGTCTATTTCAGAGGCTCTGAAGACTGAGTGCATACAGGTTTCCCCTATGTAGAGTTGCCACCGCCACATACTCCAGGAGGAATGGTCCATGAAGCTTAATCTCAGAAATAAAATCTGAACCTAAAACATAACTACCATTCAACCCAGCAATCTCATTGCCAGGTATGTATCCAAAAGAAAATAAATTGTTCTACCAAAAAGACACATGCACTCATATGGTCATTTCCGCACTATTCACAATACTAGAGACATGGAATCAACCTAGGTGCCCATCAACAGTGGATTCAATAAGGAAAATATGCACATATACTCCATGGAATACAATACAGCCATAAAAAAGAATGAAATCACATCCTTTGCAGCAACGTGGATGCAGCTGGGGGCCATTATCCTGTGCAAATTAACACAGGAACAGAAAACCAAATCCCACTTAGAAGAAGGAGGTAAACATTGAGTACTTACAGACATAAAGATGACAACAATAGACGCTGGGGACTACTAAAGTGGGGAAGCAGTGAGGGGCAAGCATTGAAAAACTAACTGGTGGGTACTATGCTCACTACCTGGGTAACGGGATCATTCATACTCCCAACCTCAGCATCATGCAATATACCTAGGTAACAAACCTGCACATGTACCCACTGAATCTAAAATAAAAGTTGAAAACATTTTTTTAAAAAAGAAATAAAATCTTAGTAAAGGATCCCAGTGTCTTCATTTATTGTAGCCTCTAAAGACCAGCACACAACACTGGATTTTATTTTGGATTTTATTATGATTCAGAGGAAACACGAAGCATAAGTTTTAAAATTAAGAACACAGTAGGCATTTAACAAAAGGTAGATGGGTGATGGATGATGGATGCACAGGTGAACAAACGAACATGCAGAAAAAACAAAGGAGAGCCATGAAAGCTGCCTTGAGCCCTAGAAATGAACCTGTATTAATCTGTTCTCACACTGCTGTAAAGAACTACCTGAGACTGGGTAATTTATAAAGAAAAGAGGTTTAATTGACTCACAGTTCCACGGGCTTAACATGAAGCATGGCTGAGAGGCCTCAGGAAACTTACAGTCATGGCGGAAGGTGAAGGGGAAACAAGCACCTTCTTCATGTGGTGGCAGGAGAGAAAGTGTGAGGGAGGAAGTGTCATACACTTTCAAACCATCAGATCTTGTGAGAACTCACTCACTATCACGAGAACAGCATGGGAAATTCCACCCCCACAATCCAATCACCTCCCACTAGGTCCCTCCCCCAACATTGGGAATTACAATTCAACATGAGATTTGGGTGGGAACATATTGCCAAACCATACCAGAGCCCAAGTCTTAACCCTTGAATCACAGCTTGTCCCTGGCTCCAGGTGCAGAATGTTCCTGTAGTTCCAGCAACACTCATATTGAGACGGAGTCTCATTCTTGTCGCCCAGGCTAGAGTGCAGTGGCACAATCTTGACTCACTGCAACCTCCACCTCTGGGTTCAAGCAATTCTCCCGCCTCTGCCTCCCAAGTAGCTGGGATTACAGGCACCTGAAACCAGGCTCAGCTAATTTTTGTATTTTTAGTAGAGACGGGGTTTCATCATGTTGGCCAGGCTGGTCTTGAACTCCTGACCTCAGTTGATCCACCCGCCTCAGTCTCCCGAAGTGCTGGGATTACAGGCGTGAGCCACCATGCCTGGCCAACACTCGTATTTTTCTGATTTGGAGATTTAATGGGTACTTCACAGACCCCACTGAACCCTGAAGGTCACTTCTTTGCCACTTTTCCACCAACCAGTTCTCTCTTGGACTTTTCTTGCCTTCTTTCTTACTAGCCTTCCTTCTGATTTTCTCTGACTTCTTTAATTTTCCTTTATTAATTTTATCTGGCTCTCTTGCTCTAATTAAAAATGTAGTATTTGCTCAATATAACCAGTGAAATAATGCAAAGATATACAAAGAAACACTTCTTAATGCTTCCCCTTCCATTCCAGCCTTCCTGAGATAACCAATATTAACAGCCTAGAGAGTGTTTTTCCACTTCTTTCTTATACTCATGGAAACATACACAAACACATAATCATACATAGAAAGGATTTTTGGTTGGTTTCACAAAAATAAGATCATGGTATCCACCTTGTTTTACAACTTTTTTCATCCTAAATTATCAGGAGACCCCGCCCAGTCAATCGGTATAGATATAACTCATTTTTGATGTCGTTAAACATGTTTTATACTTATTACACAGCAAAATCAACCTTTTGGGAGTGTATAGTTCTATGAATTTCAGCAATGTCTGCATTCACGTGATCACCACCACAATAAACATGTACATTTCCACCACCCCAAAAAGTTCCTTCACATCCAGTAGTCACACCCTCCTTCCATCCCTAAGCCCCAACAACCACTAATCTGTTCTTCAACATTATAGTTTTGTCATTTCAAGAATGTCACATCGGCCAGGCATGGTGGCTCACGCCTGTAATCCCAGCACTTTGGGAGACTGAGACTTTGGGAGACAACAAATAAATCAGCCAAGTATAGTGGCACATGCCTGTGATCCCAGCTACTTGGGAGGCTGAGGCAAGAGGATGGCTTGAGCTCTGGAGTTTGAGGCTGCAGTGAGCTATGATTATACCACTGCACTCTAGCCTGGGCAGCAGAGTGAAGCCCTTTCTCTAAAAAATTAAAAAAAAATAATTTTGTGGCTGAGAGAAAGGCTAGCATTTCTGTTGGCGATAATAGTATCTGTCTCTCAGGGGTCTTGTTAGGATCTTCAAAGACAGATCTGTCAGCAGCACTTTGGGAGACTGAGGCAGGTGGATCACCTGAGGTCAGGAGTTCAAGACCAGCCTGACCAATATGGTGAAACCCCATCTCTACTAAAAATACAAAAATTAGCTGGGTGTGGTGGCATGTGCCTGTAATTCCAGCTACTTGGGAGGCTGAGGCAGGAGAATCACTTGAACCCGGGAGACGGAGATTGCAATGAGTCGAGATCATGTCACTGCACTCTAGCCTGGGTGACAGAGTGAGACTCCATCTTAAAAAAAAAAAAGAACGTCACATCAATGAAATCACACAATATTTGAAATTGGCTTCTGTTGTCCCACATAATGCATTTGAGATTCCTCTAAGTCGTGTGTACCAATAGTTCACTCAGTTTTGCTGAGTAGTATTTCATAAAAGGGATGTACCACAGTTTATTTTTACTTACTGTTTTTAATGACTGCACTACATTCCATATGTGGACCCACGTATTCAATCAGTCTTGTACTGATGAACATTCAGGCTAGTTTCCAATTTTTCCACAAAGAAACAACGTTGAACATTATATTCTAACAGAGAGATGCTCTAATTTATATAACCCGATTTTTTTTTTTTTTTTGACATGGAGTTCCACTCTTGTTGCCCAGGCTGGAGTGCAATGGCGTGATCTCACCGCAACATTTGCCTCCCAGGTTCAAGCGATTCTCCTGCCTCAGCCTCCCAAGTAGCTGGGATTACAGTCATGTGCCACCATGCCCGGCTAATTTTGTATTTTTAGTAAAGATGGGGTTTCTCCATGTTGGTCAGGCTGGTGTCGAACTCCCAACTTCAGGTGATCCTCCCACCTCAGCCTTCCAAAGTGCTGAGATTACAGGCATGAGCCGTCGTGCCCGGCCATAGTCTGATTATTGAATGTAAGATTGCTTGGTAACACATTTGTGTAGCTTAACACTTAAGTTTTTCCTAGTATTCCTTGTTGTCACATTTCATATTCCCACCAGCAACGTATGAAAGTATTTTCTCACATTTTTGTCACCTTGAAATAGCTTCTCTTTTTAGTTTTTTCCCAGTCTAATGGATTAAAAAAAAAGGGATCTTATTTTAGCTTTAATTTGCATGTCCTTGAGCATCCTTAGAGATAACCTTTGGCCATTTGGATATCCTCTTCAGTGAGGGGTCCACTCATTGCCTTTGCCCATTTTCCTGTCAGGTGGTTTATTTGTTTCTTCTCATGGGAGTTCTTTGCATATTGGATATATTAATAGTTGTTCTGGGCTGGCACAATGGCTTACACTTGTAATCCCAGAACTTTGGGAGGCCAAGGCAGGAGGATCACTTGAGCCCAGGAATTTCAGATCAGCCTGGGCAACATATTGACATCCCATCTCTACAAAAAATAAATTAGCCAAATATAGTGGCACATGCCTGTGATCCCAGCTACTTGGGAGGCTGAGGCAAGAGGATGGCTTGAGCTCTGGAGTTTGAGGCTGCAGTGAGCTATGATTATACCACTGCATTCTAGCCTGGGCAGCAGAGTGAAGCCCTTTCTCTAAAAAATTTAAAAAAAATAATTTTGTGGCTGAGAGAAACGCTAGCATTTCTGTTGGCAATAATAGTATCTGTCTCTCAGGGGTCTTGTTAGGATCTTCAAAGAGATATCTGTCATGATGCCTGTAGGCGATTTGGGTTTTTTTTTTCCTAACCTATTAGAAATTGAGATGATAGTAGGTGATTTTGGAATGTACTTTTCCCTTTTCTCTAATGCAAACACTGAGCCAGGCCCAAGAAAGGGCAGCTGATCTATGCTTTTCACAGGTTGAGGAAGCATGATTTGGAATCCAAAAAGCACAGAGACTTATAGGCCGATCTTCACACAGGTAAGTCCCTTAGGCATAACAATAGCTAATATTTACGTAGCACTTTGTATGCTGGGCACAGTGGCACATGCCTGTAATCCCAGCATTTTGGGTGGCTGAGGCAGGTGGATCACCTGAGGTCAGGAGTTCGAGACTAACCTGACCAACATGGTGAAACCCCGTCTCTACTAAATACAAAAAATTAGCCAGGTGTAGTGGCACATGCCTGTAATACCAGTTACTTGGGAGGCTGAAGCAGGAGAATCACTTGAACCTGGGAGGCAGAGGTTGCAGTGAACCGAGATCATGCTACTGCACTCCAGCCTGGAAGACAGAGTGAGACTCTGTCTCAAAAAAAAAAAAAAAAATACATAGCACTTCGTATATGCCAAGTACTGTGTCAACTCCTTTAATCTTCACATCAACACTACAATATAGGTACTATTATTATTCATATTTAGAGTTTGAAAAAAAAAACTGAGTCACAGAGACCAAGTAACTCACTGAGGATCATATAATCAGTAAACTGCAGTGCTGGGATTTGAACACAGACAGTCTGGCTCCAGCTTCCATGTTCTTAGCTACTATGCCATGCTATGCTATACTGTATTATACTACACCATATTACATTATATGATTATCCAAGAGCAATATCAGAGACTCATGATTAGCTCAGGGTGATAAGTAGGGTACCCTGGGGAAAGTGAGTTATCTAAAGCAAAAGCAAAGGATGAGGGCTGGGTCTTGAGCTCTTCAGCAAATGTGGGCAAAGATTATTCCATTGTCTGATTTCTTGCTGAGAGTTCAAAGCATGCCATTTTCATTTCCAGCCACATGAAAAGCCTTTTGTTTTGTTTTGTTTTGTTTTGTTTTTTCTGACAGAGTAGACCCAGGGCTATGGTTTGGGCATGTCCCCCAAAATGTATGTGTTGCAAACTTGATCCTCAATGTAGCGGTGTTGAGAGGTGGAACCTATGGGCATTGATTGGGTCATAAGAGCTCTGCCCTCATGAATAAATTACTCCATTTATGAATTGATGGATGAATGGGTTATTGAGAAAGTGGGTTAGTTGTCACAAGAGTGGGTATGTTATCAAAGCCAGTTTGTCCATCTCTGCCGAGACCAGCTCAGTCGGGGAGACCCTAACCCAGCAGTGCTAGAGGTATTAAAGACACACACACACAGAAATATAGCACGTAGAGTGGGAAATCAGGGGACTCACAGCCTTCAAAGCAGAGAGCCCCAAACAGAGATTTACCCACATATTTACTGACAGCAAGCCAGTGATAAGCATTGTTTCTATAGATTACAGGTTCACTAAAAGTATTCCTAACGGGAAATAAAGGGATGGGCTCTGGCTAGTTATCTGCAGCATGAACACGTCCTTAAGGCACAGATCACTCATGCTATTGTTTGTGGCTTAGGAATGTCTTTAAGTGGTTTTCTGCCCTGGGGTGGGCCAGGTGTTCCTTGCCCTCATTCTGGTAAACCCACAACCTTCAGCATGGGCATCATGGCCATCATGAACATGTCACAGTGCTGCAGAGATTTTGTTTATGGCCAGTTTGGGGGCCAGTTTATGGCCAGATTTGGGGGCCTATCCCCTGCACATCTCTCATGAGCCTTCTCACCATGTGATGCTCTGTCCCACCTTGGGACTCTGCAGAGAGTCTCCACCAACAAGGCCTCCACCAGAGGCAACCCCTTGACCTTGGACCTCCCAGCCTCCAAAACTGTAAGAAATACATTTCTTTTCTTTATTAATTACCTAGTCTACACTGTGGTCTATGCCTGTAGTCCCAGCACTTTGGGAGGCTGAGGTGGGCGGATTGCTTGAGCCCAGGAGTTCGAGACCAGCCTGGCCAACATGGAAAAAACCCATCTCTACAAAACAAACAAACAAACAAAAACTTAGCCAGGCATTGTGGCATGTGCCTGCGGTCCTCACTACTTGGAAGACTGAGGTGGGAGGGTCACTTGAGCCCAGGAGACAGAGGTTGCAGTGAGCCAAGATTGTGCCACTGCACTCCAGCCTGGGTAACAGTGAGATACCATTCCAAAAATAAATTAATAAATAAAATAAAATAAATTACAGGTACTCAGTTATAGCAACAGAAAATAGACTAAGACACTCAGGAAATCTGTCAGGGTGTTTTGTATGCACAACATAGAAATGAGCTCTAACCAATTTAATCAAAACAGAATTTATTGGAAAGTTTTATAGGGAAGCTCAGAGAACTGAAGGCAAAACTGAACAACCAAAAGGATGTAAATTGGTGCCACTCTGGGCATCTGGGTGGCAAGAACTAGTGACCAGTCACTCCTGGATTCCATCATGGAGGTGAACAGAAGCCAGTCATTTCCCATTCCTCATGCTATTCTTCTCAGATTTCAGAAAGAGAGTATCTGATTGGACCAGCTTGGGATTGGGTCCACCATTTAGCCAGAAGAGGAAATGGTAGTAAGAAGATGCTGCTCTGTATCTCCTTTGTACCCACAGAAATTAAAATCAAAAATTAAAAAAAAGGAAGATGCTGTTGATAAACCCTATCTTCTTGGCTCACCTGAGTTTGCATGTAATTTCAGTAGACAGCTGCAAGCACACGATGAACTTCTCATCTCAAGATCCTGAATCTCTCTCAAAATCACATCCCAAATAAACTACTTGAACTCAACGTCTTTACCTAAGATTACTTTGGTGGCAATCTAAATTAAGACAAGTACCACATTTGACAATCACGCCAATACAATATTCAATGGGGAAAGGTCATTTTCCCAAAGAAAAAGCAAAAAAAAAAAAAAAAAAAGAGAGAGAGAGAAAACATGTTGGACCAAAAGCAAACGATTTCCACCTCATGCAGATAGATCTTAGCGTTCTCTACACAGACATCTTACTTTAGAATTATCACCCAGAGCTTTGTCTGGCCAACAAAGCCAATGTGAGTGAATTTATCTTTTAAATCCCCAAGGCCAGAGCCAAGACACTCAGACAAAGTACACTCCAACATAGACATTTTAATGCACAATGGGAGTGCCCTAGGAGACCTGTAAATCAGGTAGCATCTCTATTGTCACTGATGACACGTGGGAATGTATCTGTCCATCTCATCCTCCATGATGAGCAGACATCAAATCACCCCTCATCACCATGCACACCTTCAGATCATTCTGCAGCATGTCCTGGATACCTAGTGGCTTGGGAGAATGTCTAGCCTTGAAGATCACTCAAAATGGAGAATACACATAAGAATTCATGTCAATAAGAAAAGGGCCATAAAATCAGGACTCACAAGACCAAACTCTGAAATCCATGAAAATTTAGCAGGAGTCTGCCTTGACTGCTGCGTGAATAGCCAACAAATGGAAGCTGAGGCTGCTAGAGAGATTCCTGAAGAAGACTCAGACCTCCTCCAAAAAGTATTCAGAGTGCCTACTGCTTACCTGGACCATTGATGGCCCCTATTATGCAGCAATGTTCCTACCCCCAACCCCAAAGAGCTCACAGACAAGCCTATAAACAATTGCAGTATATGCAAGATTTATTTATTCATTTCATATGTATTAAGTTATATTTATGTCAAACTTATGTGAATTTCTTGCTCACACATCTGTTGGTTCACTGGGGTTTCGCTGATCCAGGCTGGGTTGGGTTCATGTATGCTGCACTGTCTCCCCTTTTTGGGGGATGGGTTGGACTCCTGGAGCATTTCCATCCTACAGTAATGACAGGAATGCATGAAGTCCAGCCCACCTAGCGCATCCCAAGCCTCTGCTTGCATCATGTCTACTAATATCCCAGTAGCCAAAGTAACAGCCAAGAGACAGGAAAGTAGATGCTACCCACCATGAGGCCATGACAAATGGATGCATGATACTATTACACAGGAGAGGCCGGGTGTGGGTGCTCATGCCTGGAATCTCAGCACTGTTGGAGGCCAAGATGGGTGGACTGCTTGACACCAGGAGTTCAAGACCAGCCTGGGCAACATGACAAAACCCCAACTCTACTCAAAATACAAAAATAAGCCATGTGTGTTGGTGGATGCCTGTAACACCAGCTACTCAGGAGGCTAAGGAAGGACAGTCACTTGAACCTAAGAGGTGGAGGTTGCAGTGAGCCGGGATTGCACCACTGCACTCCAGCCAGGGTGACAGAGTGAGATTCCATCTCAAAAACAACACAAAAAACAAAAACAAAAACAAACAAACAAAAAAAACAAGGGAGAATGTGGGGCCAATCTATCACAGATAGATTGAATCTATAATTCCATCTATCACAGTTTAAATAATGACAAATGGGCAGCCTAGTAAAGATCAAAGAGAAAGAACATTCCATACAGGTAACATCAAGAGAGAACAGCTATGGCCAGAGACTAGAGAAACACAAAGATGGACACCCAATACAGCTTACAGGAGTCTAAGGGGGCTTTCATGTCTTATAAAGGCTTCTCCTATACTCCCTACCCTGGTAAAGATCTACTGTCTCACAGAATGAGGCTGAGCTACTGATGTCCAACTACTGGACAAAAGGACTCAGGGTCTAACATTCTGTTTCTTTTTCCTTATTCTCAGGTCACTGTCACACCTAGAAAGACATTATTACAATAGGTAGCTCATCAGGCATGAGCAGGGCAGGAGAGGGCTCCCCCTGTCCCACCACCCCCCGAACAAGGAATGTCAGGCAACCATCAGGTGATGGTCAATAATAATTGGTTGCAGCCAGTGCCAGGGAAAGACAGTCTCCCTATAGCTAGAAAAAAAAACTGAAATTGGTGATCAGCAGCTTCCTGATAAGATCTCAGGAGTTGGGTGAGTGTGCTCAAGCATGCACACTAAGAGGCAAAATGGCAGAGTTTAACTAGTATATGACCTCCTAGGGACAACAGGCTGGTAAGAGAATAATGCCTCAAGTGAGCATGTGTACAACTCCAGTTAACACGCTGCACACGGTGGTCCCCTCCCAAACACTGGTAGGCCACCATGTATGCAGAGAGCCCACCATGAGGGAAGAATCACTGGAGAAGTAGCAACTCAGACAAATGCCAATGTATAAAACCCCAAGTCAAAAGTCAAAGTGCACCCTTGACTCTCTCAAGTCACCTGCTTGGCCCTCTTCCAAGTGTACTTTACCTCCTTTCATTCCTGCTCTAAAGCTTTGTAATTCATTTTCAGGCCAGGTGCGGTGGCTCACACCCGTTATCCCAACACTTTGGGAGGCCAAGGCAGGTGGATCACCTGAAGTCAGGAGTTCGAGACTAGATTGGTCAACATGGTGAAACCCAATCTCTACTAAAAATACAAAAATTATCTGGGAGTGGTGGTGGGCACTTGTAATTCCAGCTACTTGGGAGGCTGAGGCAGGAGAACTGCTTGAACCCAGGAGGTGGAGGTTGCATTGAGCCAAGATTGCACCATTGCACTCCAGCCTGGGCAATAAGAGCAAAACTTCGTCAAAAAAATAAAAAAACATAAAAAATAAAAATTGACAAATAAATTTTCACTCCTGCTCTAAAACTTGCCTCCATCTCTCCTTCTGCTTTATGCCCTTCAGTTAAATTCTTTCTTCTGAGGAGGCAAGAACTGAGGTTGCTGCCGACCCATGCAGATTGGCCACTGCTAACAACATTGGTGGCCATCAGGAGAACAGTTTCAGCCAAGCTGTAGGAGCAGAAACTGGGTCACAGGGGATTAAGATTGTGAGGACATTGTTGCTACAGTGTAGACATTTATTCAATAATTTACTAAAGGTTGGATCCAGTGGCTCATGCCTGTAATCCCAACACTTTGGAAGGTTGAGGTGGGCGGGTCACCCTGAGGTCAGGAGTTCGAGACCCGCCTGACCAACTTGGTGAAACCCCATCTCTACTATAAATACAAAAATTAGCCGGGTGTGGTGGTGTGCACCTGTAATCCCAGGTACTTGGGAGGCTGAGGCAGTAGAATCACTTGAACCCAGGAGGTGGAAGTTTCAGTGAGCCGAGATTATGCCATTGCACTCTAGTCTGGGTGACAGAGCAAGACGCTATCTCACAAAATAATAATAATAAAAATTTTAAAAATTAAAAAATAATTTACTAGAAATGAGGAAAAAACAGAAGAGAAGGTAGAAGAATGTGTCATTCTTGCCTCAGAGCATTTGCAGATGCTTCTCCTTCTACCTGGAATGTGTTCCTGTTACCGGTGGAGGGTCTTGACTATGAGTTGTCCAAGTCCTTGGCGTTTTGAACAAAATATTGAACAAAATCCTACAAAAGTAGCAGAGGAATAAAATGCAGGAAGGAAGCAGCGAAAGCAGGAATTTATTAAACTGAGAAAGCACCCCACAGGGTGGGAGTGGGCCCAAGCAAGCAGCTCAAGGGCCGGGTTACAAAGTGTTCTGGTCTTTAAGTATTCCATTGTAGTTTCTTATCAGCTACCCCTTATCTGGATGAAGGATTTGGTCTGTGGCTAATTAAAAGCTGAGGTGAATTGGTGCCCTATAGATGAAGGGATGGTCCCTGCTTGGCCCAAGGCCAATCCAAGACATTCTCCCTTTCCATCTGAGACCTGGCAGAAGGCGGAGAGCTGTAGGGAAAGTAGCCTTTGATCCTTTGTTATTCGGGGTGGGGAAATGGAGTTTCCCCTTTTGATGTAGCTTTAGGAAGTTGTTATTAATTGGCCTTTGATTTCCTGCCCCCAGACGTTGGTGTTTTCTGTTTTAGAAAGTTAGCACAAATTGGCCTTAAGTTCCCTGTCTCCAGACCCTATTCTCCTGCCTTATTCCCACCAGATCTTCACAGAGCTGACTCCTACTTATCATTCAGATCTTGATTCAACCATCATCTCCTCAGAAAGCCTCATGCTGACACCCCTGCCCTACATAAAGCATCCCTGTTCCACCCACACATTGCTCTCTACCACATGCTATTATCTTCATTGTATTTATTAGTATGTAAGTTTTTGTTTGTTGTTGTTGTGTTGTTATTTTGTTTACTTGCTTATTGTCTCTCTCACCAGAATGTGCTTCAGTACTGTTGATGAAAGAAATCAGACTCTGTAAATTAGGCACTTATTCCAAGCCTATGTGAGTGACTGTGGCCCTGAGAACAGTCTCAAGAGGTCCTGGGAAAATGTGTCCTGAGGCAAGAGAATAGGGTCTGAGACAGATCACCTGAGGTTAGGAGTTGGTGACCAGCCTGACCAACATGGTGAAACCTCGTCTCTACTAAAAATACAAAAAAAAATTAGCCAGGTGTGATGGCACATGCCTGTAATCCCAGCTACTCAGGAGGTTGAGGCAGGAGAATCACTTGAACCCAGGAGGTGAAGGTTGCAGTGAGCCAAGGTCACACCATTGCAATCCAGCCTGGGCAACAAGTGCAAAACTCCATCTCAAAAAAAAAAAAAGAAACAAAGAGAGAGAGAATAGGATCTGGAGGCAGGGAACATAAGGCAGATTCATGCTGATTTCCTAGAACTAAATCAAATGGAAACACTTCAGCTATGACAGAAAATATCTTCTTCATTTACATAGGGCGTACAATGAGTAAATGACTTTGTAACTTTACTTCATCCTCTTTATTTACAGAGGGCATACACCAAGTAACCAATAGAAACCTCTACAGGATATTTAAACCCCAGAAAATTCTGTAATGGGGCTCTTGAGACCCTATGCCTGGGCCAGCTCCTACACTGTGGAGTATACTTTCATTTTCAATAAATCTCTGCTTTTGTTTCTTCATTCTTTCCTTGCTTTGTTTGTGCATTTTGTCCAGTTCTTTGTTCAAGACACCAAGAACCTGGACACCTTCAACTGGTAAGACAAGGTGATTAAGTTACAAGTTGGTTTTATACATTTTAGGAAGACAGGAATTGTAGGCGAAATTATAAATTGATACATGGAAGGTGCACATTGGTTCAGCCTAAAGAGACAGGACATCTCAAAGCGGGGGTTTGGGAGAGCTCACAGGTCATAAGTGGATTCAAAGATTTTCTGATTGGCAATTAGTTGAAAGAGTTAAGCTTTTTCTGAAGACTTGAAGTCTGTAGAATGAAGCCTGAGTTAAGGTGGGTTGTGGAGACCAAGGTTCTTATTATGTAGATGAAGCCTCATTGGAAGCAGCCTTCAGAGAGAATAGATGGTGTTTCTTTTCAGACCTTAAAAGATGTCATACTCTTAGTTAATCTCTCCCAGATCCATGAAAGGCCTGGCTGCATTAAAGGAGATGCTCTAGAGATGCATATTTCCCCCTCAAAAGATGGCTTTGCAGGGCCATTTCAAAATATATCAAAAAATATAATTTGGGGTAAAATATTTTTATTTCCTTCAGGGCCTGCTCTCTGTCATGTGACACTATACCAGAGTCAGATTGGAATGTGGTGTCTTACTGCCACACAGAGTCTGTTTTGTCAGTCTTATGATCTCTATTTTACCGTTAATGTGGGTCAATTGTGCCTAAACTCCAAAAGGGGGAGACATCTGACCTCCCTTCGGGTCATGGCCAGGAATTCCATTTTTCAGGTTTCTCTGGAATCTCCTTGGCACAGAGAGGGTCTGTTCAGTCAGTTGGGGATGGGAGGTGGAGGAGCTTAGAATTTTTATTTTTTCTTTATTTATTTTTTAATTATTATTTTTATTTATTTATTTATTTATTTATTTTGAGACAGAGTCTCACAGTGTTGTCCGGGTTAGAGTGCAATGGCGTGGTCTCAGCTCACTGCAACATCCGCCTGCCAGGTTCAAGCGATTCTTCTGCATCAGCCTCCTGAGTAGCTGGGATTGCAGGTGTGCACCACCACGCCCGGCTAATTTTTTGTATTTTTAGTAGAGACAGGGTTTCACCATGTTGGCCAGGCTGGTCTTGAACTCCTGGCCTCAGGTGTTTCACCCTCCTTGGCCTCCCAAAGTGCTGGGATTACAGGCATGAGCCACCGTGTCCAGCCCCGGAAATGGACCAGTTCCTAAGCTGCAGGCAGTGCTGTTCTCCTTGGGATACCGTCCTCTGTTGGGACTGTAACCGCCCAAAGGGTTCACTTTGCCCGCTGCCTAGACAGATTTATCAAGACAGAGGAATTGCAACAGAGAAAGAGTAATTTACGCAGAGCCACCTGTGAGGGAGACCAGAGTTTCATTATTAATCAAATCAGTCTCCCGAAGAATTTGGGAATCAGAGTTTTTAAGGATAATTTGGTGGGCAGGGGCCAGTGAGCCAAGAGTGCTGATTGGTTGGGTGGGAGATGAAGTCACAGGGAGTCTAAGCTGTCCTCTAGTACTGAGTCAGTTCCTGGGAGGGGTCCACAAGATCAGATGAGCCAGTTTATCAATGTAGGTGGTGCCAGATGATGCATCAAGTGCAGGGCCTGCAAAAGATCTCAAGCACTGATCTTAGATTTGACAATAGTGATGCCACCCCAGGAGCAACTTGAGCAGGGTCAGAATCTTGCACCCTCCAGCTGCATGACTCCTAAACCATAATTTCTAATTTTGTGGCTAATTTGTTAGTCTGCAAAGGCAGTCCAGTCCTCAGGGAGGAAGGGGGTTTATTTTGGGAAAGGGCTGTTATCATCTTTGTTTCAAAGTTAAACTATAAACTAAATTTATCCCAAAGTTCCCAGGAATGAAGAAGGACAGCTTGGAGTTTAGAAACAAGATGGAATTGGTTAGGTCAGATCTCTTTCACTGTAATAATTTTCTCAGTTATAGTTTCACAATGGTGGTTTCAGGACTATCTAGGGGCCAAACCTGCAGATCTCCGCATCAGCTTGTAGCAGCGAAAAAGAGGCCTCGCATGACTAACTCCATTTTTCTCCTAACCTCGTACCCCCACGGTGTTATCTTTTAGGTTAACTGCTTGTGCTTATCTCTGCATGTAGGCCAAGCTAACTATGGAAGGAATTTAGTTTATAGTTTAACCTTAAAGCAAGGATGATCATAGTCCCTTCCCAAAACTAGCCCTCGAGGAGATAAGGAGGGTGCACACACAAGTATCAATGTTATACTAAAGATTTATAGGAGTTGGCCAGGCGTAGTAGCTCACGCCTGTAATCCCAGCACTTTGGGAGCCTGAGCCGGGTGGATCACCTGAGGTCAGGAGTTTGAGACCAGCCTGGCCAACATGGTGAAACCCTGTCTCTACTAAAAGTACAAAAATTAGCTGGGCATGGTGGCAGACGCCTGTAATCCCAGCTACTTGGGAGGTTGAAGCAGGAGAATCGCTTGAACCTGGGAGGCGGAGGTTGTAGTGAGCTGAGATTGTGCCACTACATTGCACTCCAGCCTGGGTGACAAGAGCAAAACTCCGTCTAAAAAAAAAAAAAAGAAAGAAAAAGACATGTTTTATAGGAGCATTGTGACCTGACCAATGCCACCCAGATACCTGTGGTCAGCAGTCATCTTTTGATCTCAACCACGCTCCTCTTTTCCCTTCCCCTCACATAAAAGGAGCCCAAAATTCATGTTAGTTTAAGATGCTTTTTTAGGACACCAGTCCAACATCTTCTCAGCTTGCTGACTCTCGGAAATAAAGCCGCCTCCCTTGCCCCAACACCTTGTCTCTCAACTGATTGCTTGTCACGCAGCAAGCAGTATGAGCTTTGGACTCAGCTACAAGCTCACCACTTCCACAGCACTCCCGCCCTGCCTTGCTATTGCTCCAAGTGCCTCAGACTCACATTAGGCTTAAGTAGCAAAGAGAGGGTTCAACTCACCCTGCCTATCTACCATCTGTGGCACCTGGGCCTCTCTATCTCTTTCACACTGACAATCAACCACTTGCTCCCTCTCCAAACGACTTCCATCATTTTAGTTAGGTTCTAGGATGCATGAGCCTCTACCTCTCTTCTGCATCATCCTCAGGATTAAATTCAGGAAGGAGTCAGTCAGCAGCCTTGATTAATTCTCCTTCTTGGCTAATCTACTCTTCATGCATAGACTAGCATGCATGCACGCACACATGCACATGCGCACGTACACACACACACACACACACACACACCAAATAAAGCGTAATATTTGCAACTTCATGTAAGCATATTTGCAGGACAAATTCTCTTGAAATGCTGAAATAATGGATGCGCATATTTTAAATTTTGATAGAAATTGCTCGAGTGCCCTCCAAAACAGTGTACCAATTTACACTGTCAATCTTAGTGCCAATTTTCCTGCAAAAACTGTATACATAGGGTATTACCAAACATTTCAATGTTTATGACAAAAAGGTATACAAAAATGATATTGTTCTTTCAATTTGCAGTACCCCAGTTATGAGGAAGATTGGATTTTTTCCCCATGCATATTGTAGCAGTTCTTAAAATAGTTAAAAAGGAGACTTGATCTAAATATCTACCATCAAAATGATTTGTTAAGTAATTTGTAGAATAGGTTACAGAAAAAATAAGTGATTAGTAAATATAAGGAAAAAATGCTCTCTGCCAACTATAATTAAAGAAACATGAATGAAAACAGCAAATATGCTACCATTATTTTCAACCTCATATAACTGACAAAGATTTAAAATTTTTAATAATTCCTGTGGTTGGCAAAGTTCCACCACTACTATTGCTAGCACTTGCTACAGAATTCAAATAAAAGTGATGACCTCTGTCATATACTTTTGCCCCAAATCATGCCTTTCCTACTTTTTAATTCCTCAAGCTATACTCAATGTACCATTAAAATCTCTTTTAATACCTATTTTCTTAACTTGATCAGAACTTGACATTCATACTCCCTTAATTCTGGATGAGAAGCTAGATAAGGTGAGAAAGAAATAAATTGGATTTCCACTTACCAATGTTTAGTGCTCCAAACATTTGACACCCAAGAGGTCTTCTAGTATCTTAATTTTGGTTTCCCCAAAAGCAGTGTCTAGGACTTGGCTACAGGGATGTTATTTGGTAAGTAATCCCCAGAAGTGTAGTAACAGGGTGGTGATTATGAGGCAGGGAAGATGTAGCAGTCACTAAAGAGTATTTTGAATAACAGATGCTAGCCAGACTGCAGAGAAAAGGGAACGCTCATACACTGTTGGTGGGAATGTAAATTAGTTCAACCACTGTAGAAACCAGTCTGGAGATTTCTCAAAGAACTAAAAATAGAATTACCACTCAACCAAGCAGTCACACTATAGGTATATACCCAAAGGAAAATAAATCATTCTACCAAAAAGATAACTGCACTTGTATGTTCATTGCAGCACTATTCACAATAGCGAGGACATGGAATCAACCTAGGTGCCTACCAACAATGGGTTGGATAAAGAAAATGTGGTACATTTACACTATGGAATACTACACAGCCATAAAAAAAGATTGAAGTCTTATTGATGCAGTATCTTTTGCTCCTTAGTTCAGCTAAAATCTGGGTTCTTGTCACACAACCAGGAAACATTAGGCACGCAGACACATTGAAAGGTGAGGAGAGTGGAAGTTATTTTTATTTTATTTTATTCATTATTATTATTTTTTTTTTTTGGAGATGGAGTTTTGCTCTTGTTGCCCAGGTTGGAGTGCAATGGCGCAATCTCGGCTCACTGCAACCTCCACTTTCCGGGCTCAAGCGATTATCCTGCTTCAGCCTCCCAAGTAGCTGGGATTACAGGTACCCACCACCATGCCCAGCTAATTTTTTTTTGTATTTTTTAGTAGAGACGAGGTTTCACCATGTTGGGCAGGCTGATCTCAAACTCCTGACCTCAGGTGATCCACCCGCCTCGGCCTCCCGAAGTGCTGGGATTATAGGTGTGAGCCACTGCACCCGGTCAAGAGTGGAATTTATTTAAAAAAATCTCCCAGTGAAAAAAAGAAGAGGTCCTGCCAACAGGCTCCCACCTCACAGATTAAATACCAGGCCACCACACACAGGAGCTGAAGAGGCCAGGCTCCTCCCTCCTGCATAAGGTGCAAATCCCCAGTGGCTCCACCCCATTCTCCCAGTGTGCAGGCCGGCCCCCAGTCCATGGTGGGCACGTCCACAGAAAGCCCTGAGCAAGTTCGCTCATCTGCACATAAGCATCTGATGTAAACACTTGTAGGGCGGGTCAGAGATTCTCCCGGGGCCCTCCCTTATCTGCCTCCTGCTTCTATCAATATCATTTGCAGTAACATGGATGCTGCTGGAGGCCATTATGCTAAGTGAATTAATGCAGGAATAGAAAACCAAATACTGCATGTTCTCATTTATAAGTGGAAGCTAAACATTGGCTACACATGGACATACAGATGGGAGTGACACACACTGGGGACTAACAGAGGGAGAAAGGACTCATGGGGCAAGTGTTGAAAAACTACCTATTGGGTGCTATGCTCACTACCTGGGTGAAAAGATCATTTATAGCCCAAACTTCAGCATTACGCAATATACCCAACAAAGCTGCACATATACCCTGAGTCTTAAAAAAAAGTTGAAATTTAAAAAAAAAAAAAAAGAGTATGCACCTCTAATCTTAGCTATATGGGAGGCTGAGTGGGGAGGATCACTTGAGGCCAGGGGTTTGAGAGCAGCCTGGGCGACGTAGTGAGACTCTATCTCTACAAAAAAATTTAAAAATTAGGTGGCTGCAGTGAGCCATAATTGCACTACTGCACTCCAGCCTGGGTGACAGGGCAAGACCCTGTCTCAAAAATATATATGTAAAGAAGATAAATAGATAAAATTTAATTTTTTTTTTTTTGAGACAGAATCTCACTCTTTTGCCAGACTGGAGTGCAGTGGCACGATCTCAGCTCACTGCAACCTCCACCTCCCGGTTCAAGCAATTCTCCTGCCTCAGCCTCCTGAGTAGCTAGGACTACAGGTGCATGCCACCATGCCCAGCTAATTTTTTTTTTTTTTTTTTTGAGACAGAGTCTTGCTCTGTCGCCCAGGCTGGAGTGCAGTGGCGCAACCTCGGCTCACTGCAAGCTCTGCCCTCAAGGTTCACACCATTCTTCTGCCTCAGCCTCCCAAGTAGCTGAGACAACAGGCGCCCACCACCACGCCCGGCTAATTTTTTTGCATTTTTAGTAGACATGAGGTTTCACCGTGTTAGCCAGGATGGTCTCGATCTCCTGACTTCGTGATCCACCCGCCTTGGCTTCCCAAAGTGCTGGGATTATAATTTTTGTATTTTTAGTAGAGATGGGATTTCACCATGTTGGCCAGGATGGTCTCAAACTCCTGAGCTCAAGGCAATCCACCCACCTCGGCCTCCCAAAGTGCAGGGATTGCAGACATGAGCCACCACGCCCAGCCTATACTCTTTTTTTTTTTTTTTTTTAAACCATGGATCTTAGCAAAAAGCCATAAATTTAAATTTAAAAAGTGCATCCACTGCATGCAATAGCCTGTGTTGAGGCAAATTTCCCTTGCTTTCCCAACCTGGCTTCACCCCCGATCACTGAGAGAATGAACCCCTGTTGACCCCAAGAAAAATATAAATATCTCTGTGACATTGTGATATAATAAGAAATGTGTTTCCCCACATCGTCCTTAGTCTTCAAGGGCTAGTCCTCATGTAGAACTTTTCAGAGTTCCCAGCCAGCCATCCGTGTGCAGAAAATTCAGGGACATTAGTCATGCCCTTTCCTCCTGCTGTGGATTCTAACCTATTTGAGGGAAACATTCAAAGAGCCAGAGGAGGATCAACTGCAGAATTAGTTTTCCTTATGAAGCTCAATTGGAGAGCATCGCATGGCTCCCCTTACAAATCTAGACTTTCAGACCAGCATGACCCAGATTTCCCCACCCAGTTACAGGTTGAAAAGCTGTAAACACAGAAGAGTGTGTGAAAAGGCAAACACAGAAGAGTCTGCCTGGTCTCTACAAGAAGAAGGAAATGCCAGTCCTCGTTGTACCTGGGAGCAGATCGGTCCACAAGAGGAAGGACGGCAGATACAAAGAAGCACAGAGAAAGACAGGAAGGGAGGAAGAGAGGGAGAGGTGGAGGAAGGATGACCACAGACAGAGGGAGAGGGAAAAGTGTAACAGTTGCCTCTGGATCACCCAATGAGGAAGTAAGCCATGCCTTGCCCAAATGCATAAACTTCCTCCCCACACTGCAAAGAAAACAGAAGCATTAGCAGAACTACCTCCCTCTACGGACCTAAGTGGGGACTACAGAAATTAAGAACTGTACCCACTTGTAACCTGCTTCTAGTTTCTTTTAGACCTTGAGCCTATGCTAATCAGGATGCCTCCTCTAGATGCTAAAAGGCATTCATTCCCAACATTAATGGAAGGCTTCACATACAGGGAATATATTTGCAGACTTTTGTAATGCCAAGAAACCTAGGTGTGAGTTTCCCAGCTAACTTCTTTTCCCCATGCCACTCCTGCATTTTTGAAAAATGATGCACGTTCCCCTCTTGGGAAATTCCAAGTCTACCTGGGCATCTCCAGGCATGTGTACCCACCTGCTTCTAACTCCGAGTACCAAAGGCTGCCTCTGAAAACTAATTATTGACTGCATGCCTGTTCATGGGATAAGTTTGTCACAGCTGCTAAAACACTTGCATTCTCAACACGGCCTTGGTGCCTTTGGGAAGCCTGACCACAAAACGAGTTGATTTTAACAGCATCTTGCAGGGAATACACCTATTTTTAGCAATTATCTTTGGAGTCACGGAAATAAAAGCTTCTGAAAATTAATGATTCTTACCAAGGTGTTGGCTTCTTGATATGCAGAGCTGAACTGCACAAGATTAAAGAAAAGCCAGGCAGATGGTGTTAAGGGAAGAGCGTTTTTTTTTTTTTTTCTAGGAAGAGAATATAGAAAAGAAATGGTGTCAGATAAAGGAAAGAGCTATGGACACAGAGTCAAGAAATATGAGTCAAATTCTACGTGGCCATAGGTAAATAGCCTAGAGCTTCTCTCTAACTCTTAATGTAGCCATTTTTAAGTAAAGAAAGTGTAAGTCAGGGGAAAAATGAGGTTTTGTGTTTTTTTTAAGCTAACCTCAGGAGTTCTCTCAAGAAGTGAATTGACCTATTCTTTCATGAGAATATACTTAATAGATATTTTTGCTTATGAACTGAGCCATTCTAAACAAAGCCAGGTTACTCTAGGGTAAGAAAAAAACAGATAATTAACTGGTTTGTATAAGAAATAAACAGAAGTCTGGGCGCAGTGGCTCACGCCTGTAATCCCAGCACTTTGGGAGGCTGAGGCAGGCAGATCACAAGGTCAGGAGATCAAGACCATCCTGGCTAACATGGTGAAACCCCATCTCTACTAAAAATACAAAAAATTAGCCAGGCGTGGTGGCGGGCATCTGTAGTCCCAGCTACTCGGGAGGCTGAGGCAGGAGAATGGCGTGAACCTGTGGGAGGCGGAGCTTGTAGTGAGCCAAGATGGTGCCACTGCACTCCAGCCTGGGTGACAGAGCGAGACTCCATCTCAAAAAAAAAAAAAAGGAAAAAAAGAAATAAACAGGAATCTAGTGGGGAGAGGGGAGAAATTCCAGGAGAGGGGAAAGGATTTCAAGTAGGGCAGGGAAACAAAGCTAAAAAATAAGAGCTAGCCAGGAGTTTAAGACCAGCCTGGGTGACATAGCGAGACCCTGTCTCTACAAAAAAAATTAAAAAGTATAGGTTGGTGCAAAAGCAATTGCAGTAAAAGTAAATGTAGATTGAAAGCAATGACAAAAACCGTGATTATTTTTGCATTAACCTAATAGCCAGGCATGGCACTGTGCACCTGTAGTTCCAGCTACTCAGGAGGCTGAGGCAGGAGGCTCACTTGACCCCAGGTGGCCAAGGCTACAGTGAGCTATAATTATGCCTCTGCACTCCAGCCTGGGTGACACAATGAGATTTCATCTCGAAAAAGAAAAGAAAAGAAGAGATGACTCATAAAATGTGAATAGAGATGATGTCTGTCACTTCCAGGACAAAGCAGTGGAAAGGGCATGCACACTTCCCTTCCGTCTTCAGCACTGAGAAGGCTTCATGTTCCCTCTGGAACCTATAAGAACATAGGGCACCATTAGCCTGGGTCCCTGAGTGACCATGTGGGGCTGACCTCTCACTATTGCTTACATGGCAGCAATAAATATTCGTTAGTTTAAGCTAGGTTAACTAGATTATATGTCATCACAGACACCCTCTACATCTTAGGGGGTGTCTGTGATGGCATATAACCTAGTTTCTTCTGGGTCTCCTTTCCTGCTTTATGGTCTCTAAGAACCTCTTGAAAAATTGGATTTCCTACTGCATATGAGGTAGAAGTGTGTCCTAGTTCCACTCCACACTCTTCACAGCTCTGTTCTGTGTCCAGGAGGATAATTAGCTCCACAGATTGAATCACCAGACATCCCTCGCCCTCTGCCTGCTGGATAGGAGCAGTCAATGGGAGGCAGCAGCAAGAGCTCAGAGGGTGGGGTATTTAGTCCTGGCCCCCAATAGAGCCCTGAATCCACCTACTGCCACCACTCCTAGCTGGCTGGCCCTCTTCCATGTCTACAGCTGTTTCAGTTTCCAATAACACTGCTAGTCTCTCCCTTCCCTTCTTCTTCGTGCCTGAGGCTGGTCACAGCTCCCTGCTGGTGCTATTTCCATGTGCTTCACCAACTCCTACTGGCTCCTTAGTCCTTGAGCCTATACTACTTGGGATGCTTCCTCTAGATACTAAAAGGCATTTCCAACATTCATTGAAGGCTTTACATACAGAGAACATATGTGCAGACTTTTGGAATGCCAAGAAACCCAGGTGTGAGTTTCCCAGTTAACCTCTATAGAGTATGCCATTCTTTCCTCCTGGGACTCTGATGTTTACAAAGCTAACACAAATTTTATTTAAATTATATGAAAAAAATGCTCAACATCACTAATCATCAAAGAAATGCAAATTAAAACGACCGTGAGATACCATCTTACACCAGTCAAAATGGCTGTTATTAAAATGTCAAAGAACAAGAGATGCTGAGGAGGCTGCAGAGAAAAGAAAACACATATACACTGTTGGTGGGAATGTAAATTAGTGCAACCTTTATGAAAAACAGTATGGAGATTTCTCAAAAAACTAAAAATAGAGCTACCCTTTGACCCAGCAATGCCACTACTGGGTATCTACCCAAAGGAAAAGGAATCATTTAATCAAAAAGGTATCTGCACTCATATGTTCATCGCAGCACTATAAGCAATGGCAAAGTCATGAAATCAACCTAAGTGTTCATCAACAGATGACTGTATTAAAGCCAATCATCTATTGACCATGGAATATTACTCAGCCATAAAAAAGAATGAAATTATGTGTTTTGCAGCAATATGGATGGAACTGGAGATCATTATCCTAAGTGAAGTAACTTAGAAACAGAAAGTCAAATACTGCATGTTCTCACTTATAAGTCAGAGCTAAACAATGGGCACACAGGAACATAAAGATGGAAATAATAGACATTGAGGAATCCAAAAGGTAGGTGGATGGGAACGGGGTACTATGGTACTACCTATCGGGTACGATGTACAGTATATAGTTGATGGGTACAGTAAAATCCCAGACTTTACCACTACACAATATATCCATGTAACATAACTACACTTGTACCCCTAAATTCATAACAATTTAAAAAATTAATTAAAAATAAAAATAAATTTTAAAGGCCAAGATGACCCCAGTATGACAAAGATCCTAGGAACACCCAGGCTGTTAACATCTGGAATACTGTACAAATAAATACTTTTAAAAACTGTCATAAGAGAGCCTGGAACATAGGAAGTATGCTACACATATGAATCTGAACCTGAAAGAAATAAAGCTTTTATTTCAATGAGATGTTCTGGAATTGTACATCTGTCCATTTACACTATCTATGGTTGAATTCAACCATAAGTCAAGGACACTGACATACATCTTGAAATACATATTAATATCTTACAGATTTCATCCTGGCTATAACAGAGGTTTCTCAGGATAGGGTTGGAGGGAGCTTGAGCATTCTTTTTATTTCCCATCTAAGGTCCCATAAACCAACAAAGCAATGCCTATCAGGGCCACTCCCTCCCAGCTTCCTGCAGAAGCCTCACCTGCAATCTGAGATCTTTTTTTCCTTCTTCACCTCTTCCCCTCTGAGATATTGAGTCGGGCACCTACACTATGCCAGCATCACCAAATAAAAGTGGCAATGCAAAACACTGGGTAAGATTCCAAATCCTGTTTAATGAGGTAAGAACAGAATGGAGGATCTTATTATGATCAAGTTAACACAAAAAGTGATGCCAAATACTGATGCAGTGACTCGAACAGCAGTCCACAGGAAAACAGGAAACTGATGCTAAGTGGGTGACAATGAGGTATGCCAACACGAAGCAACTCCAGAGTGCACCATTTAAATAGAATACAAGGTGAGTGGTGCAATGCACTTTACTCGTTCATCCAGAGTCTCAAAGCCAGAGAAGGTGAATTCTTGCTGTTGTTTGGAAGGCCCTCACGGCTACCCACTATTTTTCACATTCATTTCCCTGTTTGTGTTGGCTGGCTGAGCCAGGCTTGTGAAAGGTGGGATCCTCTGCTCTAAGTGGAGGATTCTGAGAGGAGCTGCCAACCTTCAGACAGACCATCAGATCAGAACACTTTGCTCAACCCTGCAGCTCCTAATATGGCCAAACAAAGGGAAAAGTCTTCTCCTTATGGAGATAAAGGGCTTTCTGGTGGAATTTAACAAATATACAATGTAATGCCTGGAAGAATCCAGAGCTCTCTTTGAACCCTGGAGTCAGACTGTTAACCAGCTATTGAGCATCCAGAGATAAAACAGCATAGTGACTAGAAGCGTGGACTCTGGAACTCAAGTGCCTGGGTCTCAATCCTGAGTCTGTCACTCACTAGCTGGGTGATCTTCGGAGAAGTCACTACACTCCCATGTTGTTACTAGGGATCCCAGTTATATCAAAAGGTGAGCTCTTTCCTGATTGACGTCATGAAGCCAATATATGAAACCAGAAGTGAGGCCAGGCACAGTGGCTCACACCTATAATCCCAGCACTTTGGGTGGCCGAGGCAGGTGGATCACCTGAGGTCAGGAGATCAATACCAGCCTGACCAACATGGCAAAAACCCCATCTGTACTAAAAATACAAAATTAGCTGAGTGTGGTGGTGAACACCTGTAATCCCAGCTACTCGGGAGGCTGAGGCAGAAGAATCGCCTGAACCTGGGAGGCAGATGTTGCAGTGAGCCAAGATCACGCCATTGTACTCCAGCCTGGATAACAAGAACAAAATTCAGTCTCAAAAAAAAAAATGCAACCAGAAGAGAGCATCAAGCAGTGCAGGCTTTCTTTGATAGCCATGGAGTGCAGAAGTGGGAGCTTGGCACGACCTCAGCTTACTGCAACTGCTGCCTCCCGGGTCCAAGCGATTATCTTGCCTCAGCCTCCTGAGTAGCTGGGATTACAGGCCCACACCACCACGCCCAGCTAATTTTTGTATTTTTAGTAAAGACGTGGTTTCACCGTGTTGGTCAGGCTGGGATCCAACTCCTGACCTCGTGATCCATCTGCCTTGGCCTCCAAAAGAGCTGGGATTACAGGTGTGAGCCACCGCGCCCGGCCAATAGGGGGTATCATTAATGAAAGGGTTGGGGATAAAAAGCAAGGGGAGGAATATCCATGCTTTTTCTAAAAAGGGGAGGAGATTTTCCTTCTGTGGTCTTTTCCAGTCATTGTCATGGTGACTGTCAACTGTATGGTGCCAGAGGGAGTGTCATTTGGTATGGAAATTGGATGATAATGAAGTTAGAGGTTCTTCAGAGGTCCAGTTGCTGCCATTTTGGATTTTGCCATCTTTGACCAGTTTAGTCCTAAGGAAGAACTTCTGACCACAGACAGCCTGTTTCCTAAAGACAGGCAGAGTTAAGGCTGAGTATGAATTCAGCTAAGTCATGTAGGCACTGCGGTGGGTAACAGATGGGTAACAATGTCTGTTTCCCTGACTATAAAGTGGGGATAATAAGAATACTTTCTTCAAGGGCCGGGCACAGTGGCTCACACCTGGAATTACTTGAACCTGGGAGGCAGAGGTTGCAGTGAGTTGAGATCACGCCTCTGCACTCCAGCCTGGGTGACAGAGCGAGAAAAAAAAATATCTTCTTCATATATTCTTAATAAATGAGTTAGTATCATTGGTGCCTAACATCATGTATCATACATAGTAATAGTCACATAAGTACTAATTGTTATTCTCTGTCTGAATAGGCCTCAGATGGGCCACAACTAAAACTTAGATGTTTAAAGTAGAACTCATCCTGCCCTTTCCCTTCAAAACACACAAAATTTCTGCAAGGCACACTGACTTGCTGATCTTGTAAATCACTTCTCCATTTCCCCAGAAACCAAAATCCAACTTCTGAAGGCTTCTCCCTGTCAATCCCCTGTAGCAGGACGAGCTGCAGACAAGAACCCCTCAGACACCGAGTTGTGGAAGGAAAGGGCTTTATTCAGCTGGGAGCATCAGTGGACTCATGTCTCCAAAAACCGAGCTCCCCGAGTGAGCAATTCCTGTCCTCTCTTTAAGGGCTTACAACTCCAAGGGGGTCTGCGTGAGAGGGTTGTGATCGATTGAGCAAGCAGTGGGTACGTGACGGGGGGTTGCATGCACTGGTAATCAGAATGGAACAGAACAGGACAGGGATTTTCACAGTGCTTTTCCATACAATGTCTGGAATCTATAGATAACATAACCGGTTAGGTCAGGGGTCAATCTTTAACTACCAGGCCCAGGGTGTGGTGCCGGGCTGTCTGACTACTGATTTCACTTCTGTCTTTCTTTAACCCCTACTTTTTCTTTTTTATTAATTAGCAAATAATATTTTATTCCCATTTCATATAATATTTTTATTATTATTATTATACTTTAAGTTTTAGGGTGCATGTGCACAATGTGCAGGTTTGTTACATATGTATACATGTGCCATGTTGGTGTGCTGCACCCATTAACTCGTCATTTAGCATTAGGTATATCTCCTAATGCTATCCCTCCCCGCCGCCCCCCACCCCACAACAGTCCCCGGTGTGTGATGTTCCCCTTCCTGTGTCCATGTGTTCTCATTGTTCATTTCCCACCTATGAGTGAGAACGTGCGGTGTTTGGTTTTTTATCCTTGCGATAGTTTGCTGAGAATGATGGTTTCCAGCTTCATCCATGTCCCTACAAAGGACATGAACTCATCATTTTTTATGGCTGCATAGTATTCCGTGGTGTATATGTGCCACATTTTCTTAATCCAGTCTATCATTGTTGGACATTTGGGTTGGTTCCAAGTCTTTGCTATTGTGAGTAGTGCCGCAATAAACATACGTGTGCATGTGTCTTTATAGCAGCATGATTTATAATTCTTTGGGTATATACCCAGAGTGAACAGGCAACCTACAGAAGGGGAGAAAATTTTTGCAACCTGATCATCTGACAAAGGGCTCATATCCAGAATCTACAATGAACTCAAACAAATTTTCAAGAAAAAAACAAACAACCCCATCAAAACGTGGGCGAAGTATATGAACAGACACTTCTCAAAAGAAGACATTTATGCAGCCAAAAAACATGAAAAAATGCTCATCATCACTGGCCATCAGAGAAATGCAAATCAAAACCACAATGAGATACCATCTCACACCAGTTAGAATGGCGATCATTAAAAAGTCAGGAAACAACAGGTGCTGGAGAGGATGTGGAGAAATAGGAACACTTTTACACTGTTGGTGGGACTGTAAACTAGTTCAACCATTGTGGAAGTCAGTGTGGCAATTCCTCAGGGATCTAGAACTAGAAATACCATTTGACCCAGCCATCCCATTACTGGGTATATAACCCCTACTTTTTCTTTGAGGCAGAAATTGGTCATAAGACAATATGAGGAGTGGTCTCCTCCCTTATCCCTACCGCCCCGGCCCCACTGACTGGTAATCAAATGCAGGTAATTCTGTCTTGGAAACATCCTAACCTCTCCCTTCCTAGCTGTACCTCTCTACCATAGCATCAGTTCAGACCCTGAACTAGACTAATGGAAAATCTTACGAATTCATTTCCCTGTTTTCAGTCTCACCTTGAATCCACATCCCCATCCCAGTCCAGCCCTTTAAACTACTGCCAGAATGATCCCCTTAAAACACAGAGATAGGCCATGGATGGTGGCTCACACCTGTAATCCCAGCACTTTGGGAGGCTGAGGGGGGCGGATCACAAGGCCAGGAGATCAAGACCATCCTAACTAACACAGTGAAACCCCATCTCTACTAAAAATACAAAAATGTTAGCTGGGCATGGTGGCACGCACCTGTAGTCCCAGCTACTCAGGAGGCTGAGGCAGGAGAATCGCTTGAACCTGGGAGGTGGAGGTTGCAGTGAGCCGAGATCACACCACTGCACTCCAGCCTGGGCAACAGAGTGAGACTCCTTCTCAAAAAAAAAAAAAAAACAAAAAAAAACCACAGAGCTGTATTAGGCAGACTAGGCCAGGCTATGCTACATAGCAAGCAAACCCCAAACCTCAAAATTTATGAAGGCTGATTTCTCATCTACATAACAATCCAACGTAGTTGGGTGGCTCTTCTGTGTTGCCCTCCTCTAGCCCAGGGATCCAGGCCGCTTCCATGTTTTTAGCTATGCCATCTGCAACTCATGGCCTGGAGGACAGCAGCATGGTCTAGATCAGTAGTTCTCAAACTCTGACCTCAGGATCCCTTTACAATCTTAAAGAAGTCCTGTCTGTATGGGTTATAACTGGAAAATTTTACCATATTAGAAATCAAAGCAGAAAATTTAAAAATATTTATCTGTTTATTTAAAATTAATAATAACGGGCCGGGTGCGGTGATTCACACCTGTAATCCCAGCACTTTGGGAGGCCGAGGCAGGGGGATCACAAGGTCAGGAGTTTGAGACTAGCCTGGCCAATATGGTGAAACCCCATCTCTACTTAAAAAATACAAAAATTAGCCGGGCGTGGTGGCATGCACCTGTAGTCCCAGCTACTCGGGAGGCTGAGGCATGAGAATTGCTTGAACCTGGGAGGCGGAGGTTGCAGTGAGCTGAGATCATGCCACTGCACTCCAGCCTGAGCGACACAGTGAGACTCCGTCTCAAAAAATAATAATAATAATAATAATAACTGGCCAGGCACAGTGATTCATGCCTGCAATCCCAGCACTTTGGGAGGCCAAGGCAGGAGGATCTCTCGAGTCCAGGAGTTCGAGGTTGCAGTGAGCTATGATAGCACCACTGCACTCCAGCCTGGGTGATAGAATGAGACCCTGTCTCTAAAAATAATAATAATAATAACTCATCACATGTTATAAATAAAATATCTTTATGAATAATAAAATAATGCTTTGTTTCAAAACAAAAAAATTTAGTGAGATGAGAGGTATCGTTTTACATATTTTTGCAAATCTTTCTAACATATGACTTGATAGAAAAGAGCTGGATTCTCTCCTCTGTTTCTACAATCAGTTTGTTGTGATATGTTGTTTGGGATGAAATAAATGAAGAAAATCCAGCCTCACACAGATGTGTGGATGAAACAGGAAGAGTACTGTAATAATGTTTTCAGATGATTGTGGCTATTTTTCTTTGAAACTACAACAAACTTTGACAAGTGCTTATTTTCTTAAAGGTTATTTGCAATGTAAAATATGAAATCCTATCAATGAACCTTTCATACTCCACTACACTACAATACATTGGTCTGTCTTATAGTCTGATGGACCTTTTTTCTGCATGATTTTGCAACATTGTTCATTGGTTATTTGGAAAATATTGGTTCACTGAGTTATGAAACTCTTCCAAATGTTGACGCATTTGATTATACAAAATTTAAAAATCATAGCAATTAATATGCCCAATTTCATCAGAAATGACTCTAAAATTTGAGAAGCCATTACGCTTACAGTGGCAGATACAAGTTTTTCAAAATTCTAATTTTCACCTGGAAGATAAACTTTGTCTCTCCAACAAATACATCCTGCCAGTTGCTTCCCTTAAATAGGCTCTTTTCATTCATTCTAAAGAAAATATCTGCCAAATATCTGTGTCCGAATAGCCATAGTTTGTCTGTCATTCCTTCAAGTAAAATGGTGTTGCACTTTAAAAAGCAACTAGGTCATTAAATATAACCTTATTTTCCAAAACAAAAATTTAGTAAGAAGAGTGGCATTGTTTTATATTTTGAAAAATCTCTGTAATGTTGGACTTGCAACTCAACTGCATAAGTGCTTTTCACACTTTGGTTTGCAGTAGCAGTGCTGGGTACATCCCATTTCATCATACAGAATAATAAAAGAACTTGTACCCAAGGCTTAGGATTTAATAAAATTAATAATTTGTACTGCTACCTCAAGGACTTTTATAAGTGAAAGTGGTATTCTTTTCAAATGTAAATTCACTGTAAGAATATAGTGAATACTGATACTGTTTGCCACCACTGCCTTCATTCATCCTAAGTGCCAGTTTTATTATTAAATGGTTCCAGTTTTACTTTGAAATCTTTTTGACCTTGAAGACCCCCTGAAAGAATCCTAGAGACCCCCTGAGATCAGTGTTCCACACCTTGGGAACCTCTGGTCTAGCCTACTGTGATTAATAACAGTATTTTACATACCTGCTTAATAAACATTCCCCAACCAGGGCAGCGCTACTCAAAGTTGCTCCAGGAACTGGTGCCAGTCCATAATCCACAGCAAAATGCACAGATTGAGAGTAAGCATTTATAAATTTTTTAGTGATTTCAACAGAGTAATTTTATGTCTGCCAAGCCTGACAATAAAAAAAAAGAATGCTTTATATACATTTGTTTTTTGTTTCATTTTCTAAACATTTATTTTTATTTCATCTTATAAAATATCTGTGACAAATTATAATTTTTTGTTTCTTTCCTAACTTAGCCAATAGTATACAGTCTTGTTTATTGTAGCTATGTAGTAAGTCTTCAAATCAGACAGCATGATTCCTCCCAATTTATTCTTCTTTTACAAATTTGTTTTAGCTATTGTATTTCCTTTCTTTTCTTTTTTTTTTTCTTTTGTGTGTGTGTGTGAGAGAGAGACAGAGAGAGAAAGAGAGACAGAGTAATGCTGTCACCCAGGCTGGAGTGCAGTGGTGTGATCTCGGCTCACTGTAACCTCTGCCTCCCAGGTTCAAGTGATTCTCCTGCCTCAGCCTCCCAAGTAGCTGGGATTATAGGCACCCGCCATCATGCCTGGCTAATTTTTGTATTTTTGTAGAGATGGGATTTCATCCAGCCTTGAACTCCTGACCTCAGGTGATCCACCTGCCTCGGCCTCCCAAAGTGCTGGGATTACAGATGTGAGCCACCACACCCAGCTGTAGCTCCTTCTATATAAATGTTAGAATAATCCTGTCTATATCTCCAAAATATCTTGCTGGGATTTTGGTAGAAACTGCAATGAAACCGTCAATTTGAGAATTGATGTCTACTACATTGAGGCTTTCGACTGATGAACATGGTACATCTCTACATCTATTTAACTTTTATTTGATTTCTTTCTCATCAACATAGTGTAGTTTTCAGCATAAAACTTCTGTACATGTTTGGTTAGATTTACACTAAGTATTTTATTTTGGGGGTTTATGATAAATTGTATTGTTTCAATTTCATGTTTGTTGCTAGTTTATAGAATTACAATTGATTTTTGTGTGTATATCTTGTATCCTGTGACCGTACTGACTTATCTATTAGTTCTAAGGGTGGGTTTTTGTTGTTGTTGTTGTTAGTTTGTAGATTCCTTTAGATTTTCTAAGTAGACAATCATGCTATCTGAAAAGAGGGGTCATTTTATTTCTTCCTTTCCAACCTGTGTTTATTTCCCTTTCTTGCCTCATTGCACTGGCTAGAATTTCAGCATTATGTAGGTTTCTCAAATAGTTTGATTCCATCTTGGTTGGAGAACACACTGTATTATTTCAATTCTTTCAAATTTGTTGATGTTTGTTTTACGGCTTAGGTTATGTTCTATCTTGGTATGTGTTCCATGAGCACTTGAAAAGAACATGTATTCTGCTGTTGTTGGAAGGGCGGGACCTACTCCCAGAATTTCCCATTCAATATGTCTGAGTGGGGCTTGAGAATTTGCTTTTTTTTTTTTTTTTTTTTTTTGAGACGGAGTCTCACTCTGTTGACCTGCCTGGAGTGCAGTGGCGCCATCTTGGCTCACTGCAACCTCTGTCTCCCAGATTCAAGTGATTCTCCCGCCTCAGCCTCCTGAGTAGCTGGGATTACAGGTGCATGCCACCACACCCAGCTAATTTTTGTATTTTTAGTAGAGATGGGGTTTCACCATGTTGGCCAGGCTGGTCTCAGACTTCTGACCTCAAGTGATCCACCGGCCTCGGCCTCTCAAAGTACTGGGATTACAGGTGTGAGCCACCGTGCCTGGCAGAGAATTTGCATTTCTAATAAGCTCCCAAGTTACACTCGTGGGGCAGGGAGCACACATTGTGTCCAATAGTTACCAAACTGATGATTGGAATAACTGGAAGAGCTTTTAAAATCAGGTCATGCATAGACAAGTTAAATCAGAATCCATGAGGGATGGGAACCAGGCATCAGTACTTTGGAATCACCTGGAAGCGTGTTTAATACATTCCATAATGTGGTCAATTTCTATATTCTGAGTTCATTGGTCTAGGGGAAGAGTCCTGAACACTGGCATATTTTTAAAGCTCCCCAGGGGATTCTTCTAATCAACAGACTTGAGAGACACAGAACTAGATGGAAGGTGATACCATGTGCTGAGATAGGTTCAGGCGTTCTCTAACACGGTTCACCTTGCAGGAGCTCACTAAGTCACTACTTCGGTATATGATGCTCTTAAAACATCCGGACCAACAGTCTTCTCTTCTTTTCCTCTCTTATTGCAAACACACAATGATGCACATTCTCAGAAGGCTGGCTGTTAATCCCAGACCTGCAGTCCCACATAAGAAGGCAATAGAAAATTCAGGAAAAACTGCTCCTTCCCCATTGCATCTTCTATGCCTAGCACCCTGCCTGGTCCATAATAAAATTAGATACATATGTATTAACTAAATATACTACTCTGATTCATGAAAAACACAAATATACTCAGAAGCTTTGGAATTTTAAATATTGGTAGTAACCAATGAGTTCAATGCATCTAAATTCTGGTTGTGAAACATGAGGAGTTTGATCTGCATCCAGCTGCAACACACCCAGGTGAGCTCAACCTTGACCTAACAGCTTCTGAGCCATCAGGAAACAAAGACATGTTTGCAGAGCCCTTGAGGACCTGCAAGGAGTAGTCTTGTCAGGGAAGACGTGGGTTGATGGTACCTTCCATGTAAGTGGCCAGGTTCCACATGTCCTCATGTTCTCCATCAAAGCATTCTGATGATATAGCTATGAATTCACAACCACCATAAAGAATGTGCAAGAAATGTCATTCCCTTTATTTTATTTTCTTTAATTCCATCCAAATTCCAAATCAGCAGCCTACATATATTATTTTTACTGAAGGTCACACTACTTGTCCAGCCCACCTAAGAGGTGTGGGGTTTTTGGTGGAATAAAATATTTGGGGAGGTCCCTTCTGGTCTTAGTCCATACCCCTTATCTATAATGAGCCCACCTGGTACCTTGAAAATAGCAAGCTCAGCTTCCATGTTGTGCCTGGGCATGAACATTCTCACGGGCTGAAAGTCTGGGCATGCTGGGTGTGGGCTCACTACACAGTCATTTCCCCAAAAGTCCTCTCAAGTTTTTCAGGCTCTCTTGGGGCATGGATTAGCAACCTTACTACCAAGAGTTTCTGGCCGGGCACGGTGGCTCCCTTTGGGAGCACTTTGGGAGGCCAAGGTGGGTGGATCACTTGAGGTCAGGAGTTTGAGACCAGCCTGGCCAACATGGCAAAACTCCATCTCTACTAAAAACACAAAAATTAGCCAGGCATGGTGGTGGGCTGGCTAGTAGTCCTGTAGTCACAGCTACTCGGGAGGCTGAGGCAAGAGAATCCCTTGAACCTGGGAGGCAGAGATTGCAGTGAGCCAAGATCATGCCACTGCACTCCAGCCTGGGTGACAAAGCAAGGCTCCATCTCAAAAAAAAAGAGTTCTGTCTCTTTCCTCTTGTGGTTGGAATCTCTTTCCTCTTAGTGTTTCCTCCCTGTACTCAACTTTGGGCACTCACGAATCTCCCATCCTCTTCCAGGACGCCTAGTCTCATCTTCTTAGTAGTCTTAAGTTTTCATAAAATCCAAGGAGAGACGTTGTCTTTCAGGAACTTTGACTTTTTTTTTTTTTTTTTTTTTTTTTGAGATGGTGTCTCATTCTGTTGCCCAGGACGGAGTGCAGTGGCACGATCTTGGCTCACAGCAACCTCTACCTCCCAGGTTCCAGCAATTCTCCTGCCTCAGCCTCCTGAGTAGCTGGGACTACAGGTGCCCGCCACCACGCCCAGCTATCAAATATTTTTAGTAGAGGTGGGGTTTCACCATGTTGACCAGGCTGGTCTCGAACTCCTGGCTTCAAATGATCCACATACCTTGGCGTCCCAGAGTTCTGGGATTACAGGCATGAGCCACCATGCCTGGCCTGGAACTTTGACTTCCTGCTTTGCAAACACATTGAAGAAAGAGAAGACAAAGGCCTTGCTACTTTCTCACACAGAGAGAGGAAAAAGTTCAGATTCCAAAGCACAAATGCACTTTTACTCTTGTAATTCTTCAGCATGTTAGTGTCTCAGTAAGTTATCATCCTACAATGGTAAATTGAGATGAAATGCATCTCCTGGCGTCACACCATTCTAGAAGCCAACGCGGCCTACTTCCCTAAGGCTTCTGCAGCTGTGAGGGGGATAGTTCCTGAATCTCTTTTGACTATGTCAGAAAGGAAATCTCTGTTGATGAGGAACACTTCTTATAAATCCAACAGTCACAAATCTTTGCAGGCAAAAGTCTGCACAGCTCTGTGGAACCTCTTCCAGAATCTTTTTCCTAGACTTAAATTGGCATTTCGTTAGAACTTCTCTTACCAGCCAGAAGTGTTTCTATTCAAAGGCAATACAATCTAATTCTCTTTGCAAAATAGACCAGATTGCACTAATAAATGGGAAGAGTTAGCCTAATTTGGGTGTCATTAGTAAATCTGGCCTCAGCAAACATTTACTGAGTGTCTGCCAGCTGCCAGGTGCTGAGGACTCAAAGAGAAAAAGGTCTTCAAGGAACACTTGTTTTTTTGGGGGATATAACCACAAACTTCTATAATATGAGGTAATAGGATATGGAGAAAGGGCTCTGGGATCCTAGCAGAAGAGCCAATAGAAAATGTATAGAGGAAATGACATTAATGTGGGTTGCAAAGAACAGATAAATATCTTCCAACTGGGGGTGAGAGAAAGGGCATTACAGGAAGAGGAACAGCCAGAGCAATGGCAGAAGGTCAGAACTTTGTGAATTTCCTTGTGATGGGGTATGTATGAGTGTGTTTGCACCACTGCATTCATTGGGAAACGGGGAGTAGGAGTTGGCAGGAGTTGAGTTTGGAGGAGGAGCACAAGTATAAGAAGTTTCTCTAAGTTTAGCCGAGTTTCATAACTAACATGTAAATCTTTGGTCTCCCAGGTGGAGTGCAGGGGCATAATCATAACTCACTGTGGCCTCAAACTCCTGGGCTCAAGCGATCCTCCCACTTTAGCCTCCTGAGGAGCTCGAACAACAGGCACATGCCACCATTCTCGGTGTATGAGTCTGTTCTCACGCTACTAATAAAGACATGCCTGAGACTGGGTAATTTATAAAGGAAAGAGGTTTAATTGGCTCACAGTTCCACATGGCTGGCGAGGCCTCACAATCACGGTGGAACGTGAAGGAGGAGCAAAGTCACATCTTACATGGTGGCAGACAAGAACACTTGTGCAGGGGAACTCCCATTTATAAAACTATCAGATCTCCTGAGACTTATTCACGACCATGAGAACAGTATGGGGGAAACAGCCCCCATGATTCAATTATCTCCACCTTGCCCTACCCTTGACATGTGGGGATTTTTACAATTCAAGGTGAGACTTGGGTGGGCACACAGACAAACCATATCACTCGGCTAATTTTTTTAAAATGTTTTATAGAAATGGGGTTTTGCTATGTTGCCCAGGCAGGCCTTGAACTCACGGCTCAAGAGATCCTCTCTTCCTGGCCTCTCAAAATACTGTGATTATAGGCACCAGCCACCACTCCCAGCAAAGTTAAGTGTATTTAGGGATTATCTCATTTGATCCTCATAATATCCCAAGAGTAGGTTCTACTCTTATTCTCATTTTATAAATGTTCTTCTTTATGTTCTCGCTTGTTATTCTCTGTTCTTACTAGTTTTCCAGGTACCTAACAGACTCAAATATCCCTGTGTGACTACTTTATTCCTACAGAGCCATAGAGTTGCGTTTGTTTTTTTATTTTTTGGGAGCGGGAGATAAAAAGGTCTGCTTTGCAGCAAACTGAAGTGGCCCAGCGTGGTGTCCACTTAAAATGGTTGCTATGCCACAGGACATTTTGACCTCATCATTTTAACCCCTCTGTTTTGACTTTGAGGACAATTGCTCTTGCTCTTTTGACCCTGAGAACATTTTGAATTCAAGACTTTTAATTAGAATTATATCAACTCAGATAGACTTTTCATCCAGAAAGTGTTTTCCAGAGTGAATTCCATTAAGCCAATTTAATCCCTTGATCAATTTTCTACATAGCACAGTTAGACCATTTCCAAAAATATTAACTCTACTGAAATTATTTTCATTTGGATCAATTCTTTTCCATTTAAAATTTGAAACAAAATCTGATGTATTGATTAGGTATTGTCCATATCAAATTGTATTGATCTTGTCTTCTACTTTGTGTAATAGTCATTATTTCTATCAAGTCCATTTTTTTTTCCTGGGTCAAAACTCACAGACCTAAATTTTTTATAAGTAAAGTTTGACTCTTCTGTCAATGTGTAGTCAATAACAAGGTTTGTTGTGTGCAGTTTTAGCTGTTGATTATTTATACCAGTAAATTAAAATTTATGTCCATTATAAATTGAATTAAAATAATGATGCTTTTGGTTTTATATTCATAGGAAAATTTTTTGTGCACATTTTTGCAAGAGAGAGGAAAAAAGAAAAAGGGACGGGGCAGTAAAGGAGACAGAGACAGAGAGATATTTAGAGAAAGAAAAGTTGTTTGCCAAGTTCTTAAACATATTGCAAATGTATTTAAATTTAAATGTATTGCAAAAGAGTTTAAATGTCCATGAGGTCAGAATGGACAGAATATGAGAACAGTGTTTGTTTCTGGGAAGAGTAAGGTGGCCCTGAGTAGAAGCAGGGGCTGAGATCCCCATTACCCTTAGGAAGGAGCCTGGAGAAAGGATCTGAAGGCAGAAAGAGGATTTATTTATACAAGCAGCATCCAAGACACTGCTTGACAGCTATGGTTCCCTGGACTTACTAGAAAAACAGAATTATTAGATAGCACCAACCTTATGCATTTCTGTTTATATAACCAGCATCACTAAAAGTAATGTGCAGATGAGGGTCTTGGACTCCTGATATCTTCAGGGTTTTTAAGACAGAAATTCATTGATATGGGGCCAGATGCAGTGGCTCACCCCTGTAATCCCAGCACTTTGGGAGGCTGAGGTGGGAGGATCACCTGAGGTCAGAAGTTCGAGACCAGCCTGACCAACATAATGAAACCCTGTCTCTACTAAAAATACAAAAATTAGCTGGGTGTTGTGGCAGGGGCCTGTAATCCCAGTTACTCAGGAGGCTGAGGCAGAATTGCTTGAACCTGGGAGGCAGAGGTTGCAGCAAGCCAAGACTGTGCCACTGCACTCCAGCCTGAGTGACAGAGTGAGACCCTGTCTCAAATTAAAAAAAAATTATAAATTCATTGGTATGGATTTCCATTGTATCTTATAAATCCCGTCAAGAAGGGGGCTAGTGCCTTCCAGAACTTCCTTTTCAATTAATTTCCATTTCCTATTGGGTTAAGTCCAGCTTCTTTTAGTGTAGAATACTGAATCCTTCACAATATGGCTGATGTCAGCATCTCAAGCTTCTGCTCCCATCACTCCACACAAATGCTCACCTCACTCAGGTGGCTGACAATTTTTCTGTTTGCAGAGCACTTGATGTTTCCCTGGTTATCCCCATGGCGGTTTTGCCTGGAATTTTATTTCCAGTTCTTCTGCCTGAGAAACTCATACACATCTTTCCCAAAGGGGCTCTCTATTCTGTGAATTAGGTAGAGGGATGGAAGCGACTTGGAGGGACTGTTTAGAATGTGCAGCACAGGGGAGTGACTGGGGCAAACTGTGTGATGGGGGCAGACAGACAGGGGTTGGGAAGTAATCTGAGATGAGGAGGAAGACCAGGAGAAACAGGCAATTGGAAGGGACAGGGGAAACAGGAAGGTCTGAAAGAGACTTGGGGAGGCTTAGACTTAGACTTGGAGAATGCTATAGAAAATGTGAGGAGATGAAGAAATGGATGAGACTAGGGGTGACCGGAAGGCAGTAGAGATTAGGGTTAGAGTCAACTATGCCTCCCTCTATTCTGTATAGCACCCCATGGGGACCCTACTACAACCCTGAATGCATTGAGTGCCTAATGTTGTGTCTCTTGCCCCCTGTAGTTCCTCTCTCAGTCCTGGAACATGATTGGGAAGAGTGTGCCATGGCTGAGCCTCCGTTCCCCAGGGAGAAACTCTTTGGTGAGAAGAGATAGAGTGGGTAGGCAGGGGACCTACCATCTTTTTAGGGTGTACCTGCTCATTTTCCCTCAGGACAATCTTAAGCCATTAATATACTTTGGTTCTGTTTCCACACCCAAATCTCATCTCAAATTGTAATCCCCACATGTCAAAGGAGGGACCTCGTGGGAAGTGATTGGATCATGGGGCGGTTTCCCCCATGCTGTTCTCATGATAGTGAGTTCTCACAAGAGCTGACGGTTTTAAAGTGTGGCCTTCCTTGCTCTCACACTCTCTTTCTCTCTCTTGCTGCCTTGTGAAGAAGGTGCCTTCTTCCCCTTTGCCTTCTGCCATGATTATAAGTTTCCTGAGTCCTCCCCAGCTATGCAGAACTGTGAGTCAATTAAACCTCTTTTGTTTATAAATTACCCAGTCTCAGGCAGTATCTTTATAGCAGTGTGAGAACAGCAGCCATGCTGTTAAAGCACCAGAATCTCACTGGGTCTGATTCAGCTCCAACTTCCCCTGATGGTCTTCTCCATGGAGTCTGTGCAAGGAATGGCTGACCCTCCCTGGGGAACACTCACAATGTGAGAGGGGAGGTATGCGCCTGAATCGTCTTTTGAACTTAAGTCTTCATCAGGTTGTCTGCCTGGGTACTACCCTAGGCTAGAAAGAATAATCATTTGCTAGGAGTTATGAGCTGGGTTAAATGAAAACTGTAAGGTAAATTTACCTAATGGGGACATCTGGAGAACAAAGTGACTATGGATGTCTTATGAACTCCTGGTGTGTGATTTTGTGTGACCTCAGGTAAGCCGCTTGGTCTGTCTGAGCCTCATTGTTTACATCTTCAAAACTGGGATCAAATGGCTATCTTTTAGGGCTTTTGTGATAACTAATAGTGTTATGACACCCTTAGTGTTTCTTTTTCCTATTTAGATTTTAATTAAGTTTCAATTGATTTTTGTGTCTGATGAAGTTTGGAATTTCAGTTAATTATTTCCTGAATGAATAGACAATTGTACCACAACATCATTGATTGAATAACCCCTTCCTGCCTTCACCAATGAGAGATTCCATTTTTATTAGACACTGAATTCTGATCTGTCCATTTCTGGACTCTCAAATTTTGTTCCATACTTCCACTGGACTAGTGCCATACTGCTTTATTATTGTAACTTCATAATATGTTATTGTATGTGGTCCCTTATCATCATTCTTCTGTTTCAAGATTTTCTTGTCTGTTCTTAGGTCTATGATTTTTCCCCTAGAGGAAAGTTTTTATCAAACAACTTGATATGGTTTGGTTGCGTCCCTACCCAAATCTCATCTTGAACTGTGGTTCCCATAATCCCCACATGTCATAGGAGGAACCTAGTGGGAGGTAATTGAATCATGGAAGCAGTTACCTCCATGCTGTTCTCGTGATGGTGAGTGAGTTGTCACAAGATCTGATGGTTTTATAAGGGGCTTTTCCCCTACTTCGCTCTGCACTTCTCCTTGTTGCTGCCATGTGAAGAAGGACATGTTTGCTTCCCCTTCTGCCATGATTGTGAGTTTCCTGAGGCCTCCCCACCCATGCAGAACTGTGAGTCAATTAAACCTTTTTTCTTTATAAATTACCCAGTCTCAGATATGTCTTTATTAGCCATGTAAGAACAGACTAATACACTACTAAATTCCAAAAATATTGGGACTCAATTGTAACCATTCATGTATGGATTTAGGGAGGAATCATACCTCTTTAAAATAGTGACTTTTCCTAATTAGGAGAATGCCATGTCTTTCAATTTACTCGGGGTTTTCTTTTCTGTCTTTTGATTTTTGTATGTAGTTCTTTGACATTTTTAAATGTTTTTCTGGGTAATACATATTAATGAATGCTATCATCTTCATTTTGCTTTCCTTGTTCACATTTTCTTTGCTCACTTTGATTCTGGATAGTTATTCTGCCCAGCATCATTTCCCTCTTCTTTCACCATACTCATGTCACATGGTTATTGCAGGAGCTGCCATATGAGATGGCATGACCCTGCTCAGGAACATTTAATTTGGCCAAGGGAGGATGTCCTAGCATGACCAGGTGCACCCTCTCTGGGACTGGTAGGATTATATAGACAGCTGGGCTTTTTTGACATTGGGGTCTCAGGAGCAAGAATTAGCTATGAAAATGGAATAAGAGAAAAACTAGGCTTCTCAGGGCCAGGGACGGTGGCTCATGCCTGTAACCCCAACACTTTGGGATGCCAAAGCAGGCGGATCACTTGAGGTCATGAGTTCGAGACCAGCCTGGCCAACATGGTGAAACCCCATCTCTACTATAAATACAAAAATTAATCAGGGGTGGTGGTACATGCCTGTAGTCCCAGCTACTTGGGAGGCTGAGGCAGGACAGTGGCTTGAACCTAGGAACCAAAGGTTGCAGTGAGCTGAGATCACACCATTGCACTCCAGTCTGGATGACAGAGTGAGATTCCATCTGAAAAAAAAAAAAAAAAGAAAGAAAAACTAGTCTTCTCATCCTGGGTAAGTAAGGGTGCCCTCCAGAAATAAGATGAATCTTGTTGCATCTAAGGTTGAATCTAAGAAGTCAGCCTAAAAGCAAACTTCAATTCAGACTCAAGGGTCAGCAACAGTAGTCATAACACAAAAGCAACAAGATGTGGAATAGAATAGAACATGGAGATTTTCTGTGGCAAAGCCACAGAGAGATGGGATGGAGGAGGGGTTGGTGTCTGTAGCTGTCAGTTCTTGTGCCATTAAGGTGATCAATTAGTCTGAATACATGGCGTAAGTCAGTAACATAGGGAAGATTAGAACTGACATTTGTCTAACTTCAAAGACTGGGTTCTCTCTGCAATCTTTGCATGCTCCCCAGACACCTCTGTCTACTCAGTCCCTTACATACATTTATGCTTTATGTCCATTCATACCTATTCTTGTGCCTCTGGGAAGATAAAGGAGGTACACCTTTCCCTATTCTCTCTGCTAAGTAAAACTAAAACCCCCAAACATTATATATAAAACAAGCAAACGACTTTGAAATGAAGTGAAGCAAGACTGTCTGGGGACCATTTCTTATCCTCCACACACCCTTCCTCCTTCTTGAAACCTCCTTTCAACCCTCTACTCTCTGTCATACTTTATTTCTGCAGCATTGGCTGACCACAGACCTCTCTAGTTTCCCAGAGTGGGGGACAGTCCATAGGACTAAGGATTAAGGACTTCCTTCGTTATTTCACTCCTTCTCCTTGAAGCAGATCATTAGGCATAAAAGCTTTGAGCCAACCGTAACATCAGATTGTTCCACAAATGACACATAACATGAAAATAGCCATCATAGCTTGGAATAACAAGTAAGTGCATCCCCCCTCCTTCATGCGATGTCTTGCAGGAGCCAAGTCTTTCTATCTATATCCAGGCAGATGGTGCAATTTTCTTGTCCTTCCTCATGCAAACAGCTCATCTCCGAGGATGAAGATGTCGCCATTTGGGCTGTGCTCTTTGCTTCAAGTTGTAATTGTTCAGGTTAGCTTGACACTTGATGGAACATCTGTAATTAATGTGTCACTTAGGGAGGTACAAAGGAAGGAAAACACCGAGGGACCATTTTAATTGAGAAAGAAATTCAACAATTAATTCAAAAACCCTTTAAGCACCTACTATGCACAAATAACTGCTTGGGACTAGAGCTACGAAGTTGAGAAAATGGTCCTTAGCTTAAGGAAGACAGCCTTTAGCAGAGACAGCAATTGTCAGCAAGGGACAATGCAACATGCTCAGTGTGTTAGAGGAAAGGTTCACAGATGCTCTGGTAATAGGTTGGAGTTAAACAGAGACAATGTATTTGCAATGCATATAACAAATAAAACTGCTAAATGAGTTCTCTCAAACTGATGAGAAATATACTAACACCCAACAGGAAAATGGAAAAAGGCAGGAACAGGCCAATAAATATATGTTAATTAAAAATGAGATACTATTTCACCCCGACAAAGGCAAAAATTTAAAATGAGGCCAGGCACAGTGGCTCATGCCTGTAATCCCAGCACTTTGGGAGGCTGAGGCAGGCGGATCATGAGGTCAGGAGATCGAGACCATCCTGGCTCACACAGTGAAACCCTGTCTCTACTAAAAATACAAAAAAAAAAAAATTAGCCGGGCATGGTGGCAGATGCCTGTAGTCCCAGCTACTTGGGAGGCTGAGGCAGGAGAATGGCATGAACCTTGGAGGCGGAGCTTGCAGTGAGCCGAGATTGTGCCACTGCATTCCAGCCTGGGCGACAGAGCGAGACTCCACCTCAAAAAAAAAACAAAAAAAAAGTAAAATGAGAGGAAACTCCCAGAGCTGGCAAGATGCTAGAAGAAACATATATTGTCATGTCACTGGGGAAATGTGAGTCATCAGAGCCTTTTGTGGAACCATAACCATGCCATGTTTATTCAACTTAAAAGTACATATACTGGCCGGGCGTGGTGGCTCAAGCCTGTAATCCCAGCATATTAGGAGGCTGAGGCAGATGGATTACTTGAGGCCAGGAGTTCGAGACCAGCCTGGCCAACATAGCAAAATCCATTTCTACTAAAATATACAAAAATTATCCAGGTGTGGTAGTGCACACCTATAGTCCCAGCTACTTGGGAGGCCGAGGCATAAGAATCTCTTGAACCTCGGAGGTGGAGGTTGCAGTGAGCCAAGATCCTGTCACTGCACTCCAGCCTGGGTGACAGAGCAAGACTCCATCTCAAAAAAAAAAAAAAATAGTACATGTACTGTTTATCTTGATCTGTCCTTTTTTGGTAATCTATCCTATATAAATAAAATTATTATTTGTGAAGGCAATAAAACTAAAAACAAGTTAAGTAACCATGGCTCTTCCATATTATGGAATATTAAGTAGCTAATATAAAGAATGAGTTAGATCTATGACTGTTAGCCCAAAAGGGTATCCATTATGTATTATTAATGAGAAAAGGAAGTTGCAAGAATATATACAGTATGATTTCGTTTGGGTAAAAACAATGACAAATATTCTGTGTGTGTGTGTTTGCATGTGCATATTTGTAAATGTGTATGGAGAAAGAATAAAAGGATATACTCTAGGCTCTTAACATTCATAACTTTTTTGGAAAAGAAGATACAATAAGAGAGAGACTTTTCTCTTATAAATTGTTTTTTGTTTGTTTGTTGTTTGTTTTTTTTCCAAGACAGGGTTTCACTTTGTCACCGAGGCTGGAGTGCGGTAGCACAATCATGACTCCCTACACCCTCAAACTCCTGAGCTCAGGCGAACTTCCTGTCTCAGCCTCCCGAGTAGCTTCAGACCACAGGCACACACCACCATGCGCGGCTAATTTTCTTTCTTTCTTTCTTTCTTTTTTTTTTTGTAGAGAAGAGGTCTTGCTATGTTGCCCATGCTGGTCTTGAACTCCTGGGCTCAAGTGTTCCTCCCGCCTTGGCCTCTCAAAGTGTTGGGATTACAGGCTTGAGCCACTGTGCCCAACCAATAGACATTTTTTTTTTTTTCTAGAAACTGGTTTCAGTTCTTGTGCCTCTGGGAAGATAAAAAAGATATATTTTCCCTATTCTTCCTACTAAGTAAAACTAAAAACCCTTGACATTACATATAAAACAAGCAAAGGATTCTGAAATGAGGAGAAAGCAAACTGGCTGGGGATCAAGGAACAACACGTGGATCTGCTCACTTGGTTTCTTTTCATTTTGTGTATCCCAGACTTGAAGCTGAAGAAGCTAACAAAAAAGCCTGTATAAAAGCCCAATCTTTCTGCCAAAAAACAAAAACAAAAAAGAACAGGAAAAGAGCAATCTAGCAAGAGAGAAAACTCTGGACAATATAACCACTTAACTACATCCAAACACCATAGAAAAATTGTGGCCCTGTGTCCAACCACACCAGCAGACTGAGTGAGACAGCCCAGACTTCCACTTCCGGGGGACCCGTGGGACTGTAGCAAAACATTTAACATTTTTGTCACAAGAGAACCAGAAAGACAGAAGAAAGAGGATAGGACAACAACAACAATAACAAATAACATTTTTTTTTAAAGAAATCATGGCTGAAAACTTTCCAATTTAACAAAACTTCAAAACTTCATTTCTTTCCATCTATTTTGTCACTTTTTAGATTGGAAGGTGGTTTAACAAGGCTTACAGGTGATCCGGAAGCATGCTTGAGTGAGAACCATTGCTCTAGTAATTCCCCAACCAGAAACCTGGGAGTAAGTCTTGATTCTTCACGTTCATCCCCTATCCACATTTAGCCAAGCCTGTCTATTGTACCTCAAAGTTCCTCCACCTCTTTCTCTCTTCACTACCACTATCCTAGTCCAAATGACCATCATCTCTTGCCTGGGCTGATGTAACATCCTTCTAAAGCTATGGTTCGCAACACTAGTTACAGTGATGCCTGGCCCCACTCCCAGAGGCTCTGATTTACAATAGCCTGAGGGTGGAGACACCCCTGAGTGACTGTGTCTTTAGCAACTCCCCAGGGAGGTATAATACACAGCCCACATGGAGAGCCATCTGAAATCATCTTCTCCTTCCACTCTTGCCTTTCTAGAAGTGCTGCTTCCAGGAAACACCCCAGAGGGTACCATTCACATTGTGGTTTGCATAAACCGTGGAGGGCTGCATAGAGATTGCCCTGCCCTGGCACTTATTCTCTGCAAAGCAGGAGGAAGAATATTCTTAAAACATAAATCCTCTGTTTGGCTTTCACTTATAAGTGAGAGCATGTGGTATTTGGTTTTCTGTTTTTGCGTTAGTTTGCTTAGGATAATGGCCTCCAGCTGGGTCCATGCTGCTGCAAAGGACATGATTTTGTTCTTTTTATGGCTGTGTAGTATTCTATGGTGTATATGTACCACATTGGGTAAGTGTGGACATAAAGATGGGAACAACAGACACTGGGGACTTGATATGGTTTGGCTGTGTCCACACCCAAAACTCATCCTGAATTGTAGCTCCCATAATTCTCACATGTCATCGGGGTACCCGGTGGGAGGTAATTGAATCATGGGGGCGGGTCTTTCCCATATTGTTCTCATGACAGTGAATAAGTCTCCTGAGATCTGATGGTTTTTTGTTGTTTGTTTATTTGTTTTGGGACAGAGTCTCGCTCTGTTGCCCAGGCTGGACTGCAGTGGCGCAATCCTGGCTCACTGCAACCTCCGCCTCCCAGGTTCAAGCGATTCTCCTGAGTAGCTGGGGCTACAGCTGCGTGCCACCACGCCCAGCTAATTTTTTATGTTTTTAGTAAAGACGGGGTTTCACCGTGTTAGCCAGGATGGTCTCAATCTCCTGACCCCGTGATCCACCTGCCTCGGCCTCCCAAAGTGCTGGGATTACAGGTGTGAGCCACCGCGCCCAGTCGATCTGATAGTTTTATAAAGGGGAGTTCCCCTGCACAAGTTCTCTCTTGCCCGCCACTGTGTAAGATGTCCCTTGCTCTTCTGCCATGACTGTGAGGCCTCCCCAGCCATGTGGAACTGTGAGTCCATTGAACATCTTTACTTTATAAATTACCTAGTCTTGGGTATGCAGCTGGAGAACAGACTAATACAGGACTACTAGAGGAGCAAGAGAGGGAGGGGGGCAAAAGGCTGAAAACTACCTATTGGGTATTATGTTCACCTGGGTAATGGGATCATTCTTACCCCAAACTTCAGCATCATGCAATATATCTTTGCAGCAAACCTGCACATGTATGTTCTGATTCTAAAATAAAAGTTGAAAAATTTTAAAAAACATAAATCTTATTAGGAGTTTCCCCTGCTTAAACACATATGTGCCTTACCATAATACACAGGAGAAAATCCACGCTCCTTACCAAGGCCTAAATGCCTTGCAGCACCTGGCCCCTACTTACAACCTCATCTTCCTTCCATCACCATTCTCTCCCCAGATGGCCTTAATTCAGTTCTTCAGACCCACAGAGCTCTTTCCCACCCTGGAGTCTTCATGCAATTTGCTCCCTCTTTCCAAAATGTACTTTCTCCACTCGTCACATGGCTAACATCTTCTCATTCCTTGGGTGTCAACTCCAGTCACCTCTTCAGCATGGCCTGGCCACAAATCCAAGGTGGCACACATCCCCCAGCCCCCCAGGTGTTCTTTATCTCAATCCCATAGTTACTGTCTTTACAGCACTGTTATTAAAATCATTTCACTTGTCTGTTTGATTGCTTGGTTCCTCTCTCTGTTTCTCTGTCTCTCTCTTACTCCTCCCCCAACCCAGTCTAGACTGAAAGCTCTGCAGAGTCAATGATAATTTTTGTTTTGTCCACCTTAACACAATGCCCAGCACATAGTATACAATACAGATTTGTTGAGGGAATTAATTAATCATGGATCCAAGAGATGATAAGACGTCCAAGTCTGGGCCTCCACACTGGACACCTCTTAGAACTCAGGCAACAAGGCAATTAACACCGGGAAGATTGATCCAAGATTAGGAAACCCTTCCTTGGGGGCTAGGATTCAGAATCAAGACTCCAGACTTGGAAACGAACCATAAAGGGCTCAAGTAGAAATTCAGGAAAAAGGACCAAGATAAAATTCCAATCTTGCAAACTAAAGCTAGCGAAAAACAAGACTTGATGTTTTTGGATACTGAAACCCTTGTGATAGAAAAATAGCAAAAGAAAATAGGAAGCACATGAACATAGAGGACACTGAGACACTGGTAGGCATTCCTGGGAACGCGAGCCCCAGTGGCTCAAGCAACGCTAAGTCCTCATAATAGGCATTGCATATGTCCCAGGATTGATCTGGGAATGGAGGAGTTTGCTGAGAACTGCTTTACCCACAGTTTCCTGTTATATATTTAGTGAGCATTTATCATGTGCCAGGCACTGCGCTAGATGCTGGGTTATAGTAATAAGGAAAACAGACAATGACCATGCAATCACTGGAAAGCCAGTCAATAAACAAAGAAATTGAGCCAAGCAAATTCTAATTTAATGGAGCCCAAAGCTTGTATACAGTTGTCCCCTAGCATCTGCAGGGAATTGGTTCCAGGACCCCCTACAGATACAAAAATCCATGCTCAGGGCCTTTATATAAAATGACACAGGCCTGGCGTGGTGGCTCACGTATGTAATCCCAGCACTTTGGGAGGCCCAGGAGAGCAGATCACAAGGTCAGGAGATCGAGACCATCCTGGCTGACACAGTGAAACCCCATCTTTACTAAAAATACAAAAAATTAGCAGGTAGGGGTGGCGGGAGCCTGTAGTCCCAGCTCCTCGGGAGGCTGAGGCAGGAGAATGGGGTGAACCCGGGAGGCGGAGCTGGCAGTGAGCCGAGATCGCGCCACTGCACTCCAGCCTGGGCGACAGTGAGACTCCGTCTCAAAAAGTAAATAAATAAATAAATAAATAAATGACATGGTATTTGCATATAACGCACACACTCTCCCATATACTTTAAATCATATCTAGATACTTATAATACCTAATACAATGTAAATGCTACATAAATAATTGGTATACTGCATTGTTTTTTGTTTGTATTATCTTCTATTGTATCATTATTTTTTTAATTGTAGTTTTTTTCTAGTATTTTCCATCTGTGGTTGGTCAAATCCACAGATGTGGAACTTGAGGATACAGAGGGCTGACTGTCATTTGGGGAAAGGAGAGCATCTAAAAAAAATACAAAGGTACAAATGCAAAATTAGGTACTAAAGTCAATGTCTATGGGCTTGTCAAACTCCCAGAACTGTACATCCAAAAAAAGCATATGTAAATTTAAAAATAATTTTTAAAACGCAGAAATAAGTGGCACAGAAGTAACCATTCAATAGGTTTTATATTGCATTACTGTCTCCAGAACAAAAAATAAATGTGTATAAAGAAAAAAACAAACAACCCCATCAAAAAGTGGGCGAAGGACATGAACAGACACTTCTCAAAAGAAGACATTTATGCAGCCAAAAAACACATGAAAAAATGCTCATCATCACTGGCCATCAGAGAAATGCAAATCAAAACCACAATGAGATACCATCTCACACCAGTTAGAATGGCAATCATTAAAAAGTCAGGAAACAACAGGTGCTGGAGAGGATGTGGAGAAATAGGAACACTTTTACACTGTTGGTGGGACTGTAAACTAGTTCAACCATTGTGGAAGTCAGTGTGGCGATTCCTCAGGGATCTAGAACTAGAAATACCATTTGACCCAGCCATCCCATTACTGGGTATATACCCAAATGACTATAAATCATGCTGCTATAAAGACACATGCACACGTATGTTTATTGCGGCATTATTCACAATAGCAAAGACTTGGAACCAACCCAAATGTCCAACAATGATAGACTGGATTAAGAAAATGTGGCACATATACACCATGGAATACTATGCAGCCATAAAAAATGATGAGTTCATGTCCTTTGTAGGGACATGGATGAAATTGGAAATCATCATTCTCAGTAAACTATCGCAAGAACAAAAAACCAAACACCGCATATTCTCACTCATAGGTGGGAATTGAACAATGAGATCACATGGACGCAGGAAGGGGAATATCACACTCTGGGGACTGTGGTGGGGTGGGGGGAGTGGGGGGGATAGCATTGGGTGATATACCTAATGCTAGATGACGAGTTAGTGGGTGCAGCGCACCAGCATGGCACATGTATACATATGTAACTAACCTGCACAATGTGCACATGTACCCTAAAACTTAAAGTATAATAAAAAAAATAAAAAATTAAAAAAATAAAAATAAAAGAATGAGTAAACTTCTGGACTTGGGTGGAATAGGCTGTTCATGTGTGTGTGTATATATATATATCTGTGAGGTCCATTTGGCCTATTAAATACAATGCTATTCAAGTCTGATGTTTCTTTATTGACTGTCTGTCTGGATTTTCTATTCATTATTAAAAGTGGGGCACTGAAGTCTCCTACTATTATTGCATTGCTGTCTATTTGGTCCAGCAATCCTACTTCTGGATATTTATCCAAAATAATCAAAATTAGGATCTCGAAGGGATATTTGCACTCCTGTGTTCATTGCAGGCTTATTCACAACAGCCAATATATGGAAACAACCTAAACATTCATCAGTGGATGAATGGATAAAGCAAATGTGTTCTACACATACAATGAAATAGTATTCAGCTTTATGAAGAAAGGAAATCCTGGCCACGTGCAGAGGCTCACACCTGTAATCCCAGCACTTTGGGAGGCCGAGGCAGGCAGATCACTTGAGGCCAGGAGTTTGACACCAGCCTGGCCAACATGGTGAAACCCCATCTCTACTAAAAATACAAAAATTAGCCGGGCATGGTGGTGCGTGCCTGTAGTCCTGGCTACTTGGGAGGCTGAGACTGGAGAATTGCTTGAACCTAGGAGGCAGAGGTTGCAGTGAGCTGAGATCATGCCACTGCACTCCAGCCTGGGTAAAAGAGTGAAACTCTGTCTCAAAAAACAAAAGGGGGAGTGGGGGGAAGAAAGGAAAAGAAAGAAAGAAATACCTGACACTGGGTAATTTATAAAGAAAGAGGTTTAGTTGGCTCACAGTTCTGCAGGCTGGGAAGGAAGGAAGGAAGGAAGGAAGGAAGGAAGGAAGGAAGGGAGGGAGGGAAGGAGAGAGAGAGGAAGGAAAGAAGAGAAGAAGGAAGAGGAGAAGAAGGGAAGGAAGGGGAGGAAGAAAAGGAGAGGAAGGGAAGGTAAGAGATGGGGCCAGCAGCAAATGTTAAGAAAAAACGAGAGACAGACAAGTTTCATAATATAAACTCAGCCCCTATACACACCATGGAGCTATCCATGAATGCTGCATGGTCTTTTCAGTTATTTCCCTTTCTACTTAAACAAGTTTGATTTGAGTATCTACCACTTAAAAAAAGAAGGAAAGAGCTTTGGCCAATTAAAAGCATATGTTGCTAGGGAATTTAACCTAGTCTACTGAGTTAGGTGGGATCTGTCTAAGTACCCCTTAAACCAAGACTCTAAGGGATAGTGAGAAGGAACCTCCAAATCATTTTAATTCTGAGTAACCCAAAGCCCTGTGTTAGCCTTCAGAGTGGAGGATAAGATCACATAGATTTAACGAGATCTCTGCTCCTTTTGAGAGGAAAGAGGTCTGCAATAGTCCAAGAGTTTTTCTTCTCCATGTATCAATCCTGCATGGGGATTTTTCCCTAAAACTGAGAAGCAGGAGACAGAATTTGCACCCACCAAGGATCAGGCATGTGGTTCAACATGGCATCTATGCTTCCACCCTCAGGCATTGGAAAGTCTTGGTCCTGAAGCTAATATCAGGCTGTGCTCCAATCCAAAGATCATGAATTAATGGCCCCTATCACAGAAATAAAAGTAATATGTACTTTAGAATCTCCCTATGCTATTCACAGGAAGATTTCTCCCAAGCTATGTTTATTCTGTTTTAAGCTTAATAACCTTATATGTAGGTGTTGACTATAGCTTGTATGTAGATTTTTTTCCGAAAGAGGGTCAAGAGTTATATTTCCTATCATTTTCCCGTGATATAACTTGAGCTTCTTATCCCCATTTTACTGGCAAGTAAATGAAGACACAAAGAATAACAAAATTGAAAATATGAGAAAAGCCAGCATGAGACAGATAAAATGTGAGAAAGCCAGAGGCTTGGCATGGGGATCATTCAGAATCTGGAATATTGTTGGTAACAATCACACCTAAAATTATATTTCTTTCATTTTTTTTTTGAGATGGAGTCTTACTCTGTCACCCAGGTGGGAGTGCAATGGCACGATCTTGGCTCACTGCAACCTCCACCTCCCGGGTTCAAGTGATTCTCCCACCTCAGCCTCCCGAATAGCTGGGACTATAGGCATGCACCGCCATGCCCGGCTAATTTTTGTATTTTTAGTAGAGATGCGGTTTCAACCATGCTGGCCAGGTTGGTCTCAAACTCCTGACCTCAAGTGATCCGCCCATCTCAGCCTCCCAAAGTGCTAGGATTACAGGCATAAGTCACTGCACTCGGCCTTAAAATTATATTTCTTTTTAAAATGTTTCAAAAATAAAGAAGAATTCATCCCCCCGTCCCCCACTCCCCATTCCTAACAAGAGGTCTTTCAAGAGAGAATGTACCAAAGAAATACACACAGAAATGATTTGATTGAGAGAGTGGAAAAGCTGAAGATATGATAAAGGAACATTATGTTTTTGGCAACAAGTAAAAGAGCAATTAGAAACTCCAGGCTTAAAAAACTATGAGAAAGTCATGCTCTAAATATGAAGCTAATTAAATGTGGTGTGGTTTTAAGCCACTGCCGTAAGAACATAAAAATCTTTTAACTTTGAGGCTTAGGACATTCTTATTTGAGTGACCCAAGGGTTGTGACTTTAGATCTGTAAAGAAGAAAATATAATTTTAGTTCAATCCCTGCTCCAGGTGTGAATGACCATTACATAATTATAATAACGAAAGCATGAGTTTGTATTCTATTTTCAGTGTCAACCTATTGGCAAAGAACAACTTAACTGTTTGTTAAAGAACAGAATGTAGCTGTTAAGTGTCTTGGCAACATGAGAGTAAAAGGGTAACAGAAAAGGGGAGGGTGAGAGTTGAGTAGAGGCAGGAAGAAAAATGAAAGGAAATAATGTCCCCATCTCAAAAAGAACGTAGGAAAAAAGCACCGATAAAATTTAAAATGGGAAGATAGAAACTGTGTACAAACTATATTGCATAAAGTTGAAAATGTAAATTTAGAAGAACCAAAAACAAATGCACCAAATATTCAGAAGGGGACAGAAGAGAAAGGGTTATTTGTCTGAACTAAATCTAAATCCTCATTTTTCATCACAAAGAAGAAATAAAAATTGCATGCCATAGATAAGTCAGAAAATAGAGATGTAAGTATACTATTTAGAGTTCTAGTGGAAACAGACAGAAGAAGTAAAACCAGAAATAGTTAAAAAATAAAAATAAAAAAAGCTGCCTCTGGAGAGAGAGCTGCAGGTGGAGTGAACACCTATTGTTTTCTGTCAGTGAGTGTTTCTGTATTTCATGACTTGTTACCATGTATATCTATTGTTTTGATTTAAATTTTTTTTAATTTTAATAGGTAAAATTCTGGAAATGGATTCTCCGAATCAATGCCCATGTCTTGACATTATCCTTTGGTGGTGGTAAGAAAGAAGGGATCTGATTTAATAGTGCCCCGGGGAGCCATGGTGTCCCCCACAATTCAATTTTGTGAACGTTTATTGAGTAAATAGATTCTCTGTGGCAGGACCTCTGCTAAGCCATGAAAGGATAAAAAGATGAATCAAACATGGTTTCTGCCCCCAGAAGCTTACAGGAAAGTAAGAGAAAAGCATGAACTGACAAAAGAAGGTAGAATATACCAAAGGTGTATAGTTCCATCAAGATACGGTGGAAGACAGAGGAAAGACTGACTATAGGAATTAATACGAAGAATGTAGAAGTGTAGCTGGTCCTGTTAGAGCCCCACCCATATTCCTTCATCTGTCTCCTTCCCCATATATACCAGCAGCATCCCACTGAACATGCCTGTGACATTTCACATGAACTGAACAGGACCCAGACAGAAATAATGTTATTATCATCTTGAGTGACCCTAGACCACAGTAGCTCATGACCACCAGAAGATTAGTGGAGAAATTTGCTATGACCACGGGATTATGGTCTTTTTAAATAAAGTGGTTCCTAAGTTGAGGCCATGAAGAATGAGTAAAACTGGGGCAGGCAAAGATTAAGGAGAAGAACACTGTAAACAGAAATAAAAATTGCCGGCAGTAGATAAGCCAAAAAATAGAGATGTAAGTATAGTGCTCAAAGTTCTAGTGGAAACAAACAGAACTAAACACAGAAATAGTTAAAAAAAAAAAAAAAAAAAGAAGTTAGTTGCCTCTAGGGAGAAGACTTCAGGTGGAATGAAAGGCTGTTGCTTTTTGTCAGTAAACACTTCTGTATTATATGACTTGTTACCATGTATAACTATTACTTTGATTTTAAAGTTTTAAATTTTAATAAATAAAATTCTGGAAATTGATTCTCTGAATCAATGGCAATGTCCTGACACTTGATTAGAAGGAACAGAGACAGGAAGGGTGAAGAGAGGCTTATTTCTCATTGAAATTTCCCATGTCTCTGAATTTCCCTTTTGAAAGATTCATCTATTACTGTTTTTTGTTTGTTTATTTATTTGTTTTGATTTTTGTTTTTTTGTTTTTTTCAGTGCAGTGGCACAATCTCAGTTCATTGCAACCTCCACCTCCCGGGCTCAGGTGATCCTCCCATCTCAACCTCCCAAGTAGCTGGGACCACAGGCATGCACCACCACACCTGGCTAATTTTGGGTGTTTTTGTTTTTGTTTTGTTTTGTTTTGCTTTGCTTTGCTTTTGTAGAGATAGGGTTTCACTATTGTACTAGTCTGGTCTCACACTGCTAGTAAGGGCATATCCAAGACTTGGTAATCTATAAAGAAAAGAGATCTAATGGACTCACAGTTTCACATGGCTGTGGAGGCCTCACAATCATGGCAGAAGGCAAAAGAGAAGCAAAGGCACCCCTTATATGGCAGCAGGCAAAAGAGCTTGAGCAGGGGAACTCCATTTATAAAACCATCGGATCTCGTGAGACTATTCACTACCGCAAAACAGTATGGGGGGAAACACCTCCATAATTAAATTCTCTCCACCTGGCTCCGCCCTTGACATGTGGGGATTATTACAATTTAAGGTGAGATTTGGGTGGGGACACAGCCAAACCATATCAACCATGTTGCCCAGGCTGGTCTCGAACCCCTAGGCTCAAGCAATGCTCCTGCCTCAGCCTCCCAAAGTGCTGGGATTACAGGCATGAGCCACTGTGCCTGACTTACTAGGTTCATATCTGTCTTCTCCATTTGGTAATCTCATGAAACTAGCTATTAATTCATTTATTACTGCATCCTCCAAAAAGTCCAATATCCAGAAGATGCTCCACAAGTTGATGGAATGAGAAAAAACAAAATGAGAAAAGGAGAGAGGAAGGGCTGGGTGTAGCTTAGTGTACACATCAGCTCTTTGCCCTGAACAGCTACCTCCCCGCCTGTAGAAATGGCATCTGGCATCTTATAAGTGACCTCTCCTTTGTAAACTTTTGCATCTGATTATTTCTCCACGTACCACCACTCCCTTTGATCCACAACCTGTCTTCATTTGCACTGGATCCATTTCTTGCTTTCCACCCCAGCTCTTCATATTTGATGCATCAGACTGTCTCTGACTTCTGGACTCACCTGTAATCTGGACTCAAATCTGTCCACTTGATGAAGAAATTTTAATTGAGTGCTTATTGTATACCAGGCACGGCAATATAATGAAGAAATACACCCACCTAATGTCTGCCCTCTCTGAACTTACCTTCTCCTGGGGTAAACAGATAATCACACTCACAAAAAAAAAATTACAGACTGTGTTTGAGTGACATGAATAAAAAGAATAAGGTGTTATGAACTAGAATAATAGGTGATCTAAATTAGTCCAGAGCTGCAAGGGAGAAGGGAAGTTAGAAAAGGCTTTTCTGGGGAAGTGACATTTAAGTTGGGATCTGGAAGAAAAATAAGATTAAGTGATGTAAAGGGGGAGATGTTTGAGAGATAAGGCTGGAGAAGTCGGACCAAATCATTAAATCACTCAGAGCCTTACAGACTGTATTAAGTTTTGCTACAATAATAAATATCAACATCTTAAAATAGTGATTTATTTCCCATTCATGTTATATGTCCATGTGGGTCGTGTCTTCATGTTGCCTTCAGGACTGATGGATCAGTCTTTATCTGGGCCAATGCTAGTCTTATAAAAGAGGAAAAAGAGAGAAAAGAGAAGCCATATATCTGGCCCTTAAAGCTTCTGCTTAGAAATAACACACATCACTTTGGCCCACATTCCATTAGCCAAAGCAAGCCACGTGGCTACATTTGTGTTCAACAGAGTAGGAATATATAATCCTCCTGCATAGAGAGTCCCTGCAAGTCACATGGCCATGATTAACATTAGTGAGACAGGGAAGTAGAACCCTTATCCAGGAAGAGCATCAAATATTTTGAACACTGATACAATTTCCCACATAGGTTTTATCCTAAGAGCAGTGGGAAGCCATGGAAGAGTCTTAAGCAGTGATAAGATTCATAATTTCACAAATTATAAATCACAATGCAGAGAATGGCTTGGAAAGTCTCAAAAGTGTTTATTGATGGTTATCATAATAGTAAAGGTGGGAGGAAATGTATGACTTATACTAGGGTGATGCCAGTGGAAATAGAAGACATAGATGGGTTAGATTAAAGTCTTATGAGATGGAATTTATAAGATCTATTGAGTTGTTGGGTATGGATAGTAAGAAAGAAAGAAGGATCAAAAATGATTCTAGATTTAACTCTTTATGCCTTTACATTATAGTTACCCACTCATTCCTAGCCACTCTCTTTTTTTACTAAATATCCTGGTGTACCATTTTCCTCTCTGTTCCAAGCACTACCACTATCCCAAGTGACTTTAGTATCCATTTCAGCACCCCATTCACTATCTATGCCTCTCAAATCTTTTGCCCGCTCAACTCAGTGGCCTTCACCTCCACTCTTCTTTGACCATCTTCTCTCATGATCACACCCCAGACCATAAAGTCATCCATCCAACAAGAAATCTCACATCTCTGAGATCTTAAATTCTAAGATTTCTTTTTGGCAACAGCTGACAATCATCCTAGCTCCTTTTTTAATATTTTAATCTTTTGTATCAATGTCTGACTTTCTCACCTACCTGGAAAAATGCCAGCCCTGGATGAATCCAGTAATTGCCTCCCACACATCTTCACTAGCTGTGAGCTCTGCTGGAAGAAATCATATAATTAGAAAGAATGGAATAATTGCAAAATTCTGGTCTCAAAACTCATCTGAGCCCTTCATGCTGTTGTGAATATCTTCTGGGTTTCTTTTTCCATAGTTGTTTCAGATCTGTAGTCTCCTGAACTGTATTAGTCCGTTCGTGTTGCTATAAAGAAATACCTGAGGCTGGGTAATTTCTAAAGAAAAGAGATTTGTTTGGCTTATGATTCCACAAGCTGTACAAGAAGCATGGCACCTGCATCTGCTTCTGGTGAGGGTTTCAGGGAGTTTCCACTCATGGTAGATGACCAAGGGGACTAGCATGTGCAGAGATCCCATAATGAGAGAGAAAGCAAGAGGGGATCAACTTGCCAGGCTCCTTTTAACAACCAGCTCCCAAGGGAACTAATACAGTGGAACTTGCTCGTTACTCCCACTCAGGGAGGGAGTTAATCTATTCATGAGGTATCCACCCCCATGACCCAAACACCTTCCACTAGGCCTACTTCCAACACTGGGAATCAAATTTCAACGTGAGGATGAAGGTCAAATATCCAAACTATAGCATAAATTTTCTTAACTTCCTCTTCTCTGATCACCCTTAGAATAAGACCTGGCCTTCTACTTCCCAAAGTAAGTTAAAATCCTGTATTATCTCCCCTCCCCATAACTTCAAGGGGAAACTACCTCACATGGTTCCTGTAGCATGTATGCCTGTAGAGCACGGCCAAGATTCAAGTCACATGATCCCTTCCACTGTCCAATGCATCATCCATTGATTAGCCAGTCATGAATAATTTGTAAGCCTGGCTCACAAAATTAGGATCAGCCAATCTGATATTTGCCTGAATTTGGAATTACAAAACTGAGGCAGCTGAAAGAAAGTGATGTGGGCAGCCAGCACGATGTGGGTATGTGAAGGTTAATATCAAGTAGAAAGAACATATAAACAGAAGATGCTGATGAGTGGAGAAAGGAAACCAGAGCTGATGCCCAGGGAAAAGAAAGCAATTCCCTGCTGTTCATTAGACAGGGAGCATCTTAGCTCCCAGTTCCAAACTCTGTAAGGTCTGGCTCTACTTCGGTTGGTTAGATGGACTTTCTGAGATTTTTTTTAATTTTATTTTAGAGACAGGGTCTCACTCTGTTGCCCAGGCTCAAGTGCAGTGGCCTGATTTTAGGTCACTATAGCTTCAAACTCCTGGTCTTAAGTAATCTTCCCGCCTCAGCCTCTCAAGTAGCTGGGACTAAAGGTGCACACCAACACACCCGGCTAATTTTTTTAAAATTTTTTGTCTAAATGGGGTCTTGCTATGTTGCCCAGGCTAGTCTTGAACTCCTGGCCTCATGTAGCCTCCTGCCTCAGCCTCCCAAAGTGCTGGGATTATAGGCATGAGCCGCCACACCCAGGTGAGATTTTTCATGCATTCTTCTGCAGTAGACGTTGCTATTTGCCTATCCACATTCCCTTCTCCTTTTTGCCCTGAATAACACTCTGATTTTGTTGAGGGGACTGTATACCAATGAAATATACTTACCTTTGACAGGTGCAGTGACATGAGCCTGTAGTCCCAGCTACTCAGAGGCTGAAGCAGGAGAATTGTTTGAGCTGAGAGGTTCAAGACCAGCCTGGGCAATGTAGCAAGACCCAGTCTCTTAAAAAATTTAAAAATAAAGTAAATATATTTGCCTCCCCAAACCTTCTTGCAAATAGGAGAGTTATATGACCTTCTCTGGCCAATGAGATATAAGTGGTAAACTACTGCCAGTGTCTCCAGGGAAAAATTTTCCTGATTGAAAAAAATGAAGAGGCTCAACTGATATGTACCTTTTGCACTTGTGCTAGTCTGTCCTCATGCTGCAAATAAAGACATACCTGAAACTGGGTAATTTATAAAGGAAAGAGGTATAGTTGACTCACAGTTCCACATGGCTTGGGAGGCCTCGCAATCATGGTGGAAGGTGAAGGAGGAGCAAAGTCACATCTTACATGGCAGCAGGTAAGAGAGCTTGTGCAGGGGGAACACCCATTTATAAAACCATCAGATCTCGTGAGACTTATTCCCTACCACGAGAACAGTATGGGGAAAACCACCCCCATGATTCAATTATCTCCACCTGGCTCCGCCCTTGATATGTGGAGATTACTACAATTTAAGGTGAGATTTGGGTGGGGACACAACCAAACCATATCAGCACTCCTTTCCTGCTTGGAATCCAGACATGATGCTTGAGATACAGTAAACATGTGGCCATGAGGGCAAAATTTACACACTGAGTCTGGTCAATCAGATATCTAGAAAGAGCTTTAATTATTTATTATTTCCTTAAGTAGCTGATACTATCCCTGATCTGCCTACTCTAGATTCTCAATATTTGAGAAAAACATAAGATTTCTTTTGGACTAAGCACCTATACTTGGATTTCTGCATGCAATTCTAACTGATAACCTCTCTTGTGCAAGCTTAAGTACGTTTCTGTTCCTTACAACCAAAATTGCCACAAGTCAAAAAACATCAGCTAGCACTTCCTCTGCCTATCTACCCACTCACCTACAAAATATATGCATCTCTACAATCCTTTCCTTCCCAGAGGAAGAAGGTCCTTCCTCCTCACACATTCTAGATCCTATGACTTCTTCTCAAGAACACTGTCCATCATTCACCCCTTTTGCCTGCACTTTCAACCTCTCCCTTTGCTCTGTCCCCTGCCAGTCACTAAACCTACTCAAGTCTCTCCCAGTTCAAATAAATCCTGCCCTTAATTCCATCTCTGCTTCCTATTACCACCATGTATTTCTTCTCTTCTTCAAGGTTCTATCAGGAATTATCTTTACTCTTGACTCTCATTTCATCCCCTTTTTTTCATTCCTTAACCTATTTCCCATTTGCCCTGAGAATAAGCTGCACTTTTTTTTTTCTAAATGGGAAATGGGTTTCTTAATTCATCCCAGCACTCGACTGAAAAAAACTCTTGTTGAGGTCCCTGAGAACACAATACACTCTGCACCCCAGTAAAGTCAACTTGCATACTCACTGTTTACAGAAGATGCCATGCTGTTGAGATAGGAGGCAGGGTTCAGATACCGGACCAAACTGAGGACTAGCTAAAACAGGGAGAGGGTGGAAGCAGCTTTCCATGAGACACACCCACCAGTGTCCCATGTCAGTTTACCATCGCCTTAGCAACACCCAGAAGTTACCATCCCTTTCCATGACAATGACTCTGTGACCCAGAAGTTACCACCTTTTTCCTAGAAATTTCTGCATAATCTGCCCCTTGATTTGCATGTAATTAAAAGTGGGTATAACTGCAGCCCTGCCTCTGAGCTGCTACTCTGGGCACACTGCCTATAGGGTAGCCCTGCTCTGCAAGAAGCGATACCTCTGCTGCTGCTGTACACTGCTGCTTCAGTAAAAGTTGCTGTCTAACACCCCTGGCTCACCCTTGAATTCCTTGCTGGGTGAAGCCAAGAACCCTCCCTGGCTAAGCCCCAATTTTTGGGCTCACCTGCCCTGTATCAGCATCTCTCACCTCCATACCTTGGCATGGCTACATCTAGGGAGCAGTCCTCACTCCACTTTCCTCCTGCACCCTACGTGTACCTGGCTCTCTTACACATCCTTCTCAGACATCACCTTCTCCTAGGAGTTTTTCCTAAAACACCTTCCGGCAAAATATGTCCCTTGCTCCCAGTTAAACTCTTTGCACCTCAGTTTACTCAACTGCAGGATGGGGATGTTAATCGTACCTACCTTAGAAAATATCATGAAAATTAAATAAGTTCATTGTATCAATACTTAGAACACTTGCTTAGCACATAGAAACTACAATATAAGTGTTCAATGAATAAATAAATAACTCATTTGCTGAAATTGCTCCTGTCCAACAATTATCACACTGTATTGAAATTGCCTCTGGCTTTACAGTAGAAACATTTGAGAAACTTTAAAAATTTCTGGACCCCAGACCACATCCAGACCAATTACACCTGTATCTCTAAGGGTAGTGCCAGACATAAGTATTCTTCATACACACACACACACATACACACACAAAATTCTGTTGCGTAACCAGGCAAAAACCACAATCCTAAACCCACTGATTCTAATCCCTGATTGTGCCTCAAATTACCTGAAGAGTTTCTTTAAACGACTGATGCCCAGACCCCACTCCCGACCACACTTAGAATTTCTGGAGATGGGGCTGACATCAGCATTACCATAAAGCTCTCACATGACCCTGGTGCACAGTGTGGTGTAAGAACCATGCTCTAAACCAGGGGTTGGCAAACTATAGCTCAGCCCATATCCAGCCCATCATCTGTTTTCATAAAGAAAGTTTTACCAGAACACAGCCATACTCATTCAGTTACATATGGCTGTGGCTGCTTACACCCCACCATGGCAAAGTTGGATAGTTATGATAAAAACCATACTGACCAGAAGCCTAAAATAGTTGCTGTAGACCCTAATTTTGTCAATGCATTCATAACACTGAGCTTAGCATGTGGCAAGCACTGGAAAAATATTTGCCGGCGTTAGTTTCTCTCTCTCTTTCTCTCTCTCTCTCTCTCTCTCTCTCTCTTAAACTAATTGCTAAGATTCTTTTTTGGCTTAGCTTTATGGTTCAACAGAATAAATCCAGCAAGTCTTGGAGGCAATGCCCTTCGTAGAATGTTTTTCTGGCTTCAGGACACTGTCAACACAGGGCTCATTTTACTTTTCCTCCTGTAAGTAGCTGCAAGCAAGACTGCTCCCTGCTTCTCCAATAAGCAATGATCCTCAGGGAGACTTGACATTCTTCCTTTAATTACCAGTAACTGAGTCAGATTATTTCCCCTGGGCTCTCCCCGACCTCCATCACTCACAGAAGCAGAGGATGTGGTGTCTTCCCTGCTACTGCCCTACCCTCCAAAAACAAAAACAAAAGGAACTTCACTCTCAATCTTCCTCTTTTCCTCTCACACCATCTCATTTTTGCAAAATATGTCTCAGCTCCCCTGGCTCCAGGTAACGTCAAAGAATGAGCCCCTTTTCAGCCTGAGGATAGATACCAAGGAAACAGCAAACAAATTTAACAAGATATTTTACTTGCTTCAGGTCTTTCCAAACCTTGTCGGGAGTGCAAGACCACAGTGGATTTGGGAGGAGACGCAGAGAATAGCCTTTGAGCCACTGGGAAAGAAATTGCTGAGAATCACAGGTTATAATCTTCCAAGTCCTATCTTCTCCCTGGAGGTCCAGACAGCCCCTTTTGTTGCATGGTGTGATTTTATTTCTATTAATCTCCCTCAGCTGCTGGGGAGATCCCACATCTAGTTTAAAGGATGCTCCCAGGCTATTATTCAGCAACTCACTCACTCTGGCTCGGCACAAACGTCAGTTCTTACGCAGCATAACTCGGTTTCTGCAAAATGGGACTAATTTCCTCATCTCATCTACCTTCGTAACGGTGCTCTGAGGGACCTAGTGAGATATAGATGAGTGTCTCAGAACTAGATGATATTGCCAAAGTCTGCCAAAGCCAATCTCTCAACTCCAGGCCTGATTGCTCTAGGATCGTTGAATTTTAGAGCCCTTTGCTTATTTTCCAAAGGAGGAAATAAAGGCCCAGTGAGGCCAATCACATACATGACTGTATTTCCAGCAGCCTATGTGATACCTCCTCATATAACTATGTCTTATTTAGTTTTGTCAAATCTAAATTCTTGGTTTTTCTTCATTATCCCCAAATCCATTTCTCCCCATGTAAGTTCATGGCTCATGCCCATGTGCCCAGTTGCACCAGCCACAACCTGAAAGTCACCTTTAATTCTTCCCCTTCCTGCAGACCCATACCCAATCCATCAGCAAGCCTGGTCCCCTCTGCCTGCCAAATCCTGCCAAAAATGATGAAAGGTGAAGAGTGAAAACCCCTTTGTCGCCACTGCTGCTCCTCTAAACCACTCCACCATTTCCATTCATCTGGACTAAGTACTGCTAAGACTACAAAAATTAGACAGTTAAAAAAAATTCATTCTTCTCTCTGCTTCTACTCTCGATCTGCTATAATCAGTTTTCCATTCTGCAGCCAGTTGTCTTCTGAAACGTAAATCCCTGAAAGGAACTCTATTGCTTCAAGTCATCTGACAAATTCTCTTCCACTTCAAATAAATTTCAATCTCCTTTCCTTGGCTTATAAGCTTATAATCTCCTTTCCTTGGCTTGTATAGAGGAATCAAGGTTTCTCAACCTTGATGCTATGGACATTCGGGGCTGGACCATTCTGTAAGCTGGAGACTCCTGTGCATTGCAGGGTGGTAAGCAGCATCCATGGCCTCCACCCACCAGATGCCAGCAGCGCAGCCCCATGTGGTAACCCTGACTCTCAATCCAAACTCTCAAAATGTATCCAAAGCCACCTCCAACTTGCAACCCCTGTCCTGGCCCTGATCACTGTGCTCTAACCTCACTGTCCTGCTTTCATGCTTGTTCCCAAATTTACATTTGCTTCTCCTCTGCCTGGAAGACCCTTCTTCCAGATCTGCACAGGACCAGCCCCTTCCCATCATCCAAGTCTCAGTTCAGATTGTCACCTCCTCAGAAAGGTCTTCCCCAGCCATCCTGTGTAAAGCAGCCCACCCACCCACTTCTCTATCTCATTGCCCAGTTTTATTTCCCTCACTGCACCTGTTAGTGCCTGAAATCATCCTATTAATTTATTTGTTCAGGTTTGTGGTCCTGCATTAAACTACCAGCTTGATGGGGCTTTGTCTGTACTGCTCTCTGCTGTTTCCCCAGTGCCTGCCTAGAAATTGTGCATAGTAGGTATTCAATAAATAGTTATTAAAGAATATGACTCAATGAATGGATAAATAAGATTAGAACTCATGTCAGCTAAGGCTTTATACAGGATTCCTTCCAAGACCCCAGTGCAACCAGAACCATTTCAAGAGAGTGATTATCTACTGTGAGAAGTTACCACTGCTTAAAAATACAGGTGCCCTGGGTTCGAATCCCAGCTTTGCCATTCATCAGCTGTTTGGCCTTTGGCAAATTGCTGAGCTCTCTGACCTTCAGTTTTCTCATCCATAAAATGAGAATAACGATGGTATCTTCCTCATAGGACTGTTGTAAAGACTAAGTGAGATCATAAATATAAAACACTTAGAGTGGCACTCGACACAGAGTAAGCACCATGTGTTGGTTGTCATGGTTGTTGTTCTTTGACCGATGAAGAACTTTTTAGAGGAAAATAATAACCACCGCAGGATACAAAAATTTCAGAGCCTCCTCACCACTCTACCCTGACAGAGCCAAAGCAGTCCCACAGAACTTTCTATCAGGGACTTCTTCTCTCTAAAGCTATTTCCCTCCAGTTAAAATAAATCTGATTTTATCTTGGGCCCAAGCAGGGAACTACTTACATAGTAGTCACCTTTAATAGCTCAGAACAATATAATTGCCACCTCTTAGCATTCTCTTCTCCAGGGTAAATCATCCTAATGCTTTTAATGCCTACTTGCTTTTCCTATTTTCTGATCTTTCACATTCATTGTTTTCAGTTTGGAAATAGATCCAGATGAAGAAGGAGGAGGGCTGCTGTTGTCATAGCAACTGCAAAGGGACGGACAACCCAATTCAGAGGAAATAAGAAAAGTTGAGGGTTTTTCTTTTTCATATTTTTCCTTTCTGATTGAAAACGTTGCATTGCTTTGAACAGAAGACATGTGGCTGATACTGTCACTCTCACACATTGCCTCCTGATCCTCCACCCTCACCACCCCCCCGACACACACATAGAAAGGGGAAATTGTCAAAGTTTGATGAGTGAAGGTGCTTCGTGACACCTCTATTGAAAAGCATCCCCCCCTTTTATCACCACTTTTAAGGCTTATTTTTGTATTCACCCAACATAATCCACAGCCTCTCTCCCTAGTTTCTCTCTTGGTTTGCATTACACAGCTGGACACCTGCCTATTCTCCAGTTTAAAAAAATAAGCTTATTTCTTATTTTTTTAATCTTTTTTAATTACACAAGTAAAACAGCATTATACAACTCAAACAATCTAAATACACACCCCTTCATGCCACTACTGATTCTACAGCATACACACACATATATTTTTAACATAAACAGAATAGTATATACAAACAGTATATACTATACACACTGTTCTCAAAATTGTTTTGTTCTCATCATATGTCATGGGTATTAATATCACTGTCCCTGCCTCCTTTCATCTTGGTTATCATTTGCCTTATAGATCTTTTTCCAACTCTTTACTTTCAGAATTTATATATTGTTTTGCCTTGGTTTATCTCTTACAAATAACATTTAAGTAATTGTTTAAACCAAGATGAGTGGTAGTTTAATAGAATGATTAACAGCATGGGTCTTAACCATCAAAGAGCATGGGTTCAAATCTGGCCTCTCACTTGAAACAAATGGCTTAATCTCTCTTAAGTCTCAGGGTCTCATCTTTAACATGAGAATAAAAATAGAACCTACCTTGTAGAGTTTATTGTTAGCTTTAAATAAAATTGTCTATTTAAAGTGCTCAGCACAGTGCCTAAATCATAATAACACTCACTAAATGGTAGCTATAGTTTCTGCCTTTTTATAGAGGAGTTTAATTCATTCACATGTAATCTGAATACTAATACTTGAGTTTATTTTTGCTGCCATATTTTGTGTTTTCTATTGTTATGCTTTCTTGAGTTTTCTTCTATCCTTTGTCTAACTTCTGTGAAATTCATGAAGTTTCATTATTCGATTTTTTTCTATATTTTCTATTTTTTCTCCACAGTGGTAGTTAATCAATATCCATATCCTACTTTTATCTTCTAAGCCCTATTAAAACCCTTAGCATGTTTCACTTCTATTCTCAGATCCCCACTCTCACTTCCTGCTTTGAAAGCCACTGGAGATTTTTTCCCAAACTGTTACCCCTTTTGTATTATGCATCAAAATTCTTTATCCTTAATTCTATGGTTTTCTGGTTTACTGTGTCATCACTTTTTATGTCCCATATTTTCCTTTTTCTTTGATCTATCATTTTCATTTTGCTGGAATACATCCTTAAATAATTCTTTCAGATAAGGGCTCTCAATGATAAAATTCCTAAATACTTATATATATGAAAATGACTTTAATTTGTCCATACTTGACTGATAGTTTCTCTGAATAAAGGATTTTAGGTGCAAAATAATTTTCTTTCAGAATTTTGAACTCTATTTTCTCTTTATATCCAGTATTGCTATTGAGAAGTCAGATATATATGTAATCTCTTTTTGTTTTTGAAATGCTGTTTCTTCCTTCTTGAACCTTCAAGAATGTTCTCTTTATACCTGGGATACTAGAGTTTTACCTAATGTGTCATAGGAGGATCTTTTTTTAATACTATTCAGCACTCTGCATCTGTCTTCAGCTCTAGAAAATTTTCTTCTATTGCTTCTGTTATTGTTCTCTTCCCTCTATTCTCTTTTATCTCCTTTTGAAACAGCTATCAATTTTGTAACTTAAAGGTCTATCCTCCCTGGCTTTTAGTCTATTTATTATTCTTTACATCTCTTCATCCTTTTATTCTGCATTCTGGAAACGTCCCCTGCTTCTAGTATTCTAATTCAGTCTTCATCTTTTCAGCCCACTTATTGAATGGGGTTTATTCTGCAATCATACTTTAAAATTTTAGGTCCTCTGATTTCCTATTTTTCTTAGCAGTTTTTTATGGTTGTGATAGTCTCTTGAATCTCTCTGAGAAATTAATACTAGTGTTTATATTTCCTACTTCCCTTCTTTAATTCTACTATCTCAGATGTCAGTTTTTGTGCTTAGTGAGTTTGGTACCTCTCTTATGAGATTGGTTTTTCTCAAATGATTAGTGATTTTTTAATTGCATTTTGTGGATGAGAACTTAGAAGGGAAATACTTGGCAGGCGGTCTGGGTTTTGTCAGCTCAAGTCAGGTCTCTATTTACCTGGTAGCAAATTTACGTTTTCATCACAGAACTCCTCCTCAAGCGATTTTGTGAGGCAAGAGGTAAAGTGTGCAGTCACACTTAGTGTATGTGGCAGGTAGACTTCAAGATGGCTTCCATGATCTCTGTCTCCTGGTGTTCGGGTCCTTTCGTGATTCCTCCCATTGAGTGTGGGTGAGACCTGTGACTTACTTCTACCCAGTAGAATATAACAGAGGTGAGAGGATGTCACTATCATGATTATGTTACATTATCTAAGACTCCTTCATGTTAACACACTCTACTGTCTTCGTCTCTCTTACTTTCCATTACTGGCTTTGAAGAAGTAAGCTATCATAAATCCTACACCGCAAAGAAATTAATTCTTGTAACAACCTCAGGGCGCTTGGAAGGAGATCCTTCCCCCAGCCGAGCCTCTAATAAGAGCCAAGTCCTTGCCAATACTTTCATCGCAACCCTGTGAGAGACTAAGCAGAGGACCCATCTAAGCCACACCCAGACTCTTAACCCACAGAAACTCTGAGAAAATAAATGTGTGTTGTCTTAAGCTAATAACTTTTTTTTTTTTTTTTTGAGATGGAGTCTCACTCTGTCGCCCAGGCTGGAGTGCAGTGGTGCGATCTCGGCTCACTGCAAGCTCCGCCTGCCGGGTTCACACCATTCTCCTGCCTCAGCCTCCCGAGTAGCTGGGACTCCAGGGGCCCGCCACCACGCCCGGCTAATATTTGTATTTTTAGTAGAGACAGGGTTTCACCGTGTTAGCCAGGATGGTCTCGATTCCCTGACCTCGTGATCCGCCCACCTCAGCCTCCCAGAGTGCTGGGATTGCAGGCATGAGCCACCACGCCCGGCCACTACTAACTTTTTTAGTAATTTGTTGCACAAGCAATAGACAGCTAATATAGTTTGTTTGTTCTCTGGCTGTAGGCACTTTCTTCTCTTCTTGTAGTTAGGTTACCTGAGTGTGTTATCCGATTTCTCTATCTCCAATGCACACTTGGAGAGTGTTCTCCCAGTAAACACACACACACACACAGTTTAAAGAGGTATACTTTCAGCTTTATCCTGGGGAACAAGGCTAGAATCAAGGATTCCACATCTTTTTTACTACACAAAACACTAAGACTAAAACACAGCAAAATAAAGACTAGTGGCAATTTTCATGGTTGAGAATAGATGAATATTTTTAGATAAAATATTACTAAATAAAATTCAATGAAGCATAAAAAATAATAAATCATGAGCAAGTAAGATTTATTTCAGAAATACAAAGACAACTTAGTACTATGAAGTTTTAAAAATGTATTTATCAAATTCATCAGGGAATTTAACGTACGATAAGGTAGTATTTCATTTCAATGGTGAAATTATAAAGTATTAAACATTATTGAGATTACTGACTAGCCTTTTGAATGAATAGCACTAGGTCCTCAACTCACTTTTAATACCATAATAAATCTTAAAGGATAAAAAAGGATTTTAAAAGGACTTTTAAAGGTTTAAAAGTTATGTTGAAATTTCATGAATTTTAAGATTTGTAATGGAAAATCTTTATAATTGTGGCATGAAATCCAGAAGCTGTAAAAGAAAAGGTTAAAGACAAATACTTTTACCCTCTAAAAATATTTAAACGTCTACATAGCACAGCTGGTTATCTATTGTGTGTGGAAAAGAAGAGAGCTGCAGTTAGAATATACATAGGCTCCTGGGCAGTAGAGAATGACTCAGCCTAGATGGACAATGATTGATATATCAGAGACCAGTGTGGGGACATGTGGATGGACATGTGGAAGTAAGCAGAAAGGGTAAAGATGTTTCTGTTCACTAATAGCATGCATCAAAGAAAGCACTACACAACTTGAGAGATTAAAATGCTCAGTCATTTGGCATCAGTCAATATCTGTCATAAGCCACCCCAGTCCTGGCACAATGGGTACATTCAGTATCTAATTTAGACGATGGTAAAAAAAAAGTTCATCCCCCAACTCTCAACTTCAGACAACTCTGGAGATCATCCAAGCTTCCGTATTATCTTAAGGTCAGCTAAGGTCTCCATTGAGATGACATCTTAGCTCAATTTCTCCCTCTGCCCAGTCCTGCATGATCCCTTCCCTTCTATAGTTGTTGATCCCAATAATATAACCTAATGAACTTCTTACCCACTACTCACTATTTCAGAGTCTGCTTCCTGAAGAAGCCAACTTGCAACACACATGAACAATATGGGAGAGTGTCTGTTTCCCCAAACCCTGGCCAACAGTGGGATGTGTATAACTTTTTATTCTTTCCAAATTGATAAGTCAAAAGTAGTATCCCTTTGTTGTTTTAATTTGGAATAAGGTAGACACTTTGATATGCTTCACTGTCATTAGGAGTCATTGAAGTAACGTTTTTGGAGAGTAATTTTACAATAATGCAAACATTGAAAATTATATATGCCTTTTTAAACTTGAGGTGACTCTTTTAAATTTTCATTTACATTTTATTTTATTTTTAACTTTGAAGTTCAGGAGTACATGTACAGGTTTGTTATGTAGGTAAACTCGTGTCACAGGGGTTTGTTGTACAGATTATTTCATCACCCAGGTATTAAGCCTACTACCCGTTAGTTATATTTCCAAATCCTCTCCCTCCTCCCACCTTCCACCCTCTGGTAGGCCCAAAGTTTGTTGTTCCCCTCTATATGTCCATGTGTTCTCATCATTTAGCTCCCACTTCTAAGTGAGAACATGCGATATTTGGTTTTCTGTTCCTGCGTTAGTTTGCTAAGGACAATGACCTCCAGCTCCATCCATGTTCATGCAAAGGACATGATCTCATTCTTTTTTAAGACTGCATAGTATTCCATGGTGTCTATGTACCACACTTTCTTTATTCAACCATTGATGAGCATTTAGGTTGATTCCATGTCTTTGCTATTGTGAATAGTGTTGCAATGAGCATACTTATACAGGTGTCTTTATGACAGAATAATTTATATTCCTTTGGGTATATACCCAGTAATGAGATTGCTGGGTTGAATAGTAGTTCTGTTTTCAGGTCTTTGAGGGATTGCCACACTGCTTTCCACAATAGTTGAACTAATTTACACTCCCACTGATAGTGTACAAGAATTCCTTCTTTCTCCATAACCTTGCCAGCACCTGTTATTTTTTGATTTTTAAATAATAGCCATTAGACTGGTATAGGATGGTATCTCATGGTGGTTTCGATTTGCATTTAATGATCAGTGATGTTTAACTTTTCTTCATGTGCTTGTTGTCCACATGTATGTCATTTCTTGAAAAGTGTTCATGTCTTTTGTCCACTTTTTAATAGGGTTGTTTGGGTTTTTCTTGTAAATTTGTTTAAGTTCCTTAAAGATGCTGGATATTAGACCTTTGTCAGATAGTTTGAAAATTTTTTCTCCCATTCTGTAGGTTGTTTAAACAGATAACCAGAGTAAACTGAGTGTTGACAGCTTCTTTTGCTGTGTAGAAGCTCTTCAGTTTAATTAGATCCTATTTGTCAATTTTTTATTTTGTTGCAATTGCTCTTGGCATTTTTATCATGAAATCTTTGCCCATTCCTATGTCCAGAATAGTATTGCCTAGGTTGTCTTTCAGAGTTTTTTATAGTTTTGAGTTTTACATTTAAGTCTAAACCATCTTGAGTTGATTTTTATATATGATGTAAGGAAGGGGTACAGTTTCAATCTTCTGCATATGGCTAGCCAGTTATCCCTGCACCATTTATTGAAAAAGGTGCCCCTTCCCCCATTGCTTCTTTTTGTCAGCTTTGTCAAAGATCAAATGGTTGTAGGTGTGTGGCCTTATTTCTGGGCTCTCTATTCTGTTCCATTGGTCTGTGTGTCTGTTTTTGTACCTGCATCATGCTGTTTTGGTTACCATATCCTTGTAGTATAGTTTGAAGTTGAGTAGCGTGATGCCTCCAGCTTTGTTCTTTTCGCTTAGGATTGCCTTGGCTGTTTGAGCTCTTTTTTAGTTCTATATGAATTTTTAAATGGTTTTTTCTAGTTCTATGAAGAATGTCGTTGGTAGTTTGATAGGAATAGCATTGAATCTATACATTGCTTTGGGCAGTATGGCCATTTTAACAATATTGATTCTTTCTATCCATGAGCATGGAATGTTTTTTCATTTGTTGACATAATTGTAGATTCACATATAGTTGTAAGAAGTAACACATAGAATTCTATGTACTTTTTACCCTAGACCCAACTATATTACAATTGTAATATTGTAGCCTATATTATACCACTATATTACAAGGTAGTTGTACATTTTGTAAGACTGCAGTGTAATATCACAACAAGGATATCAACATTGATATAATCAAGCCATCTTATTCATATTTCGCATTTCATTTGTACTCATGGTGGGAGGGGTGTATTTAGTTCTATAAAATTTTATTACGTTTGGTTCCACATATCCAGCATCACAGTCAAGGCATTAAACAATTCCATCACCACCAAAATAACTTGTTTTGCTCTTTTCTAATGACATCCACCTCTCTCCCACTCCTACCCTCTACCACCCTACCCCTGTCACTAAACCCTGAAAGTCATTAATATCTGTCCTCCACTTGTAAAATTTTGTGTGTTGTCAGCAAGATAGCAGAAGAAGAGTTTCTGACATTCATCTCCTCACAGAAACATCCACTTAAACAACCACCAACACATAAAAATACCTTTACAAGAGCTAAGAAATTCAGGTAAGAGATTATAGCCCCTGGGTGAAGCACAGAAACTTTTTTTTTTGTAATGTTTATTTGGTTTATCACTTTAATGGCTTGCTTTTCTGCTTCTTATCTTTCTCACTCAATAATACTCCATGGAAATAAAATTCCAAGTTACTCAATAAAGATCTAAATAAATCGTTGTGATGAATACCAAGTGAGAAATGGGATAGTTATACTATAATTTATTCATTAATTTTCATATCAGTGGTATTTGTTTTCATTATTTTCCTACCACAAACATTGCTACAATAGCATCCTGTTATACATATCCTTGTGTGTACCCTAGAACTTAAAGTATAATAAAAATATATATATTAAAAAAAAAAAGAAGCACAGAAACTTTAAAGGGTGTATTGACGACAATAGGAAAACAATGTCACATTGCCTGCATCACCCTTCCCCAAAGCCCAGGAAACACAGCATAGACAGTGATACCTTCAACATGAGGAAAAGAGAGTATGGCTGGGAGCAGTGGTTCATGCCTGTAATCCCAGCACTTTGGGAGGCGGAGGCAGGCAGATCACCTGTTCTGAGTTCAAGACCAGCCTGGCCAACATGGTGAAACCCCGTCTATACAAAAATACAAAAATTAGCTGAGCATGGTGGCACATGCCTGTAATCCTAGCTACTCTGGAGGCTAGGAGAATCACTTGAACCCAGGAGGCGGAGGTTGCAGTGAGCCAAGATCGTGCTACTGCACTCCAGCCTGGGCGATGGAGCAAGACTTCATCTCAAAAAAAAAAAAAAAAAAGAAAGAAAGAAAAAAAAAGAAAAGAGAATAAAGTGAGCACCTGACTTTTCCGTGGACCTCAGAAACAGGCTCACCCCAGTGAACCTCAGCACTCAGCCATTCCCACAGAATCAGGCTTCAGACCCAATGGCAGGACATCCTCTGTGGCCCCAGGCTCAGGCCTGCACTAGCATCAGGCTATCCCCCTAGACCTGGGCTCCAGACCAGCCCCAGCACCAAGCCAGGCCCCAGAGCTCCAAGTTAAAAGCCAGCCCCTAAAAACTCAGGCTCCAGGCCAGCCCCCATAGACCCAGGCGCCAGGCCAGCCCCCATAGACCCAGGCGCCAGGCCAGCCCCCATAGACCCAGGCGCCAGGCCAGCCCCCATAGACCCAGCCTTTAAGTCAGCCCCCACAGATTTAAGCTCTAGGCCTGCCACAGTGCCAGGCTGGCCCCTATGGCCCCAGACTCAAGACTAGCCCCATGGGCCCAACCTCCAAGCCAGACCCCAGAGCATCAGACCACAGACCAGGCCCCATAGACCCAGTCTCTGGGTTTGCTCCAGCAACAGGCAAGCCCCCACAGACCCAGGCTCCAGCAGAAACAGGAATCAGGTCCACTCCAGTGAAATCCGGAGTCCAAGCTTGCCCCATTATACCCCTGTGCCACACCAGCCACCACAGACCCAAGCTCCAGTAGATCCAGGGTCCAGGCCTACTCCAGTGAATCCAGGCTTCAAGTCAGCCCTTATGGACCCAAGACCCAGGCCCACCCTTGCAGGCCCAGGTGCCAGATCATCCCAGACAGATTCAAGCTCCAGACCTGCACCAGTGGACTCAAGTTTCAGACCCACCTCTGCACAAATAGAAATCAAAACTACAGAAGCAGGCCTGACCATGGACCTCACCAACCTACCTGCCCAGAATCTCAGGACAGGCTAACTGGTGAAGGGCTTCCCTGCCAAAGCCAGCAGAAGAGATGCCTACTTCTTCAAATGTTCAGACACAATGCAAGGCCACAAGGATCATAAATAATCATGGAAACATGACACCACCAAAGGAACAAAATAAAAGGCCAGTAATTTACCCTAAAGAAATGGAGATTTATGAACTGCCTGACAAAGATACGAAATGATTATCTTCCAGATGCTCAGTGAACTACAAGAGGACATAGATAGACAATTAAATAATATCAGGTGTGATGATTAATACTGAGTGTCAGCTTGATTGGATTGAGGGATACAAAGTATTAATCCTGAGTGTGTCTGTGTGGATGTTGCCAATAGAGATTAACATTTGAGTCAGCAGGCTGGGGAAAGCAGATCCACTCTTAATCTGGTGGGCACAATCTAATCAGCTTCCTGTGAATATACAGTAGGTGGAAAAAAGTGAAAAGGAGAGACAGGCCTAGCCTCCCAGCCTATATCTTTCTTCCATGCTGGATGCTTCCTGCCCTCGAACATCAGACTCTAAATTCTTCAGTTTTGGGACTCAAACTGGCTCGCCTTGCTCCTCAGCTTGCAGACAGCCTATTAGGGAACCTTGTGAACATGTAAGTTAATACTTAATAAACTCCCCTATATATATATATCTCTCTCATTAGTTTTATATATATATATATATATGTATATATATATATATATATATCTTATTAGTTCTGTCCCTCGAAGAGAACCCTGACTAATACATCAGGAAAACAATAATGAACAAAATGAGAAGTTCAGCAAAGAGATAGAAACCACAAAAAAGAACCAAACAGAAAATCTGGAGCTAAAGAACATAATGACTGAACTGAAAAATTCCATACAGAGCTTCAACAGCACAATTGATCAAGCAGGAAAAAAATCAGCAAGTTTGAAGAAAGGTCATTTGAAATTACCCAATCAGAGTAAAAAAAAGAAATAAGAATTACGGAGTGAAGAAAACCTGCAAGACTTTGGGATACTATCAAGCAAACCAATATATGCATTATGAAAGTTTCAGAAAGATCAGAGAAAGAGAAATGTGCAGAAAACTTATTTAAATAATGACAGAAGCTTCCCAAATCTGAAGAGGGAACATCCAGATCCATGAAGCCCAAAGAACTCCAAATAGATTAAATATAAAGAGATGTTTACCAAGACATATAATCAAAATCTTAAAAGTCAAAGAAGAAAAGACAATTTTGAAAGCAGAAAGAGAAAAGTGATTTATAACATACATGGGAACTTTAATTAGACTATCCATGAATTTCTCAGAAGAAACTTTGCAGGCCAGAAAGGATTGGGATGACATATTCAAAGTGCTGAGAGAAAAAAACCTGCTAATCATGAACACTATACACAGCAAAATTACCCTTCATAATTAAGGAAAGATACTGTCACAGACAAACAAAAGTTGAGGGAGCTCATCATTACTAGACCTACCTTACAAGAAATACAAAAGGAATTCTTCAAGTTGAAAAGATGCTAACATAATAAAAACATATGCAAGTATAAAACTCACTGTAAAGGTAAGAATATGATAAAATTTAGAATACTCTCTGTAATTGTGGTACATAAAAGCACTTTTAATATAAAATCACTTTTAGTATAAAAGTTAAAAGACAAAAATATTTAACGTAACTATAGCCACGATAATGTGCTGATGTATACACAATATTTTAAAAAGTAAAATGTGACATTAGTGGCATATAATGTATACTGAGTGTCAGCTTGATTGGATTGAGGGATACAAAGTATTAATCCTGGGTGTGTCTGTGTGGATGTTGCCAATAGAGATTAACATTTGAGTCAGTGGGCTGGGGAAGGCAGATTCACTCTTAATCTGGTGGGCACAATCTAATCAGCTTCCGGTGAATATACAGTAGGTGGAAAAAAGTGAAAAGGAGAGACAGGCCTAGCCTGGGTGTGGTGCTGGGTATGGTGGGTGTGGTGACTCATGCCTATAATCCCAGCACTTTGGCAGGCTCACTTCAGGCCAGAAATTCAAAACCAGCTTGGCCAACATGGCAAAACCCCAGTTCTACTAAAAATACAAAATTCAGCTGGGTGTGGTGGTGGGTGCCTGTAATCCCAGCTATTCTGGAGGCTGAGGCATGAGAATCATTTGGACCCAGGAGCCGGAGGTTGTAATGAGCCAAGATCACGTGACTGCACCCCAACCTGGGTGACACAGCAAGACTCTGTCTCAAACAAAAAAGAAAAAGAAAAAGTAAGAGGAGAAGTTAAAGTGTAGATTATTTTTATGCAGTTGAAGAAAAATGCTATTAGTTTAAAATAGACTACTATAAGAGGTTTTATACAAGCTTTATGGTAACCACAAAGTAAAACCTGTGGTAGATACATCAAAGATAAACAGAAAGGAATAAAAGCATACAAAAATAAAAGTCATAAAGGAAAATAGCAAGAGAGAAAGAAACTACAAAACTGTCAGAAAACAACAAAATTGCAATAGTAAATCCTTACTGATCAATAGTTAATTTAAATGTAAATGGATTCAAAGCAAAGGCAGAATGGCTGAAATGGCTGAATGGATTAAAAAAAAAATTCCAACTACATGCTGCCTACAAGAGACTCACTTTAGCTTTGAGAACACACATAGGTTGAAGGTGAAGGGACAGAAAAAGATATTTCATACAAATGGTATCCAAAAGAGAACGAGGGTGGTTAAGCTTATATCAGACAAAATAGACTTTAAGTCAAACTGTCATAAGAGACAAAAAGGTCATTATATAATGATGAAGGGGTCAATTCAACAAGATAATATAACAATTGTAAATTTATATGCACCCAACATCAAAACATCTAAATACATAGAGAAAATATTAACAGAAATAGAGAGTAATACAACAATAGTTGGGAACTTCAATATCCCACTTTTCCTAATGAACAGATCATCCAGACAAAAATTCATTAAGGAAACAGCAGACTTGAATGACACTATAGAACAAATACCTAACAGATATACATAGAATATTCCATACAATGGCTACAGGATACACATTATTTTCATGTACATAAAGAACACTCCAGGATAGATAATATGTTAGGCTGCAAATCAAATCTTAAATTTAGGAAGATTGAAATTATATCAGTTATCTTCCCAACCATAATGGTATGAAACTAGAAATCAATAACAAGAGGAAAAAATGCAAAACTCACAAATACATGAAAATTAAACAACACACTCCTGAACAACCAGTAGGTCTAAGAAGAAATCAAAAGGGAAATCAAAAAATATCTTGGTACAAAGGAAGATGGAAAAACAACGTATCAAAACTTACGGGATACAGCAAAAGAAGTTCTGTGTGTGTGTGTGTGTGTGTGTGTGTGTGTGTGTGTGACGGAGTCTCACTCTGTCGCCCAGGCTTGAGTGCAGTGGCGCAATCTTGGCTCACTGCAACCTCCACCTCGCAGGTTCAAGCAATTCTCCTGACTCGGCCTGCCGAGTAGCTGGGATTACAAGCACATGTCACCATGCCCAGTTAATTTTTATAATTTTAGTAGAGACAGGGTTTCAACATGTTGGCCAGGCTGGTCTCGAACTCCTGACCTCAGGTGATCCACCCACCTTGGCTTCCCAAAGTGCTGGGATAACAGGCATTAGCAACTGCTCCCAACCAGCAAAAGCAGTTCTAAGAGGTAAGTTTATAGCAAAAAAAAAAAAAAAAAAAGGCTATGTTAAGAAAACAATATATCTCAAATTAACAACCTAACAACCTAACTTTATATTTCAAGGACCTAGCAAAAGAAAAACAAACTAAGCTCAAAGTTGGCAGATGGAAAGGAATAAATATTAGAGAACAAATAAATGAAATAGACTGGAAAAGCAATAGAAAAGATTAATGAAACTAAGAGTTTGTTTTTTGGAAATAAAACAAAATTGACAAAAGTTTGGCTAGACTAAGAAAGAAAGAGAAGATAAACAAAATTATAAATGAAAGAGGAGACATTACAAGTGATACCACAGAAATACAAAGGATCATAAGGAATATAAGAAGCAATTATATACCAACAAATTGGATAACCTGGAAGAAATGGGTAAATTCCTAGAAGTATAACTTAACAGGACTGAATCATGAATTGAAAATCTGAACAGATCAATAATGAGTAAGGAGATTAAAGCAGTAATCAAAAACCTCCCACAAAAGAAAAGCCCAGGATCTGATGGCTCCACTGATAAATTCTACCAAATATTTAAATAAGAATTAGGCCGGCCGCAGTGGCTCACACTTGCAATCCCAGCACTTTGGGAGGCCGAGGCAGGCGGATCACTTGAGGTCAGGAGTTTGAGACCAGCCTGACCAACATGGTGAAACCCCGTCTCTTCTAAAAAGACAAAAATTGGCTGGGCATGGTGGCTGGTGCCTATAATCCCAGCTACTGGGGAGGCTGAGGCAGGAGAATCACTTGAACCAGGAGGCGGAGGTTGCAGTGAGCTGAGATCATGCCACTGCGCTCCAGCCTGGGAGACAGAGCAAGACCCTGTCAAAAAAAAAAAAAAAAGAAGGAAGGAAGGGAGGGAGGGAGGGAGGGAGGGAGGGAAGGAAGGAAGGAATTGATCTTTCTCAAACTCCTCCAAAAGTTTGAAGATGACAAAACACTTCCAAACTCATTTTATGAGACCAGTATTACCCTGATTCCAAAGCCAGGGGAGGACACTACAAGAAAAGAAAACTGTAGCCCAATATCCCTGATGAACATGGTGTAAAACTTTTCAACAAAATACTAGCAAATTTATTTCAACAGCACATTAAAAAGATCTTACACTTGATCAAGTGGGATTTATTTCTAAGATGCAAGGATGATTCAACATATGCAAACTAATAAATGTGATAAGCCACATGAACAGAATGAAGGATAATAGTCCTTTGTTAAAATATCTATACTGCCACTTTGGTCTACAATTTCAATGTAGTCTCTATCAAAATTCCAATGGCATTTTTCACTTGAAATAGAAAAAAAAAAAAAAACCTTAAAAGTTATATGGAACCACAAAAGTCCCCAAAAAGCCAAAGCAATTCTTGAGGAAGAAGAACAAATCTTATTATTCTCAGTGAAAAGAAAATTTTATCACTTAAATATGTTAAATAAGTGAAATAATACAGTATGTAACATTTTGGGGGGTTTGAGGGTATGTTTGTTTTGTTCATTTATTTGTTTGTTTCTTTGTTTGTTGAAACAGGGTCTCACTCTGTCTCCCAGGCTGGAGTGCAGTGGCGCAATCTCGGCTCACTACAACCTCCGCTTCCTGGGATCCAGTGATTCTCCCACCTCAGCCTCCCAAGTAGCTGGGACTACAGGCACCTGCCACCATGCCCAGCTAATTTTTGTATTTTTTGGTAGAAACAGGGTTTCATCATGTTGGCCAGGCTGGTCTCGAACTCCTGACCTCAAGTGATCCACCCACCTTGGCCTCCCAAAATGCTGGGATTACAGGCATTAGCCACCACATCTGGCCTCTCACAATATATACATATATCAAAACATCATATTGTACACCTTAAGAATATACAATTTGTATTTGTCAATTATAGCTCAGTATAGCAGTGGCAGAAGGAGAAGGAAAAAAGAAAATTTTGTCGCTTAAAAATGTTAAATAAATGAAATGATATAGCACGTATATCATACTTTTTGAATTAGCTTTTTTCACTCAACATAATTCCCTAGATTCATCCAAGTTGTAGTGTGTACCACTAGTCTGTTCCTTTTTATGGCTGATGTGAATTCCATGATTTGGAATACAAAGCAAATCATGGTTTGCTTAGTCATTCACCTGTTGAAGGACATCTGCGCTGTTTTAAATCTAGCAATTCAAGATCTGGAAATTTATCCTTCAAATACAGTACACAAAGGCAAGGAAATGTTTACAATAGTAAAGAACAAAAGAAATGCAAAGTTTATCAATGGGGGCCTGGTTAAACAATGTGCATTAATTCACACAACGTGTATTTATATATAGAGAGAGAGATTCCATATACATACACGATATATATGTAAAAGTAATTTCATATATATGTTGTATATAACTGAGTTACAAAAGAGTAAATGCAGTATGACTGGAAGCAAGGAAGGCAGAGAACAATGTTTTCATGTTTCAGTTAATAAAATTCTGCAAATTCTATATTCCTGTCCAATATTTATCTCTCACATATTTCCTCTTATTGCATTGGCTAGGCCCTCATTAGAATTGTGATTATTGGTAGTCAAAGCAAACATCCATGTGTTGCTTCTCATTTGAATGACAATGTTTCTAAAAAATTCAGCATTAAGTGCAACATTTGCTGTATATTTATGGCAGACCCCTTTACAGTTATTTCTAGTGTGTCTAATTATGAAAGGATGTTGCATTTTAATAAATGTCTTCCTAGTATCCATTGAATGATTTTCTCCTTTGATCTGTAAATACAGTGAGTTACACTGATATTTACATTGATTCCCAAACTTGAATTTATTAGATAAATCCACTTGATCAAGATATATTATTCTTTTAATGTACCACTAGATTCAATTATCTAGTACTTTTTACAGTTTTTTGCCTCTATATTCAAAAGTGCCTGTAATTTTATTTTGTCTTGATGTTGGAAATAAATTTGCCTTATAAAATAAGATTGGTTGTTCCCCATATTTTTCAATGCTCTGGCATGTAAAATAGAGTGGGCTCTTCCCTGGAATTTGGTAGAACTTACCTATGTAACTACAAAGGGCTTGTGTCCTGGATGACAGACAGGGAGGGGCACATTGGTAGATGGGCCTTTAACTGCCATTTCTAATTTTTTTTTTAATGAGTGTTTTCTATTGCTTTTCTTGGACCAATTTTGGTAATTTATATTTTCCTTGACATTTTTGTCCATTTCATCTAAGGATTTCAAATGGATTGGTATAAAGTTACATAGTTGAATCACATCATCCATACATTTATTATATGTGGATTCAACTGTACATGCCCTATTAAATTTTTTATATATTTTTAAAGAAAGGAAAAAAGGAGGGAGGGAAGCCAAACAATGTAAACCACATGGGCAATTCCTCCTGTTATTCCAATTAAAGAGGCTATGCCTCACATGAGCAAGATGTGAATCTGCTGCTCAGGCTGTTAGTTTCTGTCAAGCATCTCACCTCTCCAAAGGTGATCGTATGGTTTAGAAGTAAACTATACAATCATATAAGTTGGCCACTAATTTAAAAACAATGATGATGTTTTTCATATAAGTTGGCCACTACTTTCAAAACAATGATGAGATGCAAAGATGAATTTAAAAAAAAATAGTTTTTGCAAGAATATATCCACCTTTGATATAGGTATGACTTACAAAGTAATTTCAATGGCATTTTTTTATTATAAGCAGTTACTGTTTTAACCTCTGACTTTAGCAAAAGTGCTGTACAAAGTAGCCTCCTAATTTTAAAAATCTCTTCTGTATCCATACTCTATCTCCTTCATCATTCCTAATACCATTTGGATCCTCTCTCTTTGCCTTGATTAGGCTAGCAGAAACTTTGTGTGTTTTATCATTCTTTTAAAAAAAAATCCAGTTTTGGGTTTTATTGATCATCTTTACTCTTGTTTTTTCTGTTTCATTTATTTCTGCTTTGGTTTTTATTAACTTGATCCATCTATTTTATTTGGGTTTCTTTTGTTTTTCTCTTCTTGCCCAGTGCTGCTGGAGTGTAGTTTGAGGTTTCAAAGGGAAATTTAGCAGTGCTTTTTTTAGAGAAGCACATACTTTCTGACCCAGCAAATTCACATCTCGGAATCTATCCTGGAGAAGGATTCACACATTTGTCCAAGGATGCTATATTAAAATTTCCTTTTCACACTATTGTTTGTAACCCAAAAAAAGCTAAAAGTACATCAATATGAATATAAGTTATGCTATACTGAAACTATGGAACAGTATATAGCCAATAAGAAGGAAGAGTAAATTTTCCTAAATAACCTACAAATGCTGTTTCACTTCTTTTTTCTCCATATAGCTATCCAGTTGTCCTTAAACCACTTACAAATAACCTGTCTTTTCTCCCACTTAGATATGTTCAATCTTTTTAATACACTAAATCCCCATCTATTCTTGGATATATTTCTATACTTCATTACATGCCATTGATCTAACAGTCTGTTCCTGCATCAGTAGTCTGGTGTTATAAATTTCATTATTTTATAATGCATTATACTACATGGTGAAGCTGGTTATTTCTCATTACTCTTCTTTTTAGAGAAGGTTCCTGGTAATTGTGACAAGTTCCAAGAAAAAGGTACTATTGAAATTTGATTGAAATTGCATTGAATTTATAGATTTATCTAGTAAGAATTGACATCTTTACAATTTTGTCTTCTTATCCAAGTGCAAGGTTTGACACGCCATTGATTCAAATCTTCTTTTATGTCCCTCAATAGAGGTTTATAGTTTTATTCATATAGATCCTCCACATTGCTTGTTAAGCTTGTCCCCAGATATTATATGAGTAGTGTCTCACAAGCATATGGATTTCAGTATGCCTAAAACTAAACTTTTAATCTATCTCCTCAAATCTGTTCCTTTGCCAGACACCACTTCCCCAGCCCCTATTGCAAGTAAGGTATCTGTATTCACCCTAGTGCGATTGTCAGGAATCTGAATCATTCCTGAGTCCTCTTTCAAACTTACATCCAACTCGTGACTAAGTCTGACCGTCTTCAAAACATACCTCAAACACACTGGCTTCTCTTCCTTTCTACTACTACTACCCTCCTTGTCTAAGCCATACTGCTATCTGAACTTATTGCAACAGATTTCATTGGTCTATGTCTTCTCTTTTCTTCTTCCAATTCACCCTTTCTACAACAGGATCTTTTTAAACATGTAAATTGATCATATCACCTCCATGCTTAAAATCTTCCAATGGCTTTGTATTCCATTTAGATGTAATTCAACATCTTCAGTGAGACCAGCAAGGCCCTAAATGATCTATCCCCTCTGTCTTTGGCCTTATACCCCACCACTGTCCTTCTTGTTCATGACACCCAAGCCCCATAGGAATTAGTTCTTCAGATTTCTGACTATGTTTTATTAGATTATTTTTTCTAATTCTTCATTTCCTCCATGTTATAGAATTACACATCTTTATCTCATCAAATTGGACTTGGCCATGTGATTTGCTCTTACCAATGGAATGTAAACAAACAATGCAAAGAGAGGCTTTAAATGTGCTTGCATGGTTTGGTTTAGCTGCCTGCACTTCTGCCATCTGGGAGAAGAGCATGCTGATTTGCTGCTGGTCCAGACTGAGAGATACGTGGAACAGGCCTGAACCCAACCCATAGCCTAAAGCAGCACTGTCCCCAAGCAACTTGCACACTGTTGAGCAGAACAATAGATATTTATTGCTTTAAACTACTAAGATTTAAAACAATTAAGGGATTGTTTGTTACACAGCATTCATCAAAGCAATAGCTCACTGATGCACTAAATTCCCTCCATCAGGGATTTTGTTTAATGTATGCCCACTTCTTTAGACTATAAGTTTCATGAGGGTAAAGCCTCTGTCTGTTCTGTATACCTCTATTTAGCTGTGGCCTAGCATAATACTTGCTATGTGGTAGTGGCCAAAATAAATATTAATGAAATAAATTATTGTTGGGGCCAGGCACAGTGGCTCACGGCTGTAATCCCAGCACTTTGGGAGGCAAGGCAGACAGATTGCTTGAGGTCAGGAGCTTGAGACCAGCCTGGTCAATATAATGAAACCCCATCTCTACTAAAAATATAAAATTTAGCCGGGCATGGTGGCATGTGCCTGTAGTCCCAGCTACTCGGGAGGCTGAGGCATGAGAATCATTTAAACCCGGGAGGTGGAGGTTGCAGTGAACCAAGAACGTGCCACTGCACTCCAGCCTGGGTGACAGAGCAAGACTTTGTCTCAAAATATATATATATATAATTGGTATTATAAATGCTGTCTTTGATTTCATTAACCTTCACAAGTAACATTGTAGGTACAATTAGATATATAATCTATAATATCTAATTATATGTATAATATATATGAAAATATATCTAAATATATATGGTAATATATAGTTAACAATTTGTTGTTTTTAATCTATTCTGTTATCCATTATTTAACTAAATGCTCTTATCATTCCTAATCATTTTGTGGTTGATTCTGTTATGAATCTATAACTAAAGTCTTATTATCTATCATGGTAATTTGTTAAATTGTTGTCCCAATAAACCACACCTCCTGGTGTTCGCACCCTTGTGTAGTCTCTTGCCCTTGGTTCTAGGCTGGGTCTGTGGCTTGCTTTTGATTAATAGAAAGGAATCGAAGTGACGTTGCGCCTAATCCTTAAGAAGCCCAGCAGTTTATGCTTTTGTGCTGTTGGGAACCCTAATCCACCTTGCAAAAAGTCTGATTCTATTGCGGGAAAGACCACGTGCAAAGGCCATAAAGAGAGAAAGATGGAAAAACCCATCCAAACTGGCAGAATCATGAGCAAATAAAATGGCTGTTATCTTAAGCCACTCAGTTTTGGGGTAGTTTGTTACACATCAATAGATAGTTGAAACATCTACAAATAACAACAATTTTGGGTCCTCAATTAAGATTGTTATTCTACTTTATATTCTTTTCTAAGTGTGTTGACTAGTTCTTTGATCCCATTTTGTGACCCATCCAAAAAAATGTAATAAATCTTAGTATTTTCTTAGGAAAATAAAATTAGGAGAAAAGGCATCAAACGATTGAATTGATATTTTAAGAGCATGCAATTATAGGGAGGGCTTTCACTTTTTATTATGTTTTTCTGAGAAGTTTAAATTTTATAGTATAATATGCTTTACTTGTATAATTAAAAAGATATTAATAATTGTGATTGCAGCCCTCATTTAATTTCTTGCTTTAGTAGGAAATGTTTCAACATTTCACCCTTAAGCAAAACCCTGGCTTTTTTTGTTTTTCTTTTTTCTATGTGTATAAATGAGTGTGAATTTTATATTTTTATATGAAGTACATAAATGTATATTTATATATTATATATTTTAATATCTTTTGTCATGTTAAGTATGTGTCCACCTATTATTATGTAACTAAATGTTTAAAATCAGCATGGGACTTTAAAATGTATTGAATATCTGTTTTTGCATTTATTTAAATGATATAGTTTTTTCTTTTTTGGCCTACTAATATGAAAATTTACATTACAAAATATTAAATCATACTGGCATTACCGATTGTCTTTTTTTTTTTTTTTTGAGGCAGAGTCTCACTCTGTCACCCAGGCTGGAGTGCAGTGGCGCAATCCCAGCTCACTGCAACCTCCATCTCCCAGGTTCAGGTGATTCTCTTATCTCAGCCTCCCGAGTAGATGGGATTACAGACACGTGTCACCTGCCCAGATAATTTTTGTATTTTTAGTAGAGATGGGGTTTTGCCATGTTAGCCAGAGCTGGTCTTGAACTTCTGACCTCAGGTGATCTGCCTGCCTTGGCCTCCCAAAGTGCTGGGATTACACGTGTGAACCTCTGCGCCCAGCCTGACTGTCTTGATGGAAGAACGATGCTCTTAATACAGTAGGGGCTCTGCCACAGGAGAAATTCATGAGGAAGAATTGAGGCTTCAGAGAGAAACAGACCAATGTCCCCAAATCCCTCCCACAAGCTAAGCACTGTCTACATTCTTTAAGGGAAAACTCAGTTACACTGCATATTCCCCACACCAAATTCCCTGTCACCATAATCCACATTCACTGCCTGAGCCACATTGATTTTCAATTATGCTGAAAGAACCACACTTCAATCCAGACAACCAAATAGTTGAGGCAAACAGCATGAAACAGAAGGTAGTAGGCTGAATAAACAGAGGAGCTAACACCAAATGAAGTACAGTTAATACAAAAATCAGAAGAGACTTCTCAAAGAAGTATGGTTAATATAAAGAGATATTTGAGTAGATATCACATTCTTAAATCGAAATGAGGATGCCAACAACACAAAGGAACCGAGTCCTTGTAAATTTAAAGAAATAGTTGCCAAAATTAAAAGTCCAACAACAACAAATAAAGCAAAGGGCAGGACAAACACATATGAAGATAAATTTCGTGAGCCAGAAAATCGATATCATTTATTGTCCAGATTGCAGTGTTAAAGTAAAAGAATTTTTCTATCCTTTAGGCACTCCCTCTCTTTCTGATGCAGCTTTGGAGAATTTGGAGGCAGCTGGATGAGTAAGGCAAGAGGAGGAGAAGCCTTGCCAGGCGTGGTGGCTCACGCTTGTAATCCCAGCACTTTGGGAGGCCAAGGCAGGCGGATCACCTGAGGTCAGGAGTTCAAGACCAGCCTAGCCAACATGGTGGAACCCCATCTCTATGAAAAACACAAAAATTAGCCAGAAGGAGTGGTGGTCACCTATAGTCTCAGCTACTCTGGAGGCTGAGGCACACGAATCACTTGAACCCAGGAGGAGATGGTTGCAGTGAGCTGAGATTGTACCACTGCACTCCAACATGGGCGACAGAGCCAGACCCTGTCTCAAAAAAAAAAGAAAAGGAGAAACCTGGACCAGGAAACAGAAAGAGATGCCCAAGCCCTTCTTTCCCATCGTGGGCTGCCAGCCCAAAGCATGCACTACCACAGGACGAGAGAGGCTTTCATTCCCTTTCAAACCTCTTTAAATGAAATTTAAGGCCTTACATACATTTGCCGAAATGAGACTTTTCTATGTACAGCTTGAGGTGCCTGGAGAACCGAGTGACTAATAACAGCCGAGAAAGGCATTGGGGCTTCCCAGGAATTTTTCTCAGGGCTGCATAACAGGTTTGAACACACAGTGAGAAACAAAAATAAAATTGCTGAATGATTATCCCTACAGTCCTGATGGTTCCAGCAAATGGCTCCATTTGGTTTTCAAACTATATAGGATAATAAAATCAGAAACTCCAGGGGAGCTTGTTAAAAATAGATCCTGAGGCCCCAGGTCCCAGAAAGTCACACTCACGAGGTCTGCAGAGGATCCCAGCAATCAGCATTTTAAACAAGACCTCCCAGATGATACCAATTAAGTTAACCCACTCCCCACACCTTCAATAATTCTCTTCAAACCCACAGCCCAACCTCTAATCATTTTCCTCTGTGACTTAAGGCAAGCTTTTTATGTCTCCTGAAAATCTCCGCCTCCATTTCAACAGCCAGAAATTACTTTTTTTTTTTTTTTTTTTGCAAAGCTCTCCTGGATTTCTTCCAAGCTTCTGTGCTCCCATTTCCTTCCCTTACTTGGGATACTTGCAATATCCCCCCAATTTTAGCAAAATTAAAAAAATTAAAAGTGTGGACTTTGGAGTGAAATAGACTGGGGTTCATGTCCCAGCTTTGCCACTTGCTAGCTATGTAACCTTGACTCTGAGCCTCACTTTTCTAATCTGTGAAATGGGGGTAGTGTGGATGGAATTATATGATGTCTGGAATTTTCTTCTTAACAATCCAGGTGAGAGAAGCAGACAGGGGTATGAATGAATCAAAAGTGGCCATAGGTTGATAATTGGTGAATGTATTAGTCCGTTTTCACAATGCTAGAAAGAACTTCCTTGAGACTGAGTAATTAAAGGAAAGAGATTTAATTAACTCGCAGTTCCACATGGCTGGGGAAGCCTCAGGAAACTTACAATAATGGTGGAAGGGGAAAGAGAAGCAGACACCTTCTTCACAAGGTGGCAGGACAGAGAGAGAGCACACAGGAAAAACTACCTTTTATAAAACCATCAGATCTAGTGAGAATTCATTCGGTATCATGAGAACAGCAGGAGGGAAACCGACCCCATAATCCAATCACTTTCCTCCCTTGACACGTGGGAATTACAATTTGAGATGAGATTTTGGTGGGGACACAGAGCCAAACCATATTAATGCAGTTAGATGATGGATATCTAGAGGTGTATTATATCATTGGCTCTATTTTGTATGTTTGAAGTTTCCATAGTATAAAACTTAGGAAAGTTAATTTAAACAGACAAATACCCCATCATGAAAATGGATAATCAAAAGGAACTCTTGATAATGAAAGAACTAAAAGTGGCCAGATGTTTTCAAATGCTTAGCTTTACTACTAATTCTTCAATGTTAGTTTTACAAACAAAGATGATACCTCTTGCTGGGCACAGTGGCTCACGCCTGTAATCCCAGCACTTTGGGAGGCCGAGGTGGGCAGAGCACTTGAGGTCAGGAGTTTGAGACAACCTGCCCAACATGGTGAAACTCCGTCTCTACCAAAAATACAAAAATTAGCTGGGTGTGGTGGCTGTAATCCCAGCTACTCAGGAGGCTGAGGCAGGAGAATTGTTGAACCCAGGAGGCGGGGGTTGCAGTGAGCCGAGATTGCGCCACCACACTCCAGCCTGGGCAACAGAGTGAGACTCCATCTGAAAACAAAAAAACAAAACAAAACAAAACAAAAAGAGATCTCTTAAGTGATGACCAAATGGAAATAAATAAAATAATGTATATTAAGTACTTATCGAAGTATCTGCCACATAATTCTCAATAAAAGTTAGATGTTTTCATTTCTTCTTTACATCAGGCAATGTGTGTGCATTACCTCTCCCCTGCTACACTACACGCTGAACTCCTAAGGGGAGAAACTGTGTTTCCGTCTCTGTCACATCCATAAGGCTTAGTGACTGCACTTGGCCCAAACTAGGTACTCAGTAAATATTTGTGGACTGAGTCTTATTTATTCAACAAACATTTGCATGACACACACTGTGATTGACACTACTTTTAGCACTTTACAAATATAAGTCCATTTAAGTCCATAGGCTATTCCAATGAGGCCCTCTGCTTTCAAGTTAAGATAGAAACAGCGAGATAAGTAACATGTCCAGGACGATACAATAGTTAATGGCAGAGCTGAGATCTGAACTACATATGCACTTGACATGGACCAGAATCCACATGCCTGATAATTACATTAGGCTGTTTCTCACTCAGCTATGAATGCCACCTTCACCTCAACCCTGAACTCCTCTTATGGGAGCTGCAGATGGCCCACGTAAGAATGAGGTAATGAAATCAGCAAGGGGGTGGAGATGTGGGTGCAGATCACATCCACTGGGTCCTGGAGCTGGCTCATGATTTCTGAGAGCCACTGTGCACACCTGCAGTGACTTCATATTGGTGACTTCTAATCAACTGTGGTAGGAGTATTTATACCAGAGAAATCAGCAAATAAAACATTTGTAGTGATCAGAAATCACTACAAATAAAACATTTCTTCATTTTTTTGGCAAGCTGATTGTCAAGCACTTCCCAGCACACCCCTGGGTCTATTTCCGGTGATCAGGTAATCTTTTTTTTTTTTTTAAGACAGAGTCTCTCTCGGCAGGCTGGAGTGTACTAGCATGATCTCCACTCACTGTAACCTCCGTCTCCTGGGTTCAAGCGATTCTCCTGCCTCAGCCTCTCGAGTAGGTGGGATTACAGGTGCATGCCACCACACCAGCTAATTTTTGTATTTTTAGGAGGGACAAGGTTGCCCTGTCTGGTCTCGAATTCCTGGGCTCAAGCAATCCGTCACCTGGGCCTCCCTCGTGCTGGGATTACAGGTGTGAGCCACCGCGCCCAGCCGTGATCAGGTAATCTTGAACATCAAAATTTGTGAGTCGTGTTTGTTGATAGACAGGTTCACGGTACATGGGTAGAACAAGCTTGCTTTTAGGGCCTAGGGGGAGAGAGATGAATGAATGCATGCATGCATGAATGCATGAATGAATTCTCCTGAAGGGATTCCTAATGTGAACTCCTAAAGTAGAGGCATTATAAGCAATTTTGGTAATTGCACCTTTTCAGGTGGCAAACGAGAGAGGCATCCCCTACAGACTGAAGTCATCTAAGTACTCAAACCTCATTATTCAATCATAGACATCTTTTCATGAAGCATAGTAAATAGACATTTTCAGGCATCAAGCCAATTTTGCAACATCCTTCCCCCTTCAGCAAGGAGAGTGGTAAAGTTCATGATGGAAGTTTCTCCACTGAAAGAAACAAACATGGATTGGACTCTACCAGCGGATGCAGATTCACCAGCTGCTTCAAGATCAAATACACAAACAGGAAGCTAGCACATCTCAGACCTCAACTGTCTCTCCATCAAAACTGTTGCAGTTGATCAAGGAATGCGTTAGTAATTGTTAACATCTACACAGGAAGTGATGTTTTGGTGTACAGTTAACTTGGACCAACGCTGGATTACAAATTAGCTGTGAGAGCTAACAACATACTCTCTGCCTCTTTACCTAATCTGTAACAGTGTAGTCAACCAAAAGCAATGAAAAAGCATAGCCTGGCTGGGTACAATGGCTCACTCCTGTAATCCCAGCACTTTGGGAGGCCAAGATGGGCAGACTACTAGGTCAGGAGTTCGAGACCAGCCTGGCAAACATGGTGAAACCCCGACTCTACTAAAAATACAAAAATTAGCTGGACAGGGTGGCAGGTACCTGTAGTCACAGCTACTTGGGAGGCTGAGGCAGGAGAATTGCTTGAACCCAGGAGGCGGAGGTTGCAGTGAGCCAAGATCATACCACTGCACTCCAGCCTGGGCGACAGAGCGAGACTTGGTCAAAACAAAAAAAAAACAACAAAAAAAAAAACATAGTCTGAACAAGTTCTGGCATATGCTTTAAAAAAAAAAAAAAAAAAAGGAAAGACTGAGGGACCTACATAGACTCCTTGACTTACTTTGAACTTTCCAGATTTCACATTTGGAGAAGTCGCTGTATAACCATGATGAGTATTTTTACTAGGTACTTTAGAAGCCCTGAGAAAATGTGACTATGTCATTTAAGATATCTATTATCAGAGCAACAAGGTAGTAAGATAGCTGCTAACAGAGCATGACTAATTGCAATACTCAGCACTTAATAGGTGCTCAATGAATACTTGACTAGATGCAAGGGAGTTATTAGGAGAAAGGCAGGGAGTTTATAGGAACATGCCTCTTAACCTTTTCCAGCTTACAAGAAAAAGAAAATTTGATTAGTGAGGAATGAGACATTCTCCTTCTCAGAAATAAGACTTGAAAAGGTAAAATGAGCAGCATGCTATTGGCACTGATACTATTAGTAATAAGGAAACTAGGAAGCAAAATAAGCCCTTCTCATCAATAAATGAAAGCAGACCATGGAGGCTTCTTGTGAAATGTGAAGACACTCTGCTGTAAGTACTGTGGACTTTAGAGATACTCTGAAGTGCAAAACCACAGGAGCTGAGCCCCATTTGGGGAAGAACTCCTGAAAGTTTTGGAATTACCCTTCTCCTGAGCCCTAGCAGAAGAATGAGGACCAAATTAGATGCCGACTATGGCCAGACATGGTGGTTCACACCTGCAATCCCAACACTTTGGGAGGCAGAGGTGGGAGGATCACTTGAGGTCAAGAGTTCAAGACCAGCCTGGGCAACATAGTGAGACCCTATCGCTACAAAAAAATTTAAAAATCAGCCAGGCGTGATGTTGTACCTACAGTCCCAGCACCTCAGGAGGCTGAGGTGGGAGAATCACTTAAGCCCAGGTTTTTGAAGCTGCAGTGAGCTGTGATCGTGCCACTGTACTCTAACCTGGGCAACAGAGTGAGACCCCATCTCAAAAAAAAAAAGATAACAATGTTGACTACGAACAGTTGTACTTTACAAAGAAATGTGCTAAACCATATTTAGATGTTTATATTTCTTAAAATTTTGCTCATTTAAAAAAAATTTTAGTGCTTCTATTAGTGGTCAGTTGATTATGATTTACTTTATTTAGTCTTTTTTTTTTTGAGATGCATTCTCGCTCTGTCGCCAGGCTGGAGTGCATTGCTGTGATCTCAGCTCACTGCAACTTCCGCCTCCCAGATTCAAGCGATTCTCCCATCTCAGCCTCCTGAGTAGCTGGGACTACAGGCGTACACCACCATACCCAGCTAATTTTTGTATTTTTAGTAGAGACGGGGTTTCGCCATGTTAGTCAGGCTGGTCTGGAACTCCTGACCTCAGGTGATCCACCTGCCTTGGTCTCCCAATGTGCTGGGATTACAGGCATGAGCCACCACACCCAGCCCAGAGATAGTTTTTGTTTTTTGTTTTTGAGACAGGGTCTCACTCTGTCACCCAGGCTGGAGTGCAGTGGGGCAATCATGTCTCACTACAGCCTGGACCTCCCAGATTCAAGTGCTCCTCCCACTTCAGCCTCCAGAGTAGCTGGAACTACAGGCACACACCACCACACTCAGCTATTTTTTTATTTTTTGTAGAGACCGGGTCTCACTATGTTGCCCAAGCTGGTCTCAAACTCCTAGACTCAAGCGATCCTCCTACCTCAGCCTCCCGAAGTGCTGGGATTACAGCCATGAGCCAACACACCCAGCCAGTTTTTGTACTTTTGCTCTGGCTCAGCAATTTCTCAGAAAGCAAGCCCACGGGGAAATGAATTGCTTTGTCTCATCCAAGTATAAAGTACAGCTGGACTTTAAGTGCCTTGTTCAAGTCCTGCCTCCATCTCTTGCTGGCTGTGGGATCTTTTTTTTTTTTTTTTTTTTTAAATTTTTTTTTTTTATTATACTCTAAGTTTTAGGGTACATGTGCACATTGTGCAGGTTAGTTACATATGTATACATGTGCCATGCTGGTGCGCTGCACCCACTAACGTGTCATCTAGCATTAGGTATATCTCCCAATGCTATCCCTCCCCCCTCCCCCGACCCCACCACAGTCCCCAGAGTGTGATATTCCCCTTCCTGTGTCCATGTGATCTCATTGTTCAATTCCCACCTATGAGTGAGAATATGCGGTGTTTGGTTTTTTGTTCTTGCGATAGTTTACTGAGAATGATGGTTTCCAATTTCATCCATGTCCCTACAAAGGACATGAACTCATCATTTTTACTATGCAGCCATAAAAAATGGCTGTGGGATCTTAGACAAGCTCCTTCACGCCTGTAGGATCAGTCTCCTCCTCTGTAAAATAAGTCAGTTCCTTCCTGTAAGAGATAGCTATGTATACGAGAAGCACTTAGGAAAATGCCTAGCACGTAGGGAACACTCAAAAACTGTTAGGTATTAAGGGAAGCATCTGCTTACCTGCCTTCCCTGGCATGAATGGCATCCTTCACTTTCAATCAGATCTATAATTTTATTCATTTTTTCCTTCACTTCATAAACACTTTTTTGTTTTCTTTTTTTGAGACAGAGTCTCGCTCTGTGCCCAGGCTGGAGTGCAGTGGCACGGTCTCGGCTCACTGCAAGCTCTGCCTCCTGGGTTCACGCCATTCCCCTGCCTCAGCCTCCGGAGTAGCTGGGACTACAGGCGCCCACCACCACGCCCAGCTAATTTTTTGTATTTTTAGTAGAGACGGGGTTTCACCACTTTAGCCAGGATGGTCTCGATCTCTTGACCTCGTGATCCACCCACCTCGGCCTCCCAAAGTGCTGGGATTACGATCATGAGCCACCGCGCCCGGCCAACACTTTTTTTTTTTTTTTTTTTTTGAGATATAGTCTTGTTCTGTTTCCAGGCTGGAGTGTAGTGGTGCAATCTCAGCTCACTGCAACCTCCACCTCCCAGGTTCAAGCAATTCTCCTGCCTCAGCCTTTGGAGTAGCTGGGATTACAGGTGCATGCCACCACGCCCAGCTAATTTTTGTATTTTTAGTAGAGATGAGGTTTCACCATGTTGGCCAGGCTGGTCTCAAACTCCTGACCTCAGGTGATCTGCCTGCCTTGGCCTCCCAAAATGCTGGGATTACAGGTGTGAGCCACCATGCCTGACCCAGTAGTTCATTTCTAAAATGTAAGTCAGAGCACATCACTCTTAGGTTCAGAAAAATCCAGTGGTTTTCCATCTCTGCTTCAGCCACACTCACTTTTTTACCAATCCTTGAAATAACCTCAGGGCCCTTGCACATACTGTTCCCTCCTCTAGATCCCACGTGGCTTGCTCCCTCAATTCCTTCAAGTCGGGATTCAAACATAACCTCCTCAGTGAGGTTTTCCCTGAACACTCTCCTTTAAGAATCCTCCCTTTCAAGAGAGAGCCCCCCCACCTCCTGACTCCCTTCTTGCTTTGTTTCTCTCCGCTGTATTTACTGCCTTCTGCTATGTTCTGTCTCCCCAATGAGAATGAAGTTCCATGCGGTGGGGGCTTTTGTTTCTGTTCACTACTCTATTCCCAGTGCCAGGAAAGAACAGTGTCAGGCCTTTGATCAATGTTTAGTAAATGAATGAATGTGGTGGCACACCAAACAGCTAAAGCAGAAGAGAAGTTGTCACAAGACTGATTACAAGGGTCCTGTGGGTTAAGAAGACTGAACCAAAGCCTAAATCCTGTGAGGAGCCCCAGAGGCACTCAACAGAGCACTTTCTGATCAGATTCGTGCTTTAGAACCATCTCACTGGGTGAAACATGGATTCGAGACTGAGGGAGACCAGGAAGTGCAGCAAGACCACTTCAGAGATTAACGCTGTGATCCAGATGAGATGTTATGAAGGCCCTAATGAGGACAGTGGCCATGGGGTAGGGCAGAGGAACAGAGCAACAAGTGTCTAGAGCAGGGGTGTCCAATCTTTTGGCTTCCCTGGGCCACATCAGAAGAAGAATTGTCTTGGGCCACAGCAGCCAAGGGACCACCATTGGCAGCAGCACCAATAAAACAGGAGCTGGGCCAGGTGCAGTGGCTCACACCTGTAATCCCAGCACTTTGGGAGGCTGAGGCGGGCGGATCACCTGAGGTCGGGAGTTTGAGACCAGCCTGGCTAACATGGTGAAACCCCATGTCTACTAAAAATACAAAATTAGCTGGGCATGGTGCTGCGCACCTGTAATACCAGCTACTTGGGATGCTGAGGCAGGAGAAGAATTACTTGAACCCAGTAGGCAGAGGTTGCAGTGAGCTGGGATCGTGCCACCACACTCCAGCCTGAGCTGTGAGTGAGATTCCGTCTCAAAAAAAAAAAAAAAAAAAAAAACAAAGAAAAACAGGTGCTGCAGCAGCAGTTCCCACTCAAGCTGCACAGGTCCCAGGAAGGGTCTGAGATGAGAGAGACAAAGTCCTAGCCAATACTAGATACCCAGAGAGGGCAAATAGAAAGCCTACTTTCTTGGCTGGGCGCAGTGGCTCATGCCTGTAATCCCAGCACTTTGAGAGGCTGAGGTGGGCAGATCACAAGGTCAGGAGATCGAGACCATCCTGGCCAACATGGTGAAACCCCGTCTCTACTGAAATACAAAAAATTAGCTGGGCATGGTGGTGCATGCCTGGGGTCCCAGCTACTCGGGAGGCTGAGGCAGGGGAATCATTCGAACCCCGGAGGCGGAGATTGGAGTGAGCCGAGATTGTACCACTGCACTCCAGCCTGGTGACAGAGTAAGTCTCTGTCAAAAAATAAAGAAACAGAAAGAAAGAAGAAAAGAAAGGAAGGAAGGAAGGAAGGAAGGAAGGAAGGAAGGAAGGAAGGAAGGAAGGAAGGAAGGAAGGAAGGGAGGGAGGGAGGGAGGGAAGGAGGGAAGGAGAGAAAGAGAGGAAGGAAGGAAGGGTCCAAACCCACTGCCTGAAGCAACACCTGCTGCCTGCTGCAGGGTCCATCATTCAATCGTTTTAACAGTGACACTAAAACTAGATGGGGAAAGTGTGACAGTCAGTATGTAGAGGTAATTCAAACTCAAACGCAACAGCTCAAATTGATGAGCAGAGAAAGCACACCAAGTAGGTACACAGGTGGTCTCAATGAATTCATTTAGATAATATACGGGACTTTGGAACAGGTCCAAGGTCATGATGCTTGCACATTGCTCCATGAGTCTTAAAGATGTAGCCTTCTAAGTTGAACATCTGATATCAACCTATAATATGTTCCAAAACCTTCCCAAGACCTACTCTTCTGGGGCCAACTTTATCACCTAGTGTTGAAATAGTGTTTTTCAATGAATTCTTTATTAAACTTGTTTCTTGACATATGACCTGTCAACCAAGCGGGCTGCTGTCTCCTAAAATATAGATCTGGCTTTTCTAAGTCCCACACCTTGACTGGGCACTGCTTTGGGAAAGGTTTCTCTTTTGATGGATATTTTTTTGCTGAAATAGATCAAGTCCTTTCAGTCTGTCTTCTTGTCATCCCTGAAGCATTTATGCCTTGCTTAAGCCCTTCATTATAATCAGCTGTCCTTAGCTTGCTATTTCCTGCAAGGGCTTTGCCTCAATCATAGATGCATTAGAACAATTGCCCTTTTAGCTGTGGACCAAGTTATCTTTGGGGTGCCCTATGTAAATGAGAACACTTGAAAATGCTAATTTATAATGAGCCAAAAATTGATAACAATATCTCTATGAGTGAACTGGTGAGAAGGCCAAATGGATGGACGAGAGAGAACGTGGCTGGGAAAAAGGAGTGAGCTCATCAAAAGCACGGACAGGAAAAAAGTGAAGACAGAGAAACATGGGCAGGTCATGATTGCCACTGGGGGGTGGTTCGAGGCAGGAGAGCAAGAGAAAAAGAATAATGTTTTGTTACTGTCCTGACAGCCATGTAACGAATATAAGACTTGAAGTCCCCAAGGGGAAAAAGTGGATCTGATTAGAATAACTGATGTGATAAAGGATGGGGAAAAATTGTGTACATAAGAAAAGCACAGCCGAGCGTGGTGGCTTGCACCTATAATCCCAGCACTTTAGGAGGCCGAGGTGGGTGAATCACCTGAGGTCAGAAGTTTGAGACCAGCCTGGCCAACATGGTGAAACCCTGTCTCTACTAAAAATGTAAAAATTAGCTGGGCATGGTGGTGTGCCCCTGTAATCCTAGCTACTTGGGAGGCTGAGGTGGGAGAATTGCTTGAACCTGGGAGGTGAGCCTGCAGTGAGCTGAGCCTGGGCGACACAGCAAGACCCTGTCTCAAAAAAAAAAAAAAAGAAAAAGAAAAGCAGGCCAGGTGCAGTGGCTCACTCCAGTAATTCCAACACTTTGGGAGGTTGAGGCAGGTGGATAGCCTAAGGCCAGGAGTTCGAGACCAGCCTGGCCCACATGGTGAAACCCCATCTCTACTAAAAATACAAAAATAAAAAATAAAATTAGTCGGCCATGGTGGCAGATGCCTGTAATCCCAGCTTCTTGGGAGGCTGAGACACGAGAATCACTTGAACCCAGGAGGCAGAGGCTGCAGTGAGCCAAGATCATACCACTGCACTTCAGTCTGGGCAACAGAGCAAGCCTCTATCTCAAAAAAAAGAAGAAAAGAAAATAGTACAAAATTAAAAGGAAGAAGACATTAAGGCAATTAGAAATCCTGGGGAGTGTGAGAGAAGGAAAGCTTTCAAGAAAAAAATATAATCATAATACATCTGTTGGCTCTTCGGTGAACAATATTTACCAGTGACATAATTATAAATAACCGTATCATTGTATGAGAAGGATGGGAGACAGGCAGTATAAGAGAGCTAAATCCACCACCATTGTTTCAGAATGTAAATAGATAATATCTGAAACTGATGCATCTAGAAATACATGGCCAGGCACGGTGGCTCATTGCTGTAATCTGAGCACTTTGGGAGGCCAAGGTGAGTGGATCACTTGAGCCAAAGAGTTAAAGACCAGCCTGGGCAACATGGCAAGACCCTAACTCTATAAAAAATTTTTTTAAAAAATTAGCTAGGCCTGCTGGCATGCGCCTGTGGTCCCAGCTACTTGGGAGACTGCAGTGGGAGGATCGCTTGATCCTGAGAGCGCAAAGCTGCAGTGAGCCTGTTTGTGCTACTGTGCTCCAGCCTGGGTAATGGTTGGAGACCCTGTCTCCAAAAAGAAAAGAAAGGAAGGGAGGGAGGGAAAGAAGGAAGGAAGGAGGGAAGGAAGGAAGGAGGGAAGGAAGGAAGGAAGGAAGGAAGGAAGGAAGGAAGGAAGGAAGGAAGGAAACATAAGAAAGAAAGAAGGAAGGAAGGAAGGAAGGAAGGAAAGAAGGAAGGAAGGAAGGAAGGAAAGAAAGAAAGAAGAGAGAGAAAGGGAGAAAGAGGTAAAGAAGCTTGTGATTTATTCTTTTAACTGATCAAAGAGTTTAAAATTTTTACCTCCGCTGGTCATCCCAGCTAGTCAGGAGGCAGAGGCAGGAGAATCGCTTGAACCTGGAAGGCGGAGGTTGCAGTGACCCGAGATGGCGCCACTGCACTCCAGGTGGGCAACAGAGCGAGACTCCGTCTCAGAAAAAAAAAAAAAATTTTTACCTCCAGAGAGCAGGAAAGGAGGGGAAACAAGACATTGTTGCTTTTATTACAAGGTTTTTGGTGCCGCTTAATTTTTTTTTTTTTTTTTTTTTTTTTAGTTAGCATAGAATTTAGTGTCAGAAAAAAATTTTACTGAGCATTTGCACCATGCTAGGTATTTTCTACACATTCATTTAAATCTCACAACCACAACAACAAAAACACTTCCCTAGTGCTTACTATGTGCCAAGTACTGTTCTAAAAGCTTAACATTTATTATCTCATTCCATCTTTGCAATAACTTTATGTTAGTCTTATTTTGCCCACTGAACCAATGAGGAAACTGAAGCACAGAGGGAACAAGTAACTTGCCCAAGGTCATGAGATTGAGAGTCGCGGTGCTGGGACCTGAGCCTGGGTAACCTGGCTCCAAAGTCTGTGTTCCTAACCTCTACACGCTGTTGTGTTGTCTAGCAAAGCCAAGGCATAGATATTATTGTTGGTTTGTTGTTGTTGTTGTTGTTGTTGTTTGAGACAGAGTTTTGCTGTGTCGCCCAGGCTGGAGTGCAATGGCGCAACCTCGGCTCACTTCAACCTCCAACTCCCAGATTCAAGAGATTCTCTTGCCTCAGCCTCCTGAGTAGCTGGGATGACAGGCGCCCGCCACCACGCCTGGCTAATTTTTTGTATTTTTAGTGGAGACGGGATTTCACCATGTTGGTCAGGCTGGTCTCGAATTCCTGAACTCAGGTGATCCACCTGCCTTGGCCTTCCAAAGTGCTGGGATTACAGGCATGAGCCACCACGCCCAGCCCGGGCATAGATAGTATTATCTAATCCTTGAAGGTGAGGAAACATACAGAGAGAAAGCCACTTTTCTAAGATCACATAGATAGTATGTTGTGAGATCTGGTTTGACCATGGGTTAGATTGATTTTGACACCCATGCTTAGTCTCTCCATTGCATCATACACAACTGTGTTTACAAGAATGAGCTAATTGGGAAGAAAAGGAGGCCATCCACCCTCACCACTGCTATTCAACATAGTGCTGGAAGTTCTAGCCAGTGAAATAAGGTTAAAAAAAAGAGAGAGAGAATAAAAAGCACACTAATAAGAAGGGAAGGAAAAAAATGGTCCATATTTGCCAATGGCATAGCAGTCTACACAGAAAATTCCAAGGAATCTATAGAAAAACAACTGGAACTGGCTGGGCACAGTGGCTCACACCTGTAATCCCAGCACTTTGGGAGGCCGAGGTGGGCGGACCACCTGAGGTCAGGAGTTCGAGACCAACCTAGCCAACATGGGGAAACCCTGTCTCTACTAAAAATACAAAAATTAGCCAGGTGTGGTGGTGGGCACCTGTAATCCCAGCTACTTGGGAGGCTGAGACAGGAGAATCACTTGAACCCGGGAGGTGGAGGTTGCAGTGAGCCGAGACTGCACCATTGCACTCCAGCCTGTGCAAGAAGAGCAAAACTCCATCTCAAAAATAAATAAATAAATAAGTTCAGCAGGTTTACAGGATACAAGAGAAAGATACAAAATTATTTGTGTATTTATGTATTAACAATGAACACATGAAAACTGAAATTAAAAATATAATGCCTTTTATAATTGCTCAAAAGATGAAACAATTATGTGTAAATCTAACTAAATATGTATATGAATTACAGGCCAAAAACTATTAAATCAAAGATCTAAATATACAGAGAAACATAACATGTTCATGAGTAGAAGACTCAGTAAAGATGCCGATTCCCCCCAAATTGAGATGCAAATGTAACAGAATTCCTGTCAAAATTTCAGCAAAATTTTCTACAGATACAGACAAAATTATTCTGAAATTTATATGGAAAGGCCAGGCGCTAGAATAACCAAAACAATTTTCAAAAGACATTGATAAACGTAGAGGAATCACTCTACCTCATATCAGGACTTATTAGATGTAACTACAGTAAGGCCAGGCATAGGGACTCACACCTGTAACCCCAGCACTTTGGAGGCTGAGGAGGCTGGATTGCTTGAGGCCAGGAGTTCAAGACAGGCTTGGCAACATGGTGAAATCCCGTCTCTAAAATCTTGTATCTAAAAATAAAAGAAGAAAAATTAGCCATGTGCAGTGGCGTGCACCTGTAGTCCCAGCTACTTGGGAGGCTGAGGCAAGAGGATCACTTGAGCCTGGGAGGCAGAGGTTGCAGTGAGCCGAGATTGCACCATTGCACTCCAGCCTGAGTGACATAAATAAAACCCTGTCTCAAAATATATATATGAATAAATAAATAAATAAATATTAATAGAGGTAGCTACAGTAATAAAGACTATGTGATAATGGCAGAGGGAGAGACACAGAGATCAATGGAAATGAATAAAAAACCTAGAAATAGTGCCACATGAGTGCAACCAACTGATTTTTTAACACCCCTCTGCTTTTGCATCAACCAACTGATGTTTTACAAGATGCAAAAGCAACTCAATATAAGAAGTGTAATATTTTCTCCAAATGGTGCTGAAGCAAAAAAAAATTTTTAAGTACTCTGACCTACATCTCACACCTTATATAAAAACTAACTGAAAATGGATCATAGACTTCAACATAAAATGTAAAACTATAAATATTTTAGAAGATAACAAAAGGGGAAATCTTTGGAGCACATGAAGAACTCTTAAACATGACACCAGAAGTGTAATTCATAAAAGAATAAATTGATAAATTGGACTTCAAAATGAAAAACTTTTACTCTGTAAAAGACTTCATTAAAAGGATAAAAAGATAAGCTATAAACTGGAAGAAATTATTTGCAAATCACATATCTAACAAAAGGCCACTTTGGAATAAAGAACTCTCAAAACTGAACATTAAACAAATAATAATAATTCAATTAGAAAATGGGCAGCCGGGTGCAGTGGCTCACGCCTGTAATCCCAGCACTTTGGGAGGCTGAGACAGGCAGATCACAAGGTCAAGAGATTGAGACCATCCTGGCCAACATGGTGAAACCCCGTATCTACTAAAAACACAAAAATTAGCCGGGCGTGGTGGTGCGTGCCTATAGTCCCAGGTACTCAGGAGGCTGAGGCAGGAGAATCGCTTGAGCCCGGGAGGTGGAGGGTGCAGTGAGCCGAGATTGCACTGCTGCACTCCAGCCTGGTGATAGACCGAGACTCCTTCTCAAAAGAAAAAAAAAAAAAGAAAATGGGCAAAAGGCGCATTTCACCAAAGAGGATATACAAATGGCAAACAAGCACAGGAAAAATGTTCAACATAATTTGCCATTAGGAAAATGCAAATCAAGACCACAATGAGCTATCAATACTCATCTATTAGAACATTTGAAATAAAAAACAGTGACAGTATCAAATGCCAGCAAGGATGTGGAGAAACTAGATTTTTTGTATATTTCTGGAGTGTAAAAATGGTATAGCCACCATGGAAAAATAGATTGCCACTTTCTTTAAAAAAAAAAAAAAAATACACTTACTATATGACCCAGCAATTGTACCCACCCCTGGGCATTTACCCCAAAGAAATGAAAACCTATGCCCACACAAAAACTGATCTGTGATTGTTCGTAGCAACTTTATTTGTAGTAGCCATCTTTACATCTATGAGCATATTTATCTCCCACTTGTAAGTGAGAATATGTAGTCTTTGGTCTTCTGTTCTTGCATTAATTTGCTTAGGATAATGGCCTCCAGCTGTACCCATGTTGCTGCAAAGGATGTGATTTTGTTTGTTTGTATGGCTGCACAGTATTCCATGGTGTATACATCTTCTTCATTCAGTCCACCACTGATGGGCACCTACACTGATTCCATGACTTTGCTGTTGTGAATAGTGCTGTGATGAACCCATGCGTGCATGTGTCTTTTTGATAGAACAATTTATTTTCCTTTGGGTATATACCCAGTAATGAGATTGCTGGGTCGAATGGTAGTTCTGTTTTAAGTTCTTTGAGAAATCTCCAAACTGCTTTCCATGGTGGCTAAACTAACTTACATTTCCACCAAAAGTGTACAAGCATTCCCTTTTCTCCACAGCCTCACCAACATCTATTATCTTTTCACTTTTAACAAAAGCCATTCTGACGGGTGTGAGCTATTAATTGGTCTCACTGTGGTCTTGATTTGTATTTCTCTGATGATTGGCAATGTTGAGCATTTTTTTACGTCTGTTGGCTGCTTGTATGTCTGTTTTGTTTTGTTTTAGATAGAGTTTCACTCTTGTTGCCCAGGCTGGAGTGCAATGGTGTGATCTTGGCTCACTGCAACCTCCGACTCCCAGATTCAAGCGATTCTCCTGCCTCAGCCTCCTGAGTAGCTAGGATTACAGGCGCCTGCCACCATACCTGGCTAATTTTTTGTATTTTTAGTGGAGACGGGGTTTCACAACGTTGGCCAGGCTGGTCTCAAACTCCTGACTTCAGGTGATCTACCCACCTCTTTTGAGAAGTGTCTGTTCATGTCTTTTGCCCACTTTTTAATAGGGTCATTTGTTTTTTTGCTGGTTGAATTGTTTAAGTTTCATATTACACTTCTTTTGGATGCATAGTTTGTTAATATTTTCTGCTGTTCTCCAGGTTGTCTGTTTACTCTGTTGATAGTTTCTTTTCCTGTGCAGAAGCTCTTTCATTTAATTAGGTCCCATTTGTCAATTTTTGTTTTTGTTGCAAATTTTTTGAGGACTTAGTCATAAATTATTTCCCAAGACCAACATCGAAAATGGTGTTTCCTAGATTTTCTTCTAGAATTTTTAGTTTTAGGTCTTACATGTAAGTCTTTAACCCATCTTGAGTTAATTTTTGTATGTGGTGATAGAGGTCCAGTTTTATTCTTCTGCATATGGCTAGCCAGTTATCCCAACACCATTTATTGAATAAAGGGTCCTTTCTCGATTGCTTATTTTTGTCAACGATCAGTTGGTTGTAAACGTGTGGCTTTATTTCTGGGTTCTATATTCTGTTCCATTGGTCCATGTTTCTATTTTCATACCACTTCCATGCTGTTTTTGTTACCGTAGCCTTAGAGTATAGTTTTAGGTCAGGTACTATGATGCCTCCAGCTTTGTTCTGTTTTGCTGAGGATTGCTTTGGCTATTGGGGCTTTTTTTTTTTTTTTTTTGGTTCCATATGAGCTGTAGAATAGTTTCTTCTAGTTCTGTGAAGAATGGCTTTGATAGTTTGATAGAAATAACATTGAATCCATAGACTGTTTTGGGCAGTATGGCCATTTTAACAATATTGATTCTTCTAGTCCATAAGCATGGAATATTTTTCCATTTGTGTGTCATTTATGGTTTCTTTCAGCAGTATTTTGTAGTTCACCTTCTAGAGATCTTTCTCCTCCTTGGTTAGAGGTATTCCCAGATAGATATTTTGTTTTTGGTGTGGCTACTGTAAATGGGGTTGCATTCTTGATTTGGATCTCAGCTTGATCATTATTGATGTGTAGAAATGCTACTGATGTTTGCACATTGATTTTTGTATCCTGAAACTTTACTGAGGTCATTTATCCATTCTAGGAGCCTTTTGGTAGAGACTTTAGGATTTTCTAGATATAGAATTATATCATCAGGGAAGAGACATAATTTGACATATTCTTTCCCTGTTTGGATGACTTTTTTTTTTCTCTTGCCTGATTGCTCTGGTTAGGATTTCCAGTACTATTGTTATTGGAAAGTGGTCCCAATCCATATCCCAAGAGAAGGTTTTTGGATCTTGCGCAAGAAGGAACTCAGGGCAAGTGCATAAAGTGAAAGCAAGTTTAATAGGAAAGTGAAAGAATAAAAGAATGGCTACTCCATAGACAGAGCAGCCCTGGAGGCTGCTGGTTGTCCATTTTTATGGTTATTTCTTGATGATATGCTAAACGAGGGGTGGATTATTCATGCCTCCCCTTTTTAGACCATATAGGGTAACTTTCTCACATTGCCATAGAGTTTGTAAAATGTCATGGCGCTGTTGGGAGTGTAGCAGTGAGGACAACCAGAGGTCACCCTCGTGGGCATCTTGGTTTCGGTGGATTTTAGCTGACTTCTTTGCTGCAAATTGTGTTATCAGCAAGGTCTTTATGATCTGTACTTTGTGCCAACCTCCTACCTCATCCTGTGACTTAAATGCGTTAACTGTCTGGGAATGCAGCCCAGTTGGACTCAGCCTCATTCTACACAGCTCCTATTTAAGATGGAGTTACTCTGGTTCAAATACCTCTGACACTATGTTGAATCGGAGTGGTGAGAGTGTTGGCCCATAAATTTGTACAAATAAATGTTCACACTGCTCTGTGAAAAATAATAATAATAATAATTTGCACCCACCAAAAAAGTGCTGCTGCCTAAGCCTTAACAGCAAATCAACTCTTAATAAGCTAGAATCTCTGCGCATGGAACTCATGCATCAGATCCTCTAAGAAACGCTTACATGTGGAGATCGGGGGGAAAAGGAGGATCAAGCAAAAGAAGATTGGAAAGAAGTGGACCATGATAGAGGAAGGAAACCAGGATATGTGGCTCCTGGAAGCTGAGAGGGGGCTGTTTCAAAAGGGAGATAAGATACTCCTGCACTAGGATTTTGTGAGGACTGAAAGAATGCATGCCTATGGAAGCACTTTGTAAGCTGTTAATTGATGAACAAATACTACATGAAGTATTACTATCATCTTAAGGAAAAAAAATCATTCCCCCCTAGTCCAACATCTCTGTGCTTAGAGAAAGAACTTAGAAAAGCGCTGGGAGGGGTGTCCATCCCCAGCACTTATACTTATGAGAATTAACCAAAAATCTTTACAGTTATGAGGCTTAAACAAATTAATGTCCATTATGCTTAACTCAGTGCCTAGTACATCATCATCATCACCATGTAATAATAATAATGATGATAGCTAACACTTACATAGTGCTTCCTATGTGTTAGGCAATGTTCTAAGTGCTTTATATCTATTCAGGTAGCATTCAAGAATGATGAGCTATTGTTGTTTCTTTTGTTATTATTACTAATTCCAAATGGTTTGGTTTCCTTAGTGGGCATTAAGGGAGGGTATAGATGCTGGTTTGGCATTCCAGAGCCACTACTGTTCCGATGTGAGGTTAATGATGTCCCATGAGACCTCTCTGGAAGTAGCAGAGAAAGTGGGGAGGGGGCTTCCCTAGAACAGTCTACGGGTCTCCAGAACTGTGTGTCAGTTCTAGGGCCACCTGGCAGACAGCAGAACCGTCCTATGGGAGGGCTGTGCCCCACTGTGATAGCTGAATTCCTTCATGGAGGCTGTGCTATAGATCCGTTCAGAGCTATATGTGAAGGCATCTGGACATGGTGAGAACTTTATCTGGGCTCTTCAACTCAACTGTTATTTACTGACCACTCATAGGCACCAGTGTATTTAAGCCTGTCATTGACTTTGAGAAGTAGAGATGGTTATCACCATTCTCCAGGTGAGGAAGCTGAGGTTTACAGAGGTTAAATAACTTGCCCAAATTCACACAGCCAGTTAGCATCAGAGCCAGGACTGAAACTGGAATACCCTAAATTCAAGTTCTGACTTCGTCTCCCATGCATGCCACTTTTTTTTTTTTTACCAAGTTTTGAGGAGGTAGGGCTATGGCCAAATTTTAAAAACCAAAACCAAGACCTAGAAAGACTTCACCTTCAATATGCTAGTAGGGGAAGGGAAATAGGCAAAGGACATAGGAAATTTGCAGAAGAGGCACACAAACGCCAAAAAAAAAAAGTGAATAAATGCAAATATAACACACATTTAAAAATATACACACATCATTTTAAGCCCATCAGATTCATTTTTTAAATGTATAAAAGTCAGAAAATAACAAGCCTTGAAAAGGACGTGGGTAACACAACCCCAAGACACTACTGTAGATTTGTGCAATGACCCCAGAGAGCAAGGTAATTGTATCTTAAAATGTTCAAGAACTGCTCACTCCTGAATCGTTTGAACGCAAGAGGTGGAGGTTGCAGTGAGCCGAGATCACACCACTGCACTCCAGCCTGGGCCACAGAGCAAGACTCCGTCTCAAAAAAAAAAAACCCTCACTCCCTACAACCCAGCAATTCCACTCTAAGAAAAGTCCACAGAGAAACTTCTCTCACTTGTGCGCAAGGAGAAATATACAAGGATATTTCCAAAGGTAACGGGAAACAGGAAACTATTTAAATGTCCAATATTAGAAAATGGATACATAAAATGAGGTAAATTCCTACCACATACTCTCTAGCAGTTAAAGTGAATAGACTACATCAAAATATACCATATATGAATAGATATGAAATAGGCAGACTTGATGGGAAAAGGCAGGTTTGCAGAACGATACATGGACTATGATATCATTGACTAAGAGAAGTGATTTGTAGGAAAAGTATAGGTTCTTGAACTAGCACAGAGTGAAGAGGGGGCAGAGGATCTGTGGTTCAAACTTCTCAACACGTTTGTTTCAAAACTCTCCCCATTTTTTTCCAACTCCCTCCTCACTACTGTCTCCCCCTCCCTCCCTTCCTCTTTTCTTCTCTTAGAATCTCCTAATCTAGGTTCCATGAGTGGGTTTCAGAGAAACTGTAAATCCCCTAACATTTTAAGTAAAAATTTGTGTTTATGAGTATTTTTCTGGGGAATGGGTCCATGTCTTTCATCAGATTCTCAGAGAGGTTACAGTCCCACAAGAAGATTAAAATTCATGGAAAAAAATGTTCAGAGCATAAATGTAGCTTTGATGCAGTTTTACTAGTCTATCATGCCTTGGGAGTAGGAGTTATTTCTCATCAGAAGGAAAAAAAAATAGAGAGAGAGAAAAAAAATGTAAAGTGATTTGTTCTGACCCTGTTTCCACTCATCCTGTGCCCTGGGAGAAAATGCCCTGCCTTAAGAAATAGAAACATCTCCATCCTTCCTGGCCTGCCGGGCCGCTCATCCATCATCTCAGGCAGGCTCTGGGCAAATTCAGCCAGCTTCCTTTTCTGCCATTCGTGACCCTTTCCATCAGATGTCGGGGTCTGACTCTGGCCAGAGTGTTGATAATTATTAAGATTTTTCTAACCCAGCCCAACAGCCTCTGCACCATCAGAACACTCCAGCTAAGGAAACTACAGGAGATCAGGAAAGGGTTAATAGTTTTATAAAGGATGTCCCAGGAGCGTGTCCAAATTCATAGGTCCAAGCACAACAACAGGGAGTCCCCAGGGCCTGAGGATGCTGGGATTGAATTAGGCTCCTCCATCATCTAAGAGTTGTGGGATGCCATTTCTCTGCTCTAAACTCACAGGTCCTCTGGGGAGACCAGTGAGATGAAAGCAATCAATGCACAGATCTTGGGGCAGCTGATGGTCAGCCAGGTGGCTCTGCTGATCCTGGCTGGCTTGCTCTCGTGTCCAGGTGTCAGCTGGCTATCCAGGCACCTGGACTGGCCTCTGCAGGGTGGCTGGGCTGCTTCAGCTCTCCTCGTGTCTCTCATGCTCCAGCACACTAGTCTGGGCATGTTCTCATGGTGATGGCAGAGGGACAAGAGACAGCAAGCGCCAGCGCGCAAGCCTATTTCAAGCTTCTGCTTGCATCACATCTGTGAATACCATATTGGCCGAAGCAAGTCACAGGACGCAGCCTGGAGTCAAGGACAGGTCTTGATGCCCTGCCTACAGTGAGAAAGCATGGCAAGCCAAGTGAGAATTTGCAATATTTTTAAAATAATTTCACCTTTTATTTTAGTTTCAGGGGCTACATTTGCAGCCTTGTTACATGAGTACATTGCATGATGCTGAGGGTTGGGGTATGCTTGATCCCATCACCCAGGTAGTGAGCATAGTACTCAATAGCTAGTTTTTCAACCCCTCCCCTCATCTCTTCCTCCCCACTATAGTACCCCCAGTGTCTGTTGTTCTCATCTTTATGTCCATGAGTACCCAACGTTTAGCTTCCACTTATAGGTGAGAATATGTAGTCTTTGGTTTTCTATTCCTGCATTAATTCGCTTAGGATAATGGCCTCCAGCAGTATCCATGTTGCCGCAAACGAAATGATTGGGTTATTTTTTTATGGCTGTGTAGTATTCCATGGTGTATATACACCATAACTTATTTATCCAATCCACCACTGATGGGCACCTAGGTTGATTCCATGTCTTTGCTATTGTGGATAGCGCTGCAATCAACATTTCAGTCCATGTGCCTTTTTGGTAGAATGATTTATTTTCTTTTGGATACATACCCAGTAATGGATTGCTGAGTCAAATGGTAGTTCTGTTTTAAGTTCTTTGAGAAATCTCCAAGCTACTTTCTACAGTGGCTGAACTAGTTTACATTCCCAACAACAGTGTATAAGCAAGAACCTGCATTTTGAGGTCAAGCTCTACTTCTTACCAGCTACACTGATGTCTTTCAAGTTCTCTGAGCAAATAAGACACTATTTTTCATCTATCTGATTAGTGAAGTTTTGTTAAATGTAATAATACACAGTGCATAATACAGCAAAGAAACAGGCAACTGAATATGTTCTTGGTGGGATTTTATTCTATTTTTCCAAGGGCAACTGAATCATACTTATGATGGTGGGTTGCAAAAATACCCCCTAATTCTTCTCATCTTTGTATGCACTCCTGTTTGCAATGTTACTTAGCAGCTCCTACCTCCATGAATCTGGGTTAGTCATGGGCCTTGCTTAGGCCAAGGAGAGAATGGGAAATATAATGCAAACGGGGGCTTGTACATTGGAATTGCCTCCCTTGCTGTGCTTGGAAGCCTGAGGCCACCATGTGAATGAGCCCAAGCCAGCCTGCTATAGAATGAGAGGCCACGTGGAGGAAAACTGAGGTGCCTCAGCTGACCTTAGAAGCTTGAGCATGCCCAGTTAAGATCAGCTAAGCCTGGTCTAGAACAGAAAAGCCAACCACCTGAGCCCACCCCTAATTGCCAAATCCCAGAATTATGCATGAGGTAGTAAAAGATGCCAATTCATTTTATCACATTCTCATAAAGGTCAGCATCTTTCATAAGCAGAGCTGTGTTGTAGCTTCATTTGACAAATATTTATTAAGCCTATTATTACATGCTAGGATTGTCTAGGCACTGATGAAATAAAATGAAAAAAATAAAAATAAAAAAAAGTTTCTGCCCTCATGAAGCTTACATTCTAGAGGTAAGAGACAGAATGTTATTTTGTTTTTTTGAGATAGGGTCTTGCATTGTCACCCAGGCTGGAGTGCAATGGCACAATCATAGCTCACTGCAGCCCCCACCTCCCAGGCTCAGGTGATTTTCCCAGCTCAGCCTCCTGAGTAGCTGGAAGTGCAGGCCCACTCCACTGTGCCCAGCTGATTTTTTATTTGTTTGTGGTAGAGATGAGGTCTTGCTATGTTGCCCAGGCTGGTCTCCAACTCCTGTGCTCAAATAATCCTCCCACCTCCACCTCCCAAAGTGCTGGAATGACAGGCATGAGCCACCATGCCCAACCACAGAATTTTTTTTTTTTTAATTACTAAGTGTAACAGATTGAGCAAGAGTGATGAGTGCTCTGGAGAAAAAGAATAACACTATGTATAACCCTATGATCCAGGAACTTTTCAAATGAGGGTGTAGAGTGTTGAGAGGGGCTGTAATAGTAAATGAGAAGACCAGATAAAACCTCTATAAGGAGATGATCAAGTGAAGATCTGAAGCAGGTAAGGGAATGAGCCTCATTGATATCTGGGGAGGAGTCTTCCAGGGCAAGGGAACAGCGAGAACAGTTTCTGAGGATGCGCTGGGGCCAACAAGTGTATAGGATTCAAAGACAGAGAAGTAAAAGGGGGGCCTGATTGCGTAGGGTCGTGTGGTGACTCTAAGGAATCTTTTGTAAATTCTTGTGTAGATTTAATATTTTAACGACGCGTGTGGTTGATAATTTTAAAAAACATATACAGATCAAAAACAGGCTGGGCACAGTGACTCACGCCTGTGATACCAGCACTTTGGGAGGCCCAGGTGGGTGGATCACCTGAGGTCAGGAGTTCGAGACCAGCCTGGGCAACATAGTGAAACCCCGTCTCTACTAAAAGTACAAAAATTAGCCAGGCATGGTGGCGGGCATCTGTAATCCCAGCTATTCAGGAGGCTGAGGCAGTAGAATCGCCTGAACCCGGGAAGCAGAGGTTGCAGTGAGCTGAGATCGCGCCGTTGCACTCTAGCCTGGGTGTCAGAGGGAGACTCTGTCTCAAAAATATATATATACGTGTGTGTGTGTGTGTGTGTGTGTGTGTGTGTGTGTCAAAAACAAATAGCAATCCTGAGCTGCACCCGTGGATTGCAGTATTAGTGGACTCTACATGAATTTTATTATAATCCCTGGCCCCATATTCACAGAGCTTGCTGGAGACAGCAAGAGTGATGTCATTTTTGGGCACAAACTGCCCTCTGCTGTTCACTTTTGGATTAACAGCCACCATTATCACCTGAAGAAGCAAACGCTGTCCTGGTAGAAAACAGATAATCAGTTATCAGGACACCCCGTCTTCCTTGCCAATAAGTTTGACTATTTCCAGAAGCTCTTAAAAAACAATATAAGAGGAAAGGATATCTCCCAAATCTTCGTCATTCATTTCTATCCAAATATTACATTATCTCTTTCTTTTCTTTCTTCTTTCTTTTTTGTCTTGTCTTTTGCCTTGCCTTGCCCTGCCCTGCCCTGCCCTGCCCTGCCCTGCCCTGCCCTGCCCTGCCTTGCCTTACGGGTCTTGCTATCTCACTCAGGCCAGAGTGCAGTGGCGTGATCATAGCTCACTGCAGCCTCAAACTCCCAGGCTCAAGCGATCCTCCTGCTTTAACTTTCCAGGTAGCTGGGACTACAGGTGCACACCACCCTGCCTGCCTAATTTTTTGATTTTTTGTAGACAGGGTCTCACTATATTGCCCAGGCTGGTCTTGAACTCCTGGGCTCAAGGGATCCTCCCGCCTCAGCCTCCCAAAGTGCTGAGATTACAGTAATGAACCACCAGCCCAGGCCTATATTTTTTTATTTTTATTTTTTTGAGATGGAGTCTCACTCTGTCGCCCGGGCTGGAGTGCAGTGGCACAATCTCAGCTCACTGCAACCTCCACCTCACAGGTTCAAGCAATTCTCCTGCCTCAGCCTCCTGAGTAGCTGGGATTACAGGTGCCCACCACCATGACCAGCTAATTTTTTTCTATTTTTAGTAGAAACAGAGTTTCACTATGTTGGCCAGGCTGGTCTCGAACGTCTGACCTCGTGATCCACCTGCCTCAGCCTCCCAAAGTGCTGGGATTACAGGCATGAGCCACCACACCCGGCCTTATTTTTTATTTTTTTAAGATTTTTTTAAAAACAGTTTTAGGGTCATAGCAACATTGTGAGGAAGGCAGAGAGAATTCCCATTCACCCCCTTCCCTACACATGCACAGCCTCCCCCATGATCGACATCCCCCACCAGAGTGGTACAGTTGTTGCAACTGAGGCACCTACCAGTACTGATGCGTCATTATCACCAAAGTCCCTAATTTACATTAGGGTTCACACTTGACATTGCATATTCCGTGGGTCTGGACAAATGTATAATGCCATGTATCCACCATTACAGTATCACACAGAGTATTTTCACTGCCCTAAAACCCTCTGTGTTCTGCCTATTCATCCCTACCCACCCACCCCTAAACCCTGGCAATCACTAACCTTTTTGTTGTCTCCATGGTTTTGCCTGAAAATCTGAAAAGGCTGCATACTGTATGATTCCAACTATATGACCTCCTGGAAAAGGCAAAACTGTTTAAAGATCTAAAATATTCACCAACTTGTTCATGTGATGCTCTGCAAATGCCTGTGAGGTGAGCTGTGTGGGCATTGTTAGCCCTTTTTGCAGATGAGAGAACTGAGACTTTGGAAACTTGTAGAACTTGCATTTAGTCTCATTAGCCAGTGCATGGTAAAACCAGGATGACAGTCAGAACCTTCCAACTCAGCTGGGTGCGGTGGCTCACACCTGTAACCCCAACACTTTGGGAGGCCAAGGTTGGAGGATCGCTTGAGGCCAGGAGCTTGAGACCAGCCTGGGAAATATAGTGAGTCCCTCATCTCAACAACAACAAAAAAATTTAATTGGCTGGGCATGGAAGCACACAGCTGTAGTCCCAGCTACTCAAGAGGATGAGGCTGGAGGATTGCTTAACCATTGAGTCTGCAGTGAGCTATGATTGCATCACTGTATTCTGGCCTGGGCGATAGAGCAAGACCCTACCTCTTAAAAAAATAAAATATGGCCGGAAATGATGGCTCATGCCTGTAATCCCAATACATTTGGAGGCCAAGGCAGGTGGATACTAAAAATACAAAAATTAGCCAGGCATGGTGGCAGACACCTGTAGTCCCAGCTACTCAGGAGGCTGAGGCAGGAGAATGGCTTGAATCCGGAAGGCGGAAGTTGCAGTGAGCCAAGATCACACCACTGCACTCCCGCCTGGACAACAGAGTGAGACTCCATCTAAAAAATAAATAAATAAATAAGAACCTTCCAACCCACTTTGGTACAACTGAAGTGCAAAGAGTGTAGACGACTTGCTCAACATCACACAAATTTTAAGCAACAAATCCAAGATAACAAGCCATGAGTTTTCATCACTTTAACCACAGACATGTCCAAGGAAAAGCCCAGATAAAGACCCAGGGAGGAGACGGCCATCTACAAGTCAAGGAGACCTCAGAATCAGCCCTGCCAATACCTCGATCTCAGGCTTCTAGCCTCCCGAATTGTGAAAAAATACATTTATATTGTTTAAGCCACCCAGTTTGTAGGACTTTGTTATAGCAAATTACTACAAAGGGTCTCCTCTTCTTGATAATGATATGATCATTATGATATTAGAAAAGTCATACAAATGAAGTGAACAGAGCAAACAGTAATTACAGTCAGAACAGCATATGCGCCAACCAGTTCTACCTCGGCGGAAGTTCTGGGAGGTTGTTCTGGAGGCTTTTGAACAGTGGACTGAGTTTAAGAGTGAGTGATGGGCTTAGGGTGTAAATTCAAGGGATTGGGCTGCAGCTGGGAGCTCGGGACATTCTTGGCTACTGCAGCCCTACTTTGCCTTTCACTGGCATGGTCATAACTTAGGTAGAAAATGTTGATTATTTAATCGTGTTGCCTTGCTTTTTGACCTGATAACCATTGATCAGTGGAAAGAAACACCTGCACAAGTCAAAGCAGGGCTCATTCCTCTGACGGCTTTTTGAATTGGCTTAGCAGCACTCAGCTCACTGCCTTCTTTGCTTTCTTTATCCCTTGCTGTTACTGAGAAAGATTTGGCCTGATTAGAGAAATTAGGATATACAGAAGGAGTCAACAAACTGCATCAATAATCTCCAATTAAAAGACAAGGACTCAACGTAAGGATAGACAAACCGATCAATGGAACAGAATAGAATACAGGAATAGACCCATACATATTGAATCCACTTATTTTTCACAAAGGTACCAGGTCAATGCAATGGAGAAAGAGAATTTTTTAACAAAATGATGCTGGAACCATTCGATATCCATATAGAAAAAATATAAAAGAATTTTCACCTCTACTTCATATAAAAAAATGAATTAGGGCACATGTTCTCAGGGTTTCCTGAGGGCTGTGTCATGGGCAAAAAATTTTTTCCAATAAAAAAATTTAAAGGCCGGGCACGGTGGCTCACACCTGTAATCCCAACACTTTGGGAAGCTGAGGCAGGTGGATCACCTGAGGTCAGGAGTTGGAGACTAGCCTGGCCAACATGGTGAAACCCCGTCTCTACTAAAAATACAAAAATTAGTCGGGCGTGTTGGCAGGTGCCTGTAATCCCAGCTACTCAGGAGGCTGAGGCAGAAGAATCACTTGAACCCAGGAGGTGGAGGTTGTAGTGAGCCGAGATCGTGCCACTGCACTCCAGTCTGGGCGACAGAGCGAGACTCCATCTCAAAAGAAAAAAGTAATGAATATTAATTATTAATGGAACTAACATTTACAGGGTTAGGTCCCACATTGTGATAAAAAGCCTCATGTACATTGTGTTATGTAATCCTGGGAGATGGGTGTTTGTACTGATTACATGGGAACATGAAGCTTAGTAAATTTAAGTTAGTGGCTCTCAATGGCATGCTAATATCATCTTGGGAGATTTTATTTTTTTAAAAATTCTGATGATTGGGCTTCATCCCAAGTCTACTGGATTAGAATCTCTGTGGATGGTGTCCAAGCATCTGTATTTTGTAAGTGCTCTCAGAGGTGACACTGATGTGCAACCAGGGCTGAGAACCAATGTGAATGTTAGAGAGACTGGAATTCAGGGCTTTACTGCCACTTCATTTACAGAAGACGATATAGATATAGATGTTGATAGTGATATCAATATATGTAGACATAAGTACAGATATACATATACCTAGTGTATTAGTCCATTTCACACTGCTATAAGGAACTAACTGAGACTACATCATTTATAAAGAAAAGAGGTTTAACTGATTCATGGTTCCACATGGCTGGAGAAGCCTCAGGAAACTTACAATAATGGTGGAAGGAGAAGGGGAAGCAAGGCACATCATACGTGGTGGCAGGAGAGAGAGAGAGCTAGGAGGGAAGTGCCACACTTTTTCTTTTTCTTTTTTTTTTTTTTTGAGACAGGGTCTTGCTGTGTCACCCAGGTTGGCATGCAGTGGTGTGATCTTGGCTCACTGTAATCTCCGCCTCCCAGGTTCAAGTGATTCTTGTGCCTCAGCCTCCCAAGTAGCTGGGATTATAGGTGTGCACCACCACACCCAATTAATTTTTGTATTTTTAGTAGACACAGGGTTTTGCCATGTTGGCCAGGCTGGACTCGAACTCCTGATCTCAAGTGATCTGCCTGCCTCAGCCTCGCAAAGTGCTGGGATTACAAGCATGAGCCACCGAACCCGGCCTACACTTTTAAACCATCAGATCTCATGAGAACTCACTCACTATCACAAGAACAGCTTTGGGGCTGGGCGTGGTGGCTCACACCTGTAATCCCATCACTTTGGGAGGCTAAGGCAGGTGGATCACCTAAGGTCAGGCGTTCGAGACCAGCCTGGCCAACATGGTGAAACCCCGTCTCTACTAAAAATACAAAAAAAATTAGGCAGGTGTGGTCGTGGACACCTGTAATCCCAGCTACTTGGGAGGCTGAGGCAGAATAATTGCTTGAACCCAGGAGGTGGAGGTTGCAATGAGCTGAGCTCGTGCCACTGCACTCCAGCCTGGGCAACAAGAGTAAAACTGTCTCAAAAAACAAAAACAGCTTTGGGAAAACTGCCCCCACGATCCAATTACCTCCCAAGTCCCTCCCTCAACATGTGGGGATTGCAGTTTGAGATGAGATTTGGGTGGGGACACAGAGCCAAACCATACCAACTAGCATTGAATTTGTTTTCAATTATTGATGAAGAACATCTCATGTATAAAACAGACTGGCACTGTTTCCTCTCCTCACTCCTTTCAGTACATCCATCCTCGTGTTGCTGCTTTCTCTTGTGGTCACTGAAACTCCTGAGCAGTAAGAGTCCTGACAGCACAGAAACTGACCAATCAGAATGGACACTGGACTTATCGCTGGAGCAGGATTGAGACGTTAACGTTTTGATCACTGGATCCGGAAGAGTGTGGCTCCCAAGGGAGGGCAGCAGTGGGGAGCCACTCAGAGGGTTCAAGAAAGCAGCTGTTTTCCAACTGATATGGAAATAGCTTAATATTTTAACAAGTGTTACAGTAATGCCAGTGTCTGCCTGTGCCTTGATCTAAATAATAATTGAAAATACCTACTATTTATTGAGAATTATGTGGCAGATACTGTGATACATACTGAATAAACATTATTTCATTCCATTTGGTCATTGTTGAAAACATTTCCTTTTTTTTTTAGACAGGGTCTCACTCTGCCACCTAGGCTGGAGTGCAGTGGTGCAATCAGCTCACTGTAGCCTCAAACTCCTGGTCTCAAGCAATCTTCCCATCTCAGCCTCTTGTGTAGCTAGGACTACAGACATGCCCCACCACACCTGGGTAATTTTTTTTTTTGGGGGGTGGGGGGGCACTGACAGGGTCTCACTATGTTGCCCAGGCTGGTCTTGAACTCATGGCTTTGCCTCAGCCTCCCAAAGTTCTGGGATTACAGACATAAACCACCATGTCCAGCCAGGTCTGAGCATCTATTACATGTCTCTACTCAAGGATTGCTTCTTACGCGTTGGGAAGAAAAGGAAGAAGCTAGCAGGCAGTCTGCAGTCCACACCGGGCTGCCCCCACCAGCTGTTGTGTGCCTGGCAGCGCTTTCAGCCCCATTCATTTCCAACTCCAAGGGGTTTGTCACTTTGCCGGTTGTTGCCACATTTCCATCCTGAAGTGGCAGCTCCAGTTGTGTTTCCCAGATAATTTCCAAGATGCTAATTGCCACCTGCTGATTTCCTGTAAACACTGTACTGTACACATGTGATTAATCAGAGAGCTGTGGACTGTTCCAAGGAAGTGTGTGTGCATGTGTGTGTGTGCGTTTCATTACGGTGGTGGATTTAAATCACAGGCAATGTTTGCTCACAAAGCTGCATTAGCAGAACGGCAGGGAAAACAAAATTATAAAATACCATAAACTGCAAGTTCACAGACTGTATACACAACAACTCAAGTCAGCCCAATAATTCCCTGACTAAATTCTGGAAGTGAGCAGCAGGAAGGTAGCATCTCTAAAGGAGACTTTGAACCATTTCTTCTTCAGATTCAAGATCAACCTTGTGCCAGACCTTAGCTTTTCACTGCAAGTTACCTGCACCTTTAAAACTCCAACTCCTCATCTGTAAAAATGGATAATAATTTCTGAGTCACAGAAGATAACATGTAATATGTTTATTTTGTATATCAGTCAGAACTGTGTGGGTTGCAAGTGACAGAAATTGAATTCAAAGTGGCTTAAGCAAAGCAAAGGAATATATTGGCTCAAAAACCTAGAGACAGGGGTCTAGTTTCAGGTGCAGTTGCATCTAGGAGCTCAAATAATGACTTCAAACTCTGTGGCACCCTCTGCTTTTTTATCTTGCCTCATTCTTGGAAGACTCTCCTTACAGCAACCTAGTAGACTAACAACAGGTCCAGGCATATATTTTATCTTCTCAGCAACCATGGTAAACTAGTGTAGATAGCATCACACTTGGGAAATGACCCACTAGTGTAAGAGTTAAAGAGCAAAGAAACATGAAAAGCAGCTTAACATTCAAAGTCAGTTTCTTTTGGAGAATAAACCTGAGGGGTTTCTGACCAGTTTTGATCGGGGGCACTCTCTCTTACAGACTAAAGATGTTTAAGGATATAGGAAGTGGGGAGCTTATCGTAGGTTCGCAATGTTTCGATGTGAGGGAAAGTTTATCATGGGGTTGGAAAGTCTCTGGTTGGAGGTGAAGCTATCTTGGGGTCGGCATGTTTCTGGTTGGAGTGGCGTTTATCTTAGGGTTGGAATGTTTCTGGTTATGCTAACATTAGCCATTAGGCTGATGTTTGGGGGCTGGATTTAGGCAGGTTTTTTTTAATCAAGGGGAATTTAAAATGGTGGGGTTTGTCCAAGATAGCAATGCTCCTGCTCTGTCCACTAGCCCATTCTCAGACCTCCTGATTTGGGTAGTTAATTGCCTACTTGCTTACACCTACCCAAACTCCCAAGACATGCACAGAATCAGCCACATACATGAAGACACTGCCAGACCTCTGACCCCCAAACCAAACCAGATGGCTGGAGGGACAGCCTGGCACCATCTGACAGTGTTCATAAGAGAAAAAAATCGGGGATTCCAACATCAGGATATGGATTTCACGAATGATACTCAACCTCCCATACGAACTCATGTGCTGAGCGACAAGAGGGAGAAGTTTACTTAACTTGGAAATAACCGGTCAGCCCCTTTTACACATGCTTGTTTCAGTCCTGGGCCAACAGTGGAAAATGGGCAGTTCACAGACTCAAATCCAGGCACATCTGGCCAAGGTCGCTATTTGCCATTTTCTGTTTCTAAGCCACTCCAAGTCTCTATGGCTTTTTTTTTTTTTTTTTTTTTTTTTGATGGAATCTTGCTCTGTTGCCCAGGCTGGAGTGCAATGGCGCGATTTCAGCTCACTGCAACCTCCGCCTCCTGGGTTCAAGCGATTCTGCTGCCTCAGCCTCCCGAGTAGCTGGGATTACAGGCAAGCACCGCCACATCCAGCTAATTTTTGTATTTTTCATAGAGACGAGGTTTCATCATGTTGGCCAGGCTGGTTTCAAACTCCTGACCTCAGGTGATCCACTCGCCTCGGCCTCCCAAAGTGCTGGGATTACACGCATGAGCCACTGCACCTGGCCTCTATAGCATTTCTTATAGGAAATACTCATAGAATCCCAGCCTGAGATTCTGGTCTTGAAGTATAGAACCCATGGCTCTACCTAATCACACAGCCCCTTTATCCCATCCTATTGGGGCAAGATCCTATCCCCTAACCCCTTCATTTCCATTGTTCCTCCTCTTCAACTTCTTTCCTAGCGGGAAGAAGATAATTAGTATAATACATGAAAGTTATCCTATGAGAGTTGACCAATATTAGCCATAGAGGTTTCATGGTCTTTGGGTACCCTGCTCTGAAAAATGCGAGAACTCGGGGAAAATGGGTCTTATCAAGACAGATAAAAAGGAGCAGGTGCAGATAAAGGCTGGAGCCCTTGTTAGAAAATAATAGAGGGATGGAAATCAAGATAAAGGGAATTTCCTTGTGTCTACAAAAGGCAAACTCAGCCTGACAGGTAATGCACAGAACAAAGAGATGCTGGCAGCAGCCTCTACATTCTCAATCTATTCCTGACTAGCAATGATGAGCATTAAGTCCTTTCTGATAATTAAATGAGCTTATTTGCCTTCTTTTTCAGTCATTGTAAGTTAAAATAACAGGGTTAGATGCAGCATAAAGTAATGGTTAAAAGCACAAACTCTGGAGTCAGGTCACGTGAATTTGAATCCAGGATCCTCTACTCAGCAGCTAGAAGAACTCGGGCATGTTACTTCCCTTTGCTTTAATTTTCTTGTTAGTAAATGGGAATATTGATAGCATCTACCTCCCAGTGTTGGCATGAGAACGAAATTAGTTATTGCATATAAAATAGTCAAAATCATACCTGGCTCATAATAAAAATTCAATACATTTTAGCTATTAGACAAGTAGCAACCTGGACTTCCCTGCCTCCAGGGAAATTCCCTTGTCTACACGCACATGGTTAATTGGGTGAATCCCCCAAGAGGAACACTGGACCTCTCTAGGGACTCACAGAGGCAAAGTGGGAGCACCCAATAAAAGTGTGGCTTGCACATAAGGAACTTTGATTTCCTTGCAGCTGTTCCTTGCTTGTGCTTCACTTGATTTTTTTTTTAGATTTGGGGGTACATGTGCATGTTTGTTACAAGGGTATTACATGCATAATGGTGTGGGTTGGGCTTCTAGTGGACCTATCACCTAAATACCAGACATTGTACCCAATAGGTAATTTTTCAACCTTCACCCCCATCCCACCCTCCCCATATTAGGAATCCCCAAAATCTATTCTCTCCATGTTTATGTCCATGTGTAACCTTTGTTTAGATCCCACTTATAAGTGAGAACATGCAGTATTTGATTTTCTGTTTAGTTCACCTAGGATAATTGCCTCCAGCTCCATCCATGTTGCTGCAAAGGACATGATTTCATCCTTTTTATGGCTATGTAATATTCCATGTTATAGATCTGCCACATTTTTTTTTCTTTTTTGAGACAGGGTCCCACTCCACCAGCCATCATAGCACCATCACAGCTCACTGCAGCCTCCACTTCCTGGGTTCAAGTGCTCCTCCCACCTCAGCCTCCCTAGTAGGTGGGACTACAGGTGCATGCCACCACACCTGGCTAATTTTTTATTTTTATTTTTATCATTATGTTGCCCAGGATGGTATTGGCCTCAAGCAATCCTCCTGACTCAGCCTCTCAAAGTGTTGGGATTGCAGGCATAGGCCACCATGTCCAGCCCACCACATTTTCTGCCTGTCAACCACTGGCAAACACTTAGGTTGGTTCCATGACTTTGCCATTGAAAACAGCTGCATTTGCTCTTCTGATTAAGAGGGATTTTTCTTCTGTTTGACAGTGTTGCAGCAAGCTCTCCCAAGGCTTTACTCTGAAAATAGGGAAAGGCCTGCAGCATATTTTCTGTGTCCCAGGCTAAAATGACTTGGCACAATCAACTACAAGGGGTGAACCGGATTGGTCACAGGAGGGCATACATGGACATTAGACTTTTCCAATAACTAGAAGCCTCATCACAAAGTAGGCAATGAGGTCAGTAAGAGGTGTTCCCAGAACTCCAGAGACAAAGGCCAGCTAGAACCCAAAGGGCTATCCATGCATCACAGACAAGAATAAGGATTAGACCACAGGCTGGCTCAAGCAAATTTTGTCAAAAGGTTTGCTTGCAACTCTCTTGGCCAAGGTTATCCTATCAAGGTAATCAAAGTTCTGGCATTTGCAACCTCTCTCCCTTCACCAACTACCCACTCAGTTCACCCTGGTCCATTGAATGTACTCTAGTCCTGCCCACCTCTAGAACTCCTCTTATCAATTCCTGCCCATTCCTCAAGCTTAACTAAATTTCAGTCTCATCCATGAAGTTTGTTTTGACCACTTCCAAAACATCTGAATTGACAGCTCTAATTGCCTGATATAATCATATGGAATTATGTACGGTTTTATGACACCTCTTCTACTAGGGCCTTGAGGGAAAGTGAACATCCCTTCGTTTTACCTGTATAGCATCCTTTATCCCTTCTTCTGGTAGTAGCAATTTTTCTTTAGGAAAATTTTTCTTTAGGAAAAATGGACCACTCAATTTTTCTTTAGGAAAAAAAAAAAAAAAAAAACCCTTCCAAACTCTTGGACCAGGCGGCTCAGAAAGAGCTGACAACACACCGCAGCTCCAGAGTGGACATGTGACCCAGGCCTCACCAATCAGGAATTCCCTCTCCCTGGTCACAGTGATTGGTTCAGGATGGGCACATGACCCAAGTCAACCCTATGAGGGTCAGCCCCAGGACATTTGCTGAAACTACTGGGGGTTCAGGGAAGTGTACTCTCTTTCAGAAGACCAGCAGCTACTACATGGGGAGAACCTACTGAAAATAAGGTTGATTCAGGAAAAAACAGAGCTGAAAATAGAGGGGAATCAATTGCCTGAGGATATCATCTGAGGACAGAGCAAGACACCGTCTCAAATTTTTTCCACTTTACTGTAACACTTTAAGTAAAATGGTCATGTCTTATGTATCTGCCTATCCCATTAGTGCCTGGCATGATGCTTTATAAAGAGGCATGTAGCTTAGTTAAGGAATCATATTTGAAAATATTAATACTATGTCTGAAGTAGACACCAGTACACACATACCCAATCTTCTCATTTCTACTTTTCAATTTTTAAGAAGTAGATCAGATTTGGCATAAAAGAAATGAAAAGGCTGGGCACGGTGGCTCACACCTGTAATCCAAGCACTTACGGAGGCCAAGGTGGGTGAATCACTTGAGGCCAGAAGTCTGAGACCAGTTGGCCAACATGGTGAAACCCTGTCTCTACTAAAAAAACAAAAAAATACAAAAATTAGCCAGGCATGGTGATACACATCTATAATCCCAGCTACTCGGGAGGCTGAGGCATGAGACTCTCTTGAACCTGAGATGTGGAGGCTGCAGTGAGTCAAGACTGCACCACTGCACCCCAGCTTGGGTGATGGAGGGAAGGAAGGAAGGAAGGAAGGAAGGAAGGAAGGAAGGAAGGAAGGAAGGAAGGAAGGAAAAGAGAAAGAAAGGAAAAGAAAATAAAAGAAATGAGAAATAACCTGGCACGGTGGCTCATGCCTGTAACCCCAGCAGTTTGGGAGGCCGAGGTGGGCGGATCACTTGAGGTCAGGAGTTCGAGACCAGCCTGGCCAACATGATGAAACCTCATCTCTACCAAAAGTACAAAAATTAGTTGGGCGTGGTGACATGTGCCTGTAATCCCAGCTACTTGGGAGGCTGAGGCAGAATTACTTGAACACAGGAGACAGAGGTTGCACTGAGCCAAGACTGTGCCACTGCACTCCAGCCTGGGCAACAGAGTGAAACTCTGTCTCAAAAAAAAAAAAAAGAAAAAGGAAAAAATGAAAAAAAAATGAGAAATAACAGGCATTACTAAAAAATTCTCTATCTTGGAGTTTTTATTTTTTAACTAACATATGCACAGATATAATTTCTTAGGACTTTAATGCATATTTAATATTCACGTTTACAGTGACCCTAAATTAGATCCCACTAGCCAACACCAAGTTATAGTTCATCAGCCTGCTGGCCAAAAGGCTGGTGGCTCAGCACCATGGACAGAGGAATCTGGTGCAAAAGTTGGATCTGCGCCTATTTAGAAAATAACAGCTGTGATATATGATGTTCTACCAAAGAAAGATTAGTGTGAACATTGTTCTTGGCATCAAAGAGAGTGGCTCTGGGTTTGGATCAACTCAGAGGATTGGGGTCTTGAGAAAATAACCACTTCTTAAAAATACCTCAGAGTACCATGACCTGCTTCATTTACTGACCTACATATTGATCCACTACTTCTTCAACAATCTGCTTTTCTGTTCCCAAGACACCATTTTCATGCTGAACTAAATGTAAACACCTAGTTAGCAAATGTGGAGGACATCTGTTCTTTTTACATGTCCAGCATCTATAACCCTTTTATCTTTTGCAAACGAATTAGCTGTCCTGAGTTTGCTCTTTTTGTTGTTGTTGTGTTGTTTTTTGAGGAAACAGTCTCACTCTATCACCCAAACTGGAGTGTAGTGGTTCCCTCATGGTTCACTGCAGCCTCGACCTCCCGGGCTCAAGCAATTCTTCCACCTCAGCCTCCTGAATAGCTAGCACTACAGGTGTGTGCCACCACACCTGCTTAACTTTTATCTTTGTAGAGATGAGGATCTCACTATATTGCCCAGGCTGGTCTTGACCTTCCGGCCTCAAGCAATCATCCCCCCCTTAGCCTCTCAAAGTGCTGAGATTACAGGAATGAGCCACCATGCCTGGCCCAAATTAGCTGTTTCTTTAAATGGTATTAAGGAATTGTTGATACAATTGAGAAGAGCTTATGATGATATTGAAGCTATGTTTAAAATAAGAGTTCCTGGCCAGGCACAGCACTTTGGGAGGCTGAAGCAGTCGGATCACTTGAGGCCAGGAGTTCAGGACCAACCTGGCCAACAAGGCGAAACCTACCTCTACTAGAGACAAAAAGTTACCTTGGAGTGGTGGTGCACGCTTATACTCCCAGGTACTCGGGAGGCTGAAGCAGGAGACTCACTTAAAACTGGGAGGTGGAGGTTACAGTGAGCCGCGATCGCATCACTGCACTCCAGCCTGGGCGACAGAGCAAGACTCTGTCTCAAAAAAAAAAAAAAAAAAAAGAGTTCCTGTCTTTACACAATACATTCTGATAGTTTCAAATAAAAAATATCATGTCCAGAATTTGCTTCAAAATAATCCAGGATCAGAGCAGGTGAGACAAGATTGGCCATGAATTGCTCATTGTTAAAGCTGGAGGACAGAAACGTGAGGATTCTATTTTATGTTCGAAATTTTCCATTAAATATATACATATGCAAAAAATATATATATATACACAGACATATGCGTATATATGAGTCTGTGTGTGCGCACTTGTGTGTGTTACTGAGAGGCTACCACAAAATTGTAACAATTCCTGAACAACTTATGATCCTGCACCTAAGAAATAATAAAGAGCAAACCTGATTCCCTCTGCACCCTGAGGAGCTTTCAGGAGGCAAGGTTCTAAATGCCCCATGCAGACCTGAGATTTTTCTCTTGCTCAAGTCCATGTGATGGAGTAGGAAGTTCAGATGTCCAGGGATGATCACTTTCGCAAGATGTCTCAGGACAGCAATTTCTAAGAAATGAAACCTTTTCATGCACTTTTCCCTGACAAGCAGCTGGGAGCAGGGGCTGGGCCAAGAGTAAGTGAAAGTATACCTAAGTGTGGTCATGGGCCCCAGGTCAATACATAAAGTCTAGGTGAGAACCAAAGCAACAACAAAATATTAAATATAAAATGGGCTGGATAACTAGAGGGAGCCAAGGTATAATGCCAGGCACATTAGGATGGAGAAAATGTAAAATACAAAGAGGGCGGAAAGGTACAAAAGGAAGGCACAACTAAATATTTCCCTGGGGAGCCTTTCCGGGGACTTTTCCTGCAGCAGCCGCATCAGGACAAATGAGGTGCCAGCTGAAAAACTGGTGGATAAAATAATGACCATAAAACTGCTTCAAAAACTGTGAAACCATGCGCACAAGGGAGGAATCGCTCAGAGGCTACATACCACAGATGAGGTTGAGTGCTTACTATGCGTAAGGCACTTTATAAGCTCCCAGTACACAGTGGTTAAAAACATAAAATGTCCTGCTTCACTGAGTTAACATTATAGTGAGGCAAACTCATGTAACTGCCAATTATTTAGAAGTGTGATAACTTCACCTAAAAATACTGCCAGCTTCTTTTTAGAAATCAGAAGATCTAGGCCGGGCGCAGGGGCTCACGCCTGTAATTCCAGCACTTCGGGAGGTCAAGGCAGGCTGATCACTTGAGCTCAGGAGTTTCAGACCAGCCTGGGCAACATAGTGAGACCCTGTCTCTGAAAAAAATATATAAAAATTAGCCGGGTAGTGGCATGTGTCTGCAGTCCCAGCTGCAGTGGGCTATGATTGCACCACTGCACTCTAGCCTGTTTTTTGAGAAGGAGTCTCGCTCTGTTGCCCAGGCTAGAGTGCAGTAGCGCGATCTCGGCTCACTGCAAGCTCCACCTCCCGGGTTCACGCTATTCTCCTGCCTCAGCCTCCAGAGTAGCTGGGACTACAGGCGCCCACCACCACGCCCAGCTAATTTTTTGTATTTTTAGTAGAGACAGGGTTTCGCCATGTTAGCCAGGATGGTCTCGATCTCCTGACCTTGTGATCTGCCCACCTCGGCCTCCCTAAGTGCTGCAATTACAGGCGTGAGCCACCGCGCCAAGCCCTCAAAATAATATCATCAGAAGATCCAGCAGGGCTTGGTCTGTAATCCTGCATGGCAACAAGAGACTGGAACTAGTGGCTGCTTCCTTTAGACAGGAAATGTGGCCTTCAGCTCACCACACTCCCCACCATCCCCTATTGTCTTACACTCTGCCCTACTTCACTCTATGCTATCTGCCTGAGCTCTGCAGGCTTTCAAGTTTGTGATTCCTGCTCCCTCATGTCCCCAAGCTGTTTGTGATACTTGCCTCTCCTAAAACCACCAAATAGCCCAAGGAGAATATAAAGAACCCTACTCTTATTTGAATCTGAATCCTGGGTTGCCATTTAATCTGATGTAACCTTGGGCAGTGACATCACCTTGCTCAAGTCTCAATGCCCTAAACTCTAAAATGAAGGTAATCATATCTGGTTTATAGGATTTTTGTGAGGACTAGGCTTTGCCTAATTAGCTCTTCTCCTTTGGATCTCACCCCTAGCACTGCTTCTTCAAAAAAACCTTTCCAGACCTCCCAAATAGATCAAATCCCTCTGACAGACATAGGTTCTCAGCACCATGTCTCTTCTTGGTGGCACCCATCTCCCTTAGAATTGTACTTGAGTTTGTGGATTACTTATTTAATTCCTGCCTCTCCCACCAGACTGAAAACTCAATAATGGGAGGGGAATCCTGCTTTTGCTCCCTACCTACCACCATATCTGGCATTAAATAGGTCCTCAATAAGTATTATTTAAAAAGAAAAATGAGCTGTGTAAGGATGCTGATACAACCCCTGGCATATACGAGGTACCCCACTGATTCTCTCTGCCCCACCCTCAGGTAATGCCTGTTATGTACATGGTACCCTAAGCTTCTGGGGCTAAAATTGGCTCAATTTTTAACATTTGGGAAACAAGTGATTAGGTTGTGTTTTCTAATAAGCTATCTACCTCCCAGAATAAGGATTTTTGTTTTGCCCACTGACATACATGTAGCCGAACTGGTGTCCAGGCCACTCGTCGCCTGAAAGCCAAAAACTCAAAAGACAAGCTTTGGTGAAAGCAAAGTTAGCTTTATTCGAGAAACCAGCAACCTGCAAAAGGCAGTGCACTAGCATTCAAAGACCACCTTTCTCAGTTGTGCCTCTAGATCCAGGGATTTTAAGGAAAATTAGGAGAAATAATGATCAAAACATTCTTGTGGGCCAGGAGCGGTGGCTCATACTTGTAACCCCAGCAATTTGGGAGGCCGAGGCAGGTGGATCACTTGAGGTCAGGAGTTCGAGACCATCCTGGCCAACATAGTCAAACATCATCTCTACTAAAAATACAAAAATTAGCCAGGTGCGGTGGCACACGCCTGTAGTCCCAGCTACTCAGGAGGCAGAGGCTACAGCGAACCAACATCACTGCACTCCAGCCTGGGAGACAGACCAAGACTGTCTCAAAAAACAAAACAAAGAAACATTCTTGTGAATCATGCGCAGTCTCAGATGGGCAGTTAGTCATTACTTTCTTGGTCAATGCCTTGTGACTAGACTGTGCAGGGGCCATCAGCCTGTTCCCAAAGCTGCGGGTCTGTGTGTTTTATCTGTTGAAGAAGGTCCTGTTTTTTTCTGTGGCTGTTTTTAGTGAATAGTTTACAAACTCAGGCAAAACAATAATTATACTCAAGCAAGCAAGCTTTTCTCTAACATAGAGTCAGTACTGCTGTTACCCGTTGCAGGGCCTAGGGGACTTAGCTGGACGCCTACCTGGCTTTTGTTACCCAATGCAATGCCTCCATGACATAGCTAAATTCCTACTCAGATTTAACTCTGCTTATTTTTAGAAAACAGGTTGTCTGTGGTCATAGGTTCCTTCTTAGCTTACTCGACCTCTGAAGAACCTCTAGCTTCATTCTAATCCAACTTCAGTACTAAATGACATTCCCACTGGTTGCCATGACAGTTGACAATCACCGTGATGACCCGAAGAGACCAAAAAAAGGACAAAAAAAGGGGCAGCTCCTTGATTCCAGGAAAATCTACCTCCCTTCCCAAGAAAAAACATGAATATTCCTCCTCTTGTTCTTAATTTTTATTTTTTTTAGAGACAGGGTCTTACCATGTTGCCCAAGCTGGTCTCCAATTCCTGGGCTCAAGCTTTCCTTCTGCCTCCTCGCCTTGCTCTTAATGCCCAGCCCCTTCATTAAGGACACCTGACGACTAAGCTCTGATTCTTTTGTTTTTTTTTTCTGTTTTGTTTTGTTTTTGACACAGAGTCTCACTTTGTCAACCAAGCTGGAGTGCAGTGGCACAATCTCAGCTCATTGCAACCTCCGCCTCCCGGGTTCAAGTTGAGTCTCATGCCTCAGCCTCCCAATCAGCTAGAATCACAGGCGTGTGCCACCATGCCCAGCTAATTTTTGTATTTTTAGTAGAGACGGGGTTTCGCCATGTTGGCCAGGCTGGTCTTAAACTTCTGACCTCAAGCGATCCACCTGCCTTGGCCTCCCAAAATGCTGGGATTATAGGCGTGAGCCACCACGACCAGCCTAAACTCTTGATTTTTTTAATCCTGCCCAAATTCCTATCTAAGGGATCTGGGGAGTCATGACCTACAAACCATAAATTCTCATCAGATGGGTTTTATTTAATCCTATATATGATGACTTACTTTCCATTCTGACTCTGGCATAACATTACGTGACAAAAAGAAAGTCAAAATATTTTACCCCAAAACATGTTTCCTTGCCCTATTTTGCAATTTCTTCCATAAAGGACAGCATTTTCCCCCAAAAGCTATCCTTTGTGGGGTAAAATGTGCATCTGTAAAGAACATCTATTAACATAGCTAGATGTTTTTCTTCCAGGCCCTCCCAATCCTAAACGGATTAACTAAAAGTCTAACACCTTTTGAAGATCTGAATAGGAAACATTTGTCATCTATTATCTCTAAGAGCAGCCACCATAAGACTTCAAAAGAACCTTAGTCTCCACTATCTTTTATCTTAACCTGAACACTTCCTTTCTATCAATCCCAGGTCTTCAGACAAACTCAACCAATTGTCAACTAGAAAATATTTAAATTTACCTATAGCCTGGAAGCCCCCACCCCCACCCCTTTGCGTTGTCCCGCCTTCCTGGACCAAACCAATGTATTTAATGTATTTGACTGATGTCTCATGCCAACCTAAAACATAAAACCAAGCTGCACCCCGACCACCTTGGGCACATGTTCTCAGGGCCTCGAGAGGGCTGTATCACAGGCTGTGGTTACTCGTATTTGGCTCACAATAAATCTCTTCAAATATTTTGCACGGTTTTACTTTTCGTCAACACTCCCTATTACCTGTAACTTCTCAGTTTCCAAGAGCTGAGAGCTTGATTTGCGAGCTACCCTCCCACTTCTCCAATTCCATGGCCACTGAATGAAGGCTGCACTGCCTGATACTCACACTTGGTCTCATGCGCTGGCTCTGCAACAACGGACAGACAAGAGTTCCTTTGGGGGAAACCAGCTTCCCAGGTGACACTGTTGCCTCTGCTACATGCGCAAAGCGCAGCCTGGCACATAGTAGGTGCTCAAGAGAGGGAAAGCCGGGTCTATGAATTCAGGGACAGGGGCAGCACCAGAAGAGAGCAAGCTGGGGCCTGGCTGGCTGAACCCTGGCCCCGAGACCCCTGTGACCCCCCTTCTCATCAGGATGCACCACATGAACCTCCCCAACGCGAGGGCCAACAAGTGGCCCCAGATGAGACCGCGCCGGGAAGGGCCTGGGGCCACGCACAGATACTTCCGCCAGAAAAACACCACGCCGCGCCGTGCACCTCCGCCAGAGGAAGAAGGTCCCGCAGGGTCGGGGTAACCGCTCCATCCCCGACCGCAACCCTGGACCAGGTACAAGGAACAGATCCCTCCACCGGAACGCCGTGTCCCTCCGCCAGACACAGGAGTCCCCGCTCCCGTGCTCTCCTTCCCCGGCAGCCAGGCCCCGGTGCCGACTCCTCCGCCTCAGGGAGGCCCCGCCGCCGCCTAGATTCTCCGCCTGAAGCGGGACTCGCGACGGCAGGTTCCCTAGAATCCCTCTGTGTCCCTCCGCCCCGGGGAGGACCCTCCGCGCCCCTCTACAATCTTAAAGTCCCTCAGCGACGAGTCACCGCGCCGCGCGCTCTCGCGAGAGTCCACCGCACGGCCCCCCCCCCCTCCCCCAGCCCCTCGCCCGCCAGGACGCCTCGCGCGGGCCCCGCGGCGCTCGGTGGCAGGCGGCGCATGCGTGACTGCGGTTCCCAGCGCCCCCCGCGCTCTCCGCGGGCCGAGTGGACGAGGCCGAACGCGAGCAGCCTGCCGCTGCCCCCTGCGAGCCCTGGCTTCGCCCCGCAGCTCTTCTCCCTTCCGGGCGGAACAGTTTTTGCGGCCTTTCCTCGGCGGCAGCGGTTTCCTCAGGACGGTCGGGGCCGTCGTGGGCCCGAAAGAGCCCGGCGCCGCTCTCGGAATCCGGCGGCCCCAGCGGCACCCGCGGCGGCCTGGACGTGCTGCGGTGACCCGAGCCCGGAACCTGGCGCCGGGCGGGGCCTGCACATCCGGCCCCACCCACTCGGGGACTCGCCTCTCCGCGCCCGACCCGGGAGTAGCGGACACACCCCCTCCCGGCCCGGCTGTCCGCCTCCGCCCAGCCTTTCCTCAGCCTGCTTCATTTTTCTCCCAGTCGTCCAGCCTCCCGGTTTCCGACTTTGCACTAAGAGGGATGCACTCTGGAAAACCACATTGCGCGGTCACATCTTGTTTGGAGAAGAGGCCAGGCTTTTGCATCTTAGAGTATACGTTCACCTTTTCAAGGGCCTGGCATAGATTTGATTAATCAGCCTGGAATACCCTGTTCCTGCCGACCTGGCCGTTTTTACCTCCGTACCTTATCACACTCCCAGGAACATTAAGCAGGGAGCGCTTGGAGTCTTCTTTGGGTCCCCACCTTGAGCTAGACGTGAAGTTGACCCCTGGGCTGCAGCATGGCTGTCGCCCTCGACTCTCAGATCGACGCGCCCCTGGAGGTTGAGGGATGCCTAATAATGAAGGTGGAAAAGGACCCTGAGTGGGCATCAGAGCCCATTCTGGAAGGATCGGATAGCTCTGAGACCTTCCGCAAATGCTTCAGGCAATTCTGTTATGAGGATGTGACTGGACCCCATGAAGCTTTCAGTAAACTCTGGGAACTTTGCTGCCGGTGGCTGAAGCCAGAAATGCGTTCCAAGGAGCAAATACTTGAGCTGCTGGTGATTGAGCAGTTTCTCACCATTTTACCCGAGAAGATTCAGGCTTGGGCACAGAAGCAGTGTCCGCAAAGTGGAGAGGAAGCGGTGGCCCTGGTAGTGCATTTGGAGAAAGAGACTGGAAGACTAAGACAGCAGGTGAGAGAGGATTTTCCAAATTTTTGTACTTAGAAAAAAGGGAATGGGAAAGGCATGTGGGCAGGGATGTATTGCAGAAAGACGTGCTCTTCAGAGAAAGATAAATGGTACTAATAAAAGACCCTATAAGGGGGTCTTTTCACTTTAAGTGAATCCACTTAAAAGGGGATCAGAATTTCACATGAAATAGAAAAATAAAAGCTTTGATTGAAATATTATCTTACAATGGAAACCAGACATTATTCACCTAAGCATTTATCGTCATCTTTGGCATAATGTTTGCAACAAAACAATATAAGAGAACAATATGGTTTTGCGTCACAGAGGTTCACTTACGCATTTTGATCAAAAAAGGCTATTCTGTTCCCCCTTTAAAAAAAAAAAAAAAAGACTTCATCCGTTATCCCAGAGCCGTCTCCAAGCGTTTTACTGTTGCACTCAGTGTCTTCTGAAGTGCTCTCATGCCTTCATTTCTGTCACTCTCCTCCAGTCTAACTGCCACATCTTCATTTCTCAGTGGCTTGCATGCTCTTCTAGTTGTTCTTCAACCTCACTTTCATGAACCTCGTGAAATCCTGCAGCATTTGCAAGATTTGCGGTTTCACCTTGCATCAGACTTGCATTGTGTAGAGATCTATCAGCAGGTTGCTGTATTGGTCAGGGATAGACAGATAGATGTGGATATTAATTTTGTAAGTTTTCATTTCACTACTGTATATATTCATGTCCTGGTAACTTCTTTGCGAACGTAACAGATATAGAGTCAAATAATATCTATTCTAGCAACAAGGAGGCTCTTTCACTCCTGACAGATTTCCTTCTCTGTTTAGTATTAAATATTATTCTGGCCAGGCGCGGTGGCTCACATCTGTAATCCCAGCACTTTGGGAGGCCGAGGCATGTTGATCACCTGAGGTCAGGAATTCGAGACCAGCCTGACCAACATAATGAAACCCCATCTCTACTAAAAAAATATAAAATTAGCCGGTTGTGTTGGTGCATGCCTGTAATCCCAGCTACTTGGGAGGCTGAGAGAGGAGAATCGCTTGAACCTGGGAGGTGGAGGTTGCAGTGAGCCAAGATCGTGCCATTGCACTCCAGCCTGGGCAACAAAAGTGAAACTCTGTCTCAGAAAAAAGAACACTGTTCTGTTACCTTACACCCAGACTGCTGGACAGTACTCTCAGCCCAGCGCTCTCAGAGACTCCACTGGGAATGGAGTGGAATTTTCATTCCTTCTCATGTCTCTGTCCTTCTTTGATGTCTTTCCTGGGAGAATTTCGCCCTGATATGGGCCTGTTTTACTCCCTCTTATGGTATTGACTTCATTTCTCAGGTCAGCAGTCCCGTGCACCGGGAGAAGCACTCCCCACTTGGAGCAGCGTGGGAGGTGGCAGACTTCCAGCCAGAGCAGGTGGAGACCCAACCCAGGGCGGTGTCTCGGGAGGAACCTGGAAGCCTCCACTCAGGACACCAGGAACAGCTGAACCGAAAGCGAGAACGTCGGCCCTTACCCAAGAATGGTAAGAGGGAAGACTCGGAGCACGCCTAGTGCAGAGGCTGGGGCAGATTTCCGCAGTACCCCAACGCTGTGAATGTGCAGTGGAGGGCCTCCTTGATACATATTCAGAATAGGAGAAAGGTTTCATTCACTTCAAGAATTAGGAACATGTGCAATATAAGTGAAAAGGTATCATAAAGATGGAAACTGAGTCTGGGCAACATGGGAAAACCCAGTCTCTACAAAATCGCAAAAAAAAAAAAAATATTAGCCAGGTGTGTTGGCGTGCACCTGTGGTCTCAGCTACTCAGGAGGCTGAGTCAGGAGGATTGCTTGAACCCAGGAGGTTGAGGCTGCAGTAAGCCGTGATCACACCACTGTATTCCAGCCTGGGTGACAGAGCGAGACCCTGTCTCAAAAAAAAAAAAAAAAAGATCCAAACTGGGGAAACTTAGATTGCCTGGGCCAGCTATGAGATCCTGTGGTGGTAAACTCTCCATGGCTGGACACAGTGACTCACGTCGTAATCCCAACACTTTGGGAGGCCGAGGCAGGCGGATCTCTTGAAGCCAGGAGTTCAAGACCAGCCTGGGCAAGATAGCGAGACAAACACATTTTCTCTACAAAAAAATAAAATAAGATCTACATTCTACAATCATCATGTGTTTTTCAGTCCTGCCATGTGTATGTGCTCTTGGCTGACTATAAATAAGTCAAAAAGCTGTTTGAAAGGGAACAAGGCATTTGTGTTCAAAGTTTGACTCACAGGCCATCACAGAAGTGGCATACAAGAGAGATAAACAGTTAAGATTTCACAGGGAAGGGACCACTGACATTCATAGCTGCCCTGCACATTAATGACTCAGGTCAAATGCTAGGAAATGAATACCCTGTCCTTCCCAGTCCACAGTGATCTCTCCATCTCCTGAAGTGTGGCTTCATCTCAGTCTTAAAGAGAGGAATGGAAACATCACTAAACCTGCCGTCAGAAGTCTTCTGTTTATATCTTGTCTCTGCCACCTTCTGTCTGTGATCTTGGGCAAATAATATGAAAAGACGCATGAATGCACAGAGGCTAAGAGCTTAGGCTTTAGAGACAGACAGACCTAGATTCAAAACCTAGCTCTGCCATTTTTTTATCTATGTGGCCTTGGTCAGGATACTTAACTTCTCAAGCTTTCCATTCTCTCATCTTTATTTTATTTTATTTTATTTTATTTTTTCTTTGAGGTGGAGTCTTGTTCCAGGTTAGCGTGCAGTGGCACGATCTCAGCTCACAGCAACCTCCGCCTCCCAGGTTCCAGCAATTCTCGTGCCTCAGTCTCTCGAGTAGCTGGGATTACAGGCGTGTGCCATCATGCCTGGCTAATTTTTGTATTTTTAGTAGAGATGGGGTTTCACCATGTTGACCAGGCTGGTCTTGAACTCCTCACGTTAGGTGATCTGCCCGCCTTGGCCTCCCAAAGTGCTGGGATTACAGGCGTGAGCCACCACACCCAGTCCTCTCATCTTTAAGAGGGAAATAGCAAGGCTATTTGTGCAGATTAAATGCGGCAGCATGAAGGAGCCAGTGCATAATAGTGCTCAATAAATGCTAGTTTCCTTTCCCCCAGAATGGCACAATTATTTTTAAACCTCAAGTCTGTCTGATTTACCCAGCCCTTCACTGAGAGGCAAGATTCAGTACTACTATACTGTTTTATGCCTCCCCAAATTTATATTATGATGGAATGCATTGCAAATGTCCATGATTGAGAGAGACAGAGAGAGAGAGAGAGAGAGAGAGAGGAAGGGAGAAAAGGGAAGGGAGGGGGAAAGGAAGGCTGGGGAAGGGAAAGGGGGTAGGGAAGGAGGGAAGGTACCACAGCCATAGTCTCACACTGAGACATGAGCGGGACCTGAGCATTGGCATTGGCAGTGCCCTTTCAATCAGATGTGTGCTCTCCAGTTCCCACAGTCCTTACCTGGTCCCCTTCATCCTGTATTTACTTGCTTACCCCCGGAAAGCATTTGAGGCTGTGATCCCAGCTTTAGGGTACTGTGTTTTTGGGGATTGTTCTGAACTCACAGATAAAATGGTGAATTTATATTTGTTGGTGTTTCAATACATACTCATCTCTTAAAAAGAGAGACAGCATGAATTAAAGGGTCAAAGCCCAGATTACTAATCGTTTCTTTCTATTCTTACAGCTCGGCCTTCTCCCTGGGTTCCTGCCCTTGCTGATGAATGGAATACCCTAGATCAGGAAGTGACAACCACACGGCTTCCTGCTGGGTCCCAGGTACATTGTAATTGTCTTTTTTTTCTTTGAGATGGAGTCTCACTCTGTCACCCACGGTGGAGTACAGTGGCGCAATCTCAGCTCACTGCAACCACCTCTGCCTCCTGGGTTCAAGCGATTCTCCTGCCTCAGCCTCCTGAGTAGCTGGGACCACAGGTGCATGCCACCACACCTGGCTAAGTTTTAGTATTTTTAGTAGAGACAGGGTTTCACCATGTTGCCTAGGCTGGTCTCAAACTCCTGACTTCAAGTGACCCGCCCGACCCGGCCTCCCAAAGTGCTGGGATTACAGGTGTGAGCTACCATGCCCTGCCGTAATTATCTTCTCTGGCCTTCCTTACTAGGGTGTTTAGGCGCAATGCTTTCTGTGCCTTCACTGTCCTCAAATTTTTATACTCCCGTCAAGAGTATAAAAGTGTATTTCCCCCTTAGTCCTTTACTTATACTTACTTTAAATATACTTATACTCCCCACAAGAGTATAAAAGTATATTTCCCCCTATTCCTTTACTTATACTTACTTTAAATATAATTACTTTACTTACCTTAAATATACTCCCCACAAGAGTATATTTCCCCCTTATTCCTTTACTTATACTTACTTTAAATATACTTACTTTACTTACTGTAAATACACTTATAGTCCTCACAAGTGTATAAGTATATTTCCCCCTTATTCCTTTTCCTGAAAAGATGGGACCCAGTCTTCTGAGTAATGAGACTCCTTGCTGGATCATCTTGTTTATCTTGTCATCTTATGATTCTTTCTCTTCTGCTTCATTTGGCGCAAACTATCCACTTGTTCCTTGATTTCAGTTCTTTAGGGTTCTTCTCTGCCTCATCTGTGATTGCTCATCCTTTGAAGACCTGTGCAGTTATCTTGGTAGTCATTGGTGTTAGTGTCATTACAGGAACCAGTGAAAGATGTCCACGTGGCCAGAGGCTTTTCCTACAGAAAGAGTGTGCATCAGATTCCTGCCCAAAGGGACCTCTACCGGGATTTCAGGAAGGAGAATGTTGGGAACGTGGTCTCCCTGGGTAAGGATTCCTTCCCTTTCCAAATATAAGACTTGGAGCTTTCTAATGTATTCATTTCTACTGATTAGAAGATAGGCAGATAGAAATGTTAACACTTAAAGGATCTCTAAGGATTGTCTAGTGTAATCACTTAGCCAGGTTCTCTTCCCTCACCCACTCCTCCTTCCAGTAAAAAAATAATAATAATAATTTAGTGATTAAAACATTGGAGAGGAGTTACATATGACTATCATATTTGTATTACATAAAATGGTGTAGTACAGTAAATGGTATTATTCCTTAGGAAACTGAGGCTTAGAGAGCTTAAGAAACTTCCCCTGGTCAAAGTAAAGTAAGCAATGTAGCTAGGATTCAAATTACGACATGTTCATCTCTTTTGTATCATAAGCTGGCAAATTCTCAATTTGCTTTCTGTTCTTAACAGCTCTTTCCTATTAACCTCACCAAAATGTCTTCAGAAGTTTTTTTTAATTAATGAAATATTTTATTAATGAAATATTTTGTTTTCAATAAATACTTACGAAAATATATCTGTACCAATAATTTTCAAATGTGAAGTCACAGATTATTTTTCCCCTTCATGTAATAGAAAAGTAGATTTCAGACTCTTTTGAGGAGAAAGACATCTTTGACGTGTCTCAGGACCACAAAGCTATAATAAGATATAAGGCTTTTTTTTGCCCACCTACCCTCAACCTCCTTAAGCAAAACAACTCAATTTTATTTCTTTGATATATGTATTTGTGGGTTCCTGTAAGTTTTGTTTGGAAATTAGGTTCTTCTACCAAATTTTTTTCGACTTTATTGGGGTACAAATAAATTTAATATTTATTTATTAAATATATGTAAATAAGGCCAGGCACAGTGGCTCATGCCTGTAATCCCAGCACTTTGGGAAGTCAAAGCAGACAGATCACCTGAGGTCAGGAGTTCAACACCAGCATGACCAACATGGTGAAACCCCATCTGTACTAAAAATACAAAATTAGCTGGACATGGTGGAACATGCCTGTAATCCCAGCTACTTGGGAGGCTGAGGCAGGAGAATAGCTTGAACCCAGGAGGCGGAGATTGCAATGAGCCAAGATCACACCATTGCACTCCAGCATGGGCAACAAGAGCAAAACTCCATCTCAAAAACTACATATATGTATATATATGCAAATAAAATTGTGTATATTTAAGAATGTCATATTGCAACTTGATGATTTTATGTACATATACATTGTAAAATAATTACCACATTTGAGTTAACACATCCATCACCTTACATAGTTATGTATGTGTGTGTTGAGAACACTTAAGATCTACACTCTCAGCAAATTTCAAGTATACACTATAATATTATTAACTGTAACCATCATGCTGTATACATTAGAATTTTTTAATCTTATAACTGAAAGCTTATACGCTTTGACCATCATCTCCCCTTACCCAAGCCCCTGGCAACCACTGTTCTCTTCTCACTTTCTCTAAGTTCAGCATTTTAGATGCCACATGTAAGTGAGATCATATTTGTGTTCCTCTGTCTGGTTTATTTCACTTAGCACAATGCCCTCCAAGTGTTGTCACAAATGGCAGGATTTCCTTCTTTTTTTTTTTGAGACAGAGTTTTGCTCTCACCCAGGCTGGAGTGCAGTGGTGCAATCTCGGCTCGCTGCAACCTCTGCCTCCTGGGTTCAAGCGATTCTCCTGCCTCAGCCTCCCGAGTAGCTGGAACTACAGGTGCATGCCACCATGCCCGGCTAATTTTTGTATTTTTAGTAGAGACGGGGTTTCACCATATTGGCCAGGTTGGTCTCGAACTCCTGACCTTGTGATCCACCTACCTTGGCCTCCCAAAGTGCTGGGATTACAGGTGTGAGCCACTGCGCCCAGGCTCCTTCTTTTTTATGACTGGCTAGTACTCCATTATATTTTTTTTCCTATATTTTCACATTTTCAATATTCATTCATCAGGAGGTACTTGGGTTGTTTCCATGTCTGGACTATTGTGAATAATGCTTCATTGAGCACGGGAGTACAGCTATCTCTTCAAGATGCTGATTTTGTCTCCTTGGGATATGTACCATAAGTGGGATTGCTGGATCATATTGTAGTTCTGATTTTTTGAGGAGCCTCCCTAATGTTTTCCATAATGGCTGTACCTGTTTACATTCCCACCAATAGTGCATGACCATTCCCTTTTCTCCACAACCTTGTTATCATTTGTCTTTTTTTAATTGACAGATAATAATTGTGTATATTTATGGGGTACAATGTGATGTTTTGATACATGTTTTCGTTGGGGAGTGATTAAATCAGCTAATTAACAAATCCATCACCTAGGCAGGGCATGGTGGCTCATGCCTGTAATCCCAGAACTTTGGGAGGCTGAGGTGGGCGGATCACAAGGTCAGGAGTTCAAGACAAGCCTGGCCAACATAGTAAAACCCCATCTCTACTAAAAATACAAAAATTAGCCAGGTGTGGTGGTGGGTGCCTGTAATCCCAGCTACTTGGGAGTCTGAGGCAGGAGAATCTGTTGAACCCAGGAGGCAGAGGCAAGTCGAGATCGTGCCACTGCATTCCAGCCTGGGCTCACTCTGTCTCAAAAATAAAAGAAAATCTACTCTTCTAGGAATTTTGAAATAGACAAAGCATTACTACATATTATAGTCACTATATAATAGATTACTAAATTTATATAATAGATTACTAAAGTTTATTCCTCCCATCTAACTGAAATTTTGTACCCTTTGATCAAATCTCCACTTTCCCCATCTTCCCTCCTCCTCCCCCAGCTTCTGGTAACCATCTTCTACTCTCTACTTCTATGAGTTGGACATTTTTAGATACTGCCAAAAAAGTGAGGTCATGTGATATATGTCTTTTCTGTGCCTGGCTTACCTTAGTTAACATAATGTTCTCCATGTTCGTCCATGTTGTTGCAAAAGGCAGAATTTTCTTCTTTTTTAAGGCAGAATAATATTCCTTTGTGTATATAGACCACATTTTCTTTATCCATTCAGCCTCCTGGTTGCTTCCGTATCTTAGCTGTATGTGAATAATGCTGCAGTGAACATGGTAGTGCCTCTTTGGCCTACTGATTTTAATATTTTTGCATATATACCCAGTAGCAGGATTGCTGGATCATATGGTAATTCTATTTTTAGTTCTCTATGGAACCTCTGTACTGTTTTCCATAATGACTCTTCCCAATTCACAGCTCTGCCAACAGTATTCAGAGGTTTCATTTTCTTCTCACCAACACTTCTTATTTTTGTCTCATTGATGATAGCCATTCTGAAAGGTATGAAATGATACCTCATTGTGGCTTTGATTTGCATTTCCCTGATGATTAGCAATGTTGAGCACCTTTTCATGTACCTATCTGCCATTTGTATGTCTTCTTTGGGAAGATGTCCATTCATATCCTTGGCTTATTTTTTAATGAGATTATTTGTTTGGTTTGTTGTTATTTTGCTATTGAATTGTAGGAGTTCCTTGTATATTTTAGTTATTGACCCCTTAGCAGATGAGTGGTTTGCAAATCTTTTTTTCTATTCCATAGATTTTTTCATCACTTTGTTGACTGTTTTTGTTGTTGTTTTGGATTAGATTTTTTTTTTTTTTTTTTTTTTTTTGCTGTATAGAAGCTTTGTAGTTTGATGTAGTCCCACTCATTTATTTTTACTTTCATTGCCTGTGCTTTGATGTCATATCCAAAAAAATTATTGCCCAGACCAGTGTCAAGGAGCTTTGTCCCCTGTGTTTTCTTCTAGGAGATTTATGGTTTCAGGTCTTATATTTAAGGCTTAATCCATTTTGAGTTCATTTTTGTGAGTCGTGTAAGACAGGGGTCCAGTTTCACTCTTTTGTATCTGGATATCCAGTTTTCCGAGCACCATTTGTTGAAAAGATGATCTTTTCCCAGTGATGTGTTCTTGGCACTCTGTCAAAGATTATTTAGCTATACATGTGTGGACTTCCTTCTATGCTCTCTATTCTGTTCTACTGGTCTTTGTGTCTGTTTTCATACCAGTACCATACTGTTTTGATTACTGTGGCTTTGTAATATAGTTTAACAAAAAATTCTTGGCTTCTTTTCTCTTATAGTCCCAGTGCCTATATATGTATGTATGTTATGTATGTTGGGGTGGGCATGGAGGGGAATGTGGGGAAAAGATACACTTTATTTTACAAGTAACAAATACTGAGTAGGAGCATACCCTGAACCTAACACAACACTGGCTACTGAGAGAGAATCAAAGGTTAAAAATATATATTCTTACCCTTAAAGGTTTTCCTGTAAGAACTAGCTAGGAAAAGAAATGGTACATATATGAGAAGTAAAATGATCGTGTAAGTTAGTAGATGTTTGTACCAAGGAAGTCATGTAAAAATAAATGTGCAGTGTCACAGCTGAGGAAGGTTTGGGTGTGAACAAGTGGCCCAGGAGAGCATGTGACAGCAGAAGATTGAGGCATGCAGTAATGACTTCTATGTCTACCATGAAATATGTTTATTTTACTGTAGGAAGTGCAGTGTCTACATCTAACAAGATAACCCGGTTGGAACAGAGAAAGGAGCCATGGACTCTAGGTCTGCATTCCTCTAACAAGAGAAGTATCCTACGAAGCAACTACGTCAAGGAAAAGTCAGTTCATGCTATTCAGGTCCCTGCAAGGAGTGCAGGAAAAACATGGAGAGAGCAGCAGCAGTGGGGTTTAGAAGATGAAAAGATAGCAGGTGTGCATTGGAGCTATGAGGAAACAAAGACTTTCCTGGCAATTCTCAAAGAGTCTCGCTTTTATGAAACACTTCAGGCCTGTCCCCGAAATAGCCAAGTGTATGGTGCTGTGGCTGAATGGTTGCGAGAATGTGGCTTCCTTAGAACCCCAGAACAGTGTCGAACCAAGTTCAAAAGTCTCCAGAAAAGCTATCGAAAGGTGAGAAATGGCCACATGCTAGAACCCTGCGCCTTCTTTGAGGACATGGATGCTTTGTTGAACCCTGCAGCCCGTGCTCCGTCCACTGATAAACCAAAGGAGATGATACCTGTCCCCAGACTGAAGAGAATTGCCATCAGTGCTAAGGAACACATCAGCTTGGTGGAGGAGGAGGAAGCTGCAGAAGATTCTGATGATGATGAAATAGGCATCGAATTTATCCGCAAGTCTGAAATCCATGGTGCCCCTGTCTTGTTTCAGAATCTCAGTGGTAAGAATTGTGCTTTGTTTCTCTGGTAGGAAAACAGATGTGTGATCTTGTGGAAAAAGGAGTAGACCAGAAGTGGCCAAACCCGGGGGGTGCTGTCACACACACCTCACCACTTTCACTGTGGTGTGGCCACATCACTGAAGTACTCTCAGGTGCTTGCTGCTGCCCCCATTGCAGTCAGAGTAACAGCTCCAAGTGGCCGTGGAGAAGTCGTTTTCACTTTAGAGCACAGCATGGATTTTGAGTGTTTGGGTCCTTGTGGAAGGAAGACAAATGGAGTTACAGGGTTCTAAGGATCTTGTATTATCTGATAATTGGCATAAAGCAATCAATTGTATTGCATTATAAGTCAAGCATGCATTATTACGTTATCTAAAATAACCAGTACAAAATTTTGTAACAGTTTCAACAGGTTTTCATTAAAAATAAAATAAACATTTTTTGTGTAATCTAAAAGAAGACAAAGGAGAGAAAAAAGAATACAAAATAGATGAGTCAGATGGAAAAAAATAAGATATAAATCCAAATATATAATTAATTACAAACTTAAAGAACTAAGATTATCAGACATTAATTGCTTATAAGAGATCCACCTTAAATATAATACAGAGACATTAAAATTAAAAAGGCAGACAGATACACCATGCAAAAGAGAGCTGGTGTTAAATATTTTGTGACTGAGACATGCAGAATTAAATCGCCAATTAATAACTGTGTGACAGTAGACACATCACGTAACTACTTTGAGCTTCAATTTTCTCATCCGTAAAATATGGCTAAGAATACCTCATAGGGTTGTTATTAGTGTTAAATAGGATAATATAAATGAAGGCACTGTGAAAATGCTAAAATATAATACAGCATTGCCTGGTATCACTGTTATTAGTAATGTTTCTTTACTCCAGCTAGAGATAAATTCTTTTTTTTTTTTTTTTCCGAGACGGTGTCTCACTCTGTCACCCAGGCTGGAGTGCAGTGGCGCAATCTCGGCTCACTGCAACCTCCTCCTCCTGGGTGAGTTCAAGCAATTCTCCTGCCTCAGCCTCCTAAGTAGCTGGGATTACAGGCACCCACCACCACGCCTGGCTAATTTTTATATTTTTAGTAGAGACAGGGTTTCACCATGTTGGTCAGGCTGGTCTCAAACTCCCAACCTCAAATGATCCACCCACCTCGGCCTCCCAAAGTGCTGGGATTACAGGCATGAGCCACCGCACCCAGCCTATAAATTCTTACATAGAATGGAAAACTAAATCAGGCTAGGGAATGTATCCATGACTAAACCCATTCAAAAGAAATATCTGGCTGGATGTGGTGGTTCATACCTGTAATTCTAGCACTTTAGGAGACTGAGATGGGAGGATCCCTTGAGGCCAGGAGTTTGAGAGCAGCTGGGCAACACAGCGAGACTCCGTCTTTACAAAAAATAAAACAATTAGCCAGGCATGGTGGCACACTCCTGTAGTCCCAGCTACTCAGGAGGCTGAAGCGAGAGGGTCGCTTGAGCCCTGGAGTTCAAGGCTTCAGTGAGCCATGATTGTGCCACTGCAGTCCAGCCTGGGCAACAGACTGAGATTCTGTCTCAAAAAATAAAAAATAAACATCTGCTAAGATGGGAAGATGCATTATGCCTAGACAGGTCTCACCAATCTGAAAATCCATCAACATGAGGCTGGGACTCTTGGGGTGGTCTCAAATATGGGAATCCAGTCATAGGCCTGGAAGAAACCACCTAGTAAGATAGAGGATAGAGATTTTTCCTACAATAGATTACAAAACATACAAAAAGCATGTTTTACAAATTATATTTAGATATGCCCTGAAAAGTTTTATTCTGCTATAAATGCAGAACATAGTCTTGTCTTACAGATCATTTCATCTCAAAGTAGAGGATTCAATGACATCCAAAAACTACTCTGAACATAGTTCTGCTCCTCAAGGAAGACTGCTTACAGAAGTGGTAGGAAATTTGAGGGGGAAAGTTCCTATTGGAAATTCTAGTCATTATTCTTAACCACTTTGGAAAGAGACTTCTAGAGAACTAAATCATTTAGTTAATCACCATAGCAATGGCAGATTTGGGGGACTGCATTTTTATTCTTCCAAATAAGCTTTGAGATTAGTTTACCGATTTCAGTTTTAAAAATCTGAATGGGATTTTGACTATAGATTCATATGAGAAATGATATCTGTACACCTTGAGTCTTCCTATTCATAAACAGTGTCTTGTCATTTTTTCTAGTTTTATGATATTACACATTTTGATATAGACCTTCTCATTTCTTGCAAAGCTTATTCCTAGGCATATGTAGTTCTTGTTGCCACTGTGAATGGGATTTTTTTTTACCTCTACATTTCTTAATGTATATAGTATAGAGGCTAGAGACTCCTTTTCTTTGTTACATTGTGAACTTTATCCCCAAATGGCAGGCGTGCACTGGGGCTATGAAGAAACCAAGACTTTTCTTGATATCCTCCGTGAGACTCGGTTTTATGAAGCGCTTCAAGCCTGTCATCGGAAGAGCAAATTGTATGGGGCTGTAGCTGAACAGCTTCGAGAGTGCGGCTTCCTCCGGACACCAGAACAGTGCCGAACCAAGTTCAAAAGCCTTCAGAAGAGTTACCGCAAGGTGAAAAATGGCCACGTGCTAGAGTCCTGCGCGTTCTACAAGGAGATGGATGCCCTGATTAACTCTCGGGCATCTGCTCCTTCCCCCAGCACCCCAGAGGAAGTCCCATCACCTTCAAGGCAAGAAAGAGGGGGTATTGAGGTTGAACCCCAGGAACCTACAGGCTGGGAACCTGAAGAGACCTCACAGGAGGCAGTAATAGAAGACTCTTGCAGTGAGAGAATGAGCGAGGAGGAAATTGTGCAAGAGCCAGAGTTCCAGGGACCTCCAGGTCTACTGCAGAGCCCAAATGGTAAGGTGCAAAACCAAGGAGTTTTAGTCCAAAAGAGGAATAAGTGTGATTTACTGAAAAATGAGTAGATCTTGCACATAGCTCATGAATATTCCTTCATTCAAGAAATATTTGAGTGCCTGTGCTACTTGAAGAACAGGGGATATAGCAGTGATGTTCTTGGCATGGTGGCTCACACCTGTAACCCTAGCAGTTTGGGAGGTTGAGGCGGGTGGATCACCTGGGGTCAGGAGTTCAAGACCAGCCTGGCCAACATGGCGAAACCCTGTCTCTACTGAAAATACAAAAATTAGCTGGGTGTGGTGGCGGGCACCTGTAATCCCAGCTACTCAGGAGGCTGAGGCAGGAGAATCACTTGAAACCTGGGAGGCGCAGGTTGCAGTGAGCCGAGATCGTGCCATTGCACTCCAGCCTGGGTGATAGAGTGAGACTCCATCTGAAAAAAACAAAGTTCCTGTTCTCATGGTGCTTCTATTCAAAGGAGGAACTCACGTTAGAGTGACTCAGTCCTTGGGTTCTCAGCCTTGGTTTTTGTTGGTATGGGTCAGACAGTGTTTTGTATCTCCTGGAAGTACCGTGGGGAAGAAAAACTTGGAATTACACATGAGAAAAAACTTGGATGAAGAAAGTGTTTCAGTAAGCACAAAAGAAGAATATCTTATGGTTATATGGGGTGTGCAAGACAAAAAAGATAGGCAGAGACTAAATAAAAGACTTTATTCTGGTCCTGAGCTCCACCTGCATGTTTCCCACTGACTTACGCCCTCGTGGGCCTGTCACTAGTAACTCAGGCTTAAGATGTTCAAAACTAACTTCACCATCTTCCTTACCACACCACGGCTCTTCCCTGTGGGCTCCCGCCCTCATCCAGACTATCACGTCTATCTGTCCCCTCTTCAGTTACCATTAGCCACTGTCTAGTTCAGTCTTCTCTCTCTCTTGCCTAGACTGTTGTAAAAGCCTCCAAACCAGTTTTCTCCACCCACACTTTTATTAAGGTTTCACAGCCATTTTTGATCTGAGCTCATCTTACTCTTCTAGTCTACATGTCAGCATTTTCCTTCCTCAACTCTGCTTATTCAGAGCGGAACTACTGGCTATTTCCTACATGCACCTCAAGCTCTTTCACATCCAAACTTTAGCTTGCGATGTTCCCTCCACCTTGAATGTCCTTGGCTCTACATATCTCCATGTCCAAATTCTCTCTCACCTCCCATACTTTGTCTGTCTCTGTCTTATGGCACTGAACACTTTGTATGTAAGATCTCCCAGACATGGTGAGCTCCTGAAGGACAGGAGCTCCGTCTTCCCATAACACTAGATTAAGCCCTCGGCAATCAGTTGAATATGCAGGGTAATTCAGGACTAGTTTATTGAAGCAAGTGACTCTAGCTTAGTATATATATGGGAAATTATAGTATGAAGGCTTGAATTAAGTCCTGTAGAACCCTGGCTTTGATAACTGGAAACAAAGTCCTTGTGAATCTTGTTTTTAAAGTGAGCTCCAAACCTATCATCAAATTATCAAGCTTTCTCTGAGCCAACTCCTAGGTTGTGACTTCCTCCAAATCGCAGAACAATGTTGAACTCAATCAGAAAACTTCAAAAGAAGTACTGACAGGCCAGGTGTGGTGGCCCACACCTGTAATCCTAACACTTTGGGAGGCCAAGGTGGGAGGATCGCTTGAGCACAGGAGTTTGAGACTAGCCTGGGCAACATACACCCCATCTCTACAAAAAATAAAAAATTAGCTGGGAGTGGTGGTGTGCACCTGTAATCCCAGCAACTTCTGGGGTTGAGGTGGGAGGATCACTTGATCCTGGGAGGTCAAGGCTGCAGTGAGCTATGATCATGCCACTGCACTCCAGCCTGGGTGACCAAAAAAGTACTAATAAGTGAAAGATGGAATTGTTAGGGCTTTTTACTTAAGTGTCTAGATTGATTGATGGCTGCCCTCCTCTCCCCATCCCATGCCACAGCCTCCACACTTGGGATTGAGAGTTATCTGTGGTTTCTACTGAATGTGTGGAAGGAAAGTAATGTTGAAACTGGCAGTAGAAACAAGGCAGGAGAGCAGATGCTTAAGAACAAGGATTAACCTGAATTGGGCCTAAGTTGCACAGCTTGTGAAATGTTTATGGATGAAATAACGTGATGTCTGGAATTGGCTTCAAAGTAGTCTGGATGGAGGGAGCAGGGAGTATGTGGGCGTGGAAATGAAATGAGATTGGCCATGAATAGGTCATAGTTAAATGTAGGTAAGTGGTTTGTGGGAGTTCATTATACATACTGTTCTCCAGACTTTTCTGTGTTTGAATTTTCCATAAGTTAATACAAAAATCACACAGTTAATAACTCACCAAGATGGGACCAGACTCAGAGCCGTGTAATTCCAAAACTTGTCTCTGTTCACCATGTCATGCTCTCTGTCCAGAAAACTTAACAGAAAATCTGGATCCAAGATGTAGTGAACGTGGGATGTAGGTGAAAAGAGTGAGAAAATAATCCAATTTGGGTAACAGTGAGAATTAAGATTTCATTTAGTGTGGTTTATGGGACAGCCTGAAAAACAAAGTGAGAAGAACATTTGAAAAGAAACAGGTACCCTTGGGTGGGATATGATTAGATATGTAGAGGAATTTAGTTCCTGAAGTCCCTCGAGGAACTTGGACTTAGTCAGAATCTAATCTAGAGATCAGTGTGGTGTAGTGTGCTTTAGTATAGAGGTGAAATTATGAAAATAGGATGAATTAGAGTGGAACCTCAGGGAGATAAGCCAGGTTGCACCCTTGTTAATCGGGATATGGATGGGGAATGATGGCTTGGATTATAATGCAGGAAACATTTCTTAAGGCCTACTCTGTACTGGCTGTTATTGGCCTGTTTATGAATGGAAAGAAATATAGCAGAATGAATCAGGGAAGAGTCACAGGATCTGAGGTTAGAGAAGTGTATGGAGAGCAAGCGGATCAAGCCTTGCAAGCCAGGTTGTTTATGGTTAATATCAGACTTGTATAAAATTTGTATTGTCTTTCATTTTTTCAGATTTTGAAATCGGAAGTAGCATCAAGGAGGATCCAACACAGATAGTATATAAGGACATGGAACAGCATAGGGCATTAATAGAAAAGTCTAAAAGAGTTGTTTCCCAGAGTACCGACCCCAGCAAATATCGCAAAAGGGAATGCATCTCAGGAAGACAATGGGAAAATCTTCAAGGAATTAGACAGGGAAAGCCGATGTCTCAGCCTAGAGATTTAGGGAAAGCCGTTGTGCATCAGAGGCCTTTTGTGGGGAAGAGACCCTACAGACTTCTCAAATATGGAGAAAGCTTTGGAAGGAGCACTCGTCTGATGTGCCGGATGACCCACCACAAGGAGAATCCTTACAAGTGTGGTGTCTGTGGGAAGTGCTTTGGTAGAAGCAGGAGCCTGATCAGACACCAAAGAATCCACACAGGCGAAAAACCTTTTAAATGTCTTGACTGTGGAAAAAGCTTTAATGACTCCTCAAATTTTGGTGCCCACCAGAGAATCCACACAGGAGAGAAACCCTACAGATGCGGAGAGTGTGGAAAATGCTTTAGTCAGAGCTCTAGTCTTATTATACATCAGAGAACGCACACCGGTGAGAAGCCCTATCAGTGTGGAGAGTGTGGGAAAAGTTTCACCAACAGTTCTCATTTCAGCGCCCACCGGAGAGTTCACACTGGGGAGAATCCCTACAAATGTGTGGACTGTGAAAAAAGTTTCAATAACTGTACGAGATTTCGAGAACATCGGAGAATACACACTGGAGAGAAGCCCTATGGATGTGCCCAGTGTGGCAAACGTTTCAGTAAGAGTTCTGTTCTTACCAAACATCGGGAAGTTCATGTGAGAGAAAAGCCTCTGCCACACCCTCCATCTCTGTATTGCCCTGAGAACCCACATAAGGGAAAGACTGATGAATTTAGGAAAACTTTTTGATGATGATCTTCTCTTCCTAAATGCCCCCTTAGCCATTTTACCCTAATCTCATTCTTGGAAGCAATCTTTTCTTAGCTATGAAGTGTAATTTCCAAGATAAACTTGAGAATATAAATAAACTAAACACTTTCATCCTGTTCTCACCTCTGCCTCTAACTTCATCAGTCTGTTCCTCCTCTTCTGTGTGTCTCAGCTTCTCCTTTAAGAATGTGGCGAAGATACATTGTCCGAGTTCAGAATGAAATACCCTTCAGTACATTGAGGCCACTGCAACTGGATTGCTAAGTTCGGCAACATTCAAGATCTTCCATATGGGTGAGAGTTGTCTTCAAGGATATAAAAAATGCCAAAAGTTTTTTTGTTGTTATTACCTACTCCGTGAGATCCTGGATGAAACTTGATAACAGATTTTCACATTTAGATAGAACTTTGAGGAGTCTGATCGGAACTACATCAAATCCATCTTGGTTTTGAAGAGATCCACAAAAGAAGAGTGAAGATTTTATAGCTTTCCTCAGAAGTCTGTTACAGTGTACCTTTTTTTTTTTTTTTGTCAAGAAGTTGATCCAAATAGCTAGGGCAGAATCCCTGTATTGTCACTGAAATCCTGTTACTAATGCCTTGCCCTCCATGGAGGTGAGAAGCAATTGATCACCCCTCATCCTTTTCTGTACCCGAAGACTTAAATCCCCTGGCTGCTGCTTCTCCAGCCTATAAGTAATCCCAGGTCCTCCTACTGTTTCTCATAGCCCTGCACTTGCCTCTCAGTTGCTCTGGGTGCTCCTGCCGGCCTCTTCCGAACTACCATGCCCTCCTCAGATAGAATAGGAGGCCTGCTCGTGGTGTGTCTCACTAAAGCAAAGTAGGATTTCAGATGCGTTCTAGTTCTATCCTCTAACTTCTCTGGCTCTTATCTAGAACATGACTGGCATGTTGGCATATTTCGTACCTCCCACCCCTGCACTGCAGTATAATATTATAATAGTGTTTCTAAAACTTTAAGGGGATAGGGAAGAGGTAATAGACACCTGAAGCATTTCTAAGACCAGTTGGACTCCTTTGGCCTGCTGTCGATCAGATAGCCACCTCAGCTTAGACCAGCGCTCTCAGGTCTGGCTGTTAAATCTCCCAGTCTCTTTTCCTGAGGCTTCTAGTCCCTGTTCACCGCATCAGAAACCTAACTGTAGTGTGCCAAGTAACTTAACACAACTCTAGAGCTCACTGGGTGAAAAGTGGGAACATTTATAAAAACTTCAATCCAGAAATCCAGAACACCGTTTTTGTTTTCCTCATTTACTTGTTTTGTCTGAAAAATCTCTTTGAGAACCCCCGGCAGTAACCCAGTAAACACTGAAGGAAAAGTTCTGATGGGGGATGGTTAATTGACTTTTGAAGTTACAGATGAAACCCAGAGATTTGATTTTCCATGGCCAGTTGCTTCAGGATGGAGTCAGTGGCGTTTATTCCCTTAGTATGTAGGTGACCCAGGGTGGCTTTGCTTTGGCAAGGGAGAAGTCACAAGTTTAATGGGAAGGGAACCGGAGTTAGGGCTGTTTGTGGGTGATTATTTTGCTCTTCTCTCTCCCTTTCTTTGTCAAATGCTCTTATTTGAAGCCATCTGGAAATGATATTTTTCCTTTTGGTATGTTTCAATCTTTTGAAACTTGTTCAGCAAAGTACCTAGGAGGGTAGGCACTGTAGAAAGAAATCTAATTTATGGTGCCAGAATAGGGTGTGGCCTGTTGGAAGGCAGGTGACTCAGGTAGACATTGATAAATGTTTCTGATTTACATTTGTTGGAAATATTATGACTGTTCACATCTCAATAGGTTGATTTTTCTGTGTTGTCCAAGTTATAGATTTCTAATGCTAAGTACAGTTCCATGTTGGTAGTGTGCGTAGCACAGTAAGATGTTTGTGGTGCCAGTGGGCTTGTGTTTATATTGTGTAGATGTTCTGGAATTCCAGCTCTAGAGAAGATGTAAATTAATAGAAATCACCACTTAATAATATGTACACAGGATTGATATTATGTGGAAGCATGATTCAGGAAAGTAGATGACTTATTCATAAATATGAAGCACTGTTACATGTAAGGCCATGTTCTAGCCACAGTGAATGATAGAAAAAGGAAGGAAGGGGCATGGTGCCTGGGCTCAAGGAACTCACAGTTTGATAGAGGAAGCATCACAGCAAAAGTTGGGGCCACTTACACCATGGCAGTTACAGAAGGCCAGGAGCTCAGTCATGAGAACATCACCTTCCCCTGCAGAAGAGTTGCGCTAAGTTGCCCAGAATCATATTCTGTACCTTCATCTCTCAACCTTCCCCAGTGGCAGGAAAGGGTCAAGCAAGACCCATTCCCTCTCTAGTGGGACAAACTGATTCTGTTTAACTCTCATATGCCTGGGAGCAAGCTGAGGTGGAATTTGGGTTCCCCTATCTCTACTCCTAATTGTAAATGGGCTGTCTAGACATGTGTTACATTAATTTGATGAACTTTGTTCTGAAGAAATGGAAGGTCTCCCCCCCATTTTAGACCAACACTACCTGTCTCCCTGCATTTTATTTGTTTTCACCTGGTACATGTAAGTCAAAATGAATAATCATGTTCTGACCAATGTGTCTTTTAGATCACATAACATTGCCTTTATGAAGATTCATAGAAAAAGGTTTTTTTATCTAGATCTCAGTGCCAAGGAAAGCTCTGATCCTAAGCGCAGTATGTGTACACACACACGTCTACATGTGTGTGTAGATCTGTATGTATGTATTACAAACACTGTGATTTTTGTAACTTAAGCTGCTTTTTCTCTCTTTGTTCTGGCTGCTGGAAAGTTCAACAAAACTTACAGCCCACCTCAACCAACTACCCCAACCTATATTTATTTAATTTCATCTTATTTCCTTGTAAATTGTGTCAAATCCTGTTTTTGAAAAGCAGCATAGACTGACAACTTTTCACTATCATCTTATCGAAGGCATTTTGGAAACTGGGGTCGTATGTCCCACCTAGGCTTGCTTTGTTACTGCCACAAATACCTCCAGTTCTTACCAGTGATGTTATTATGCATTCAACCTAATTCATTCATCTGGAAAGAAACAGTTTTTTAAAAAGGGAAACCTCACACGTAAATGGCTCAGGGCAGCCTGGCCTTGGTGGAATGAGCATGAGACTGGAAGCTGAAAGAAGCAAGTTTTAATCTTGTCACTAAATGAGTGTTGTTTGACACATCATAGCCTCTCTGGGCCTCGGCTCCTCATCTGAAGAGAAGTTGAACTTAACTGCTAAGTTGCTCTGGCTCTAATGTTTCATGAGGCTGTGGAGCGTGATATAGATGCGGAAGAGGTTAGAAGACCAGGCTGCCGGCCCAGCTGTCCTGTGCCTGCCACATCTGGCCATACCAAATCCATCGCATGCTTCAGGAAAGGGAGGGGATGCTGTGACAGCAAACTCAGCCCAGGAGCTTGTTGGGGAAGGAGAAAGGGCAAGTCCCTCGTGGTCCACAGCAGGCACCCCCCAAGCACCTCGATAACCAGTGGCAGGTAGGCTGAAGTGAAGGAAGCCTCTGTCAGGAGGTCTGGCGCCCAGTGACAGACAAGACAGCTGTGAGGGAGCTGGGGCAGCCCTGGCTAAAGGAATGTCTGAGTAACTTGTGAAACTGGAAGCCTCTGCCTCTGAATGCATTCCAAGACCTGGTGCAAATGGATGTCCATTCATTGTTTTGTATCAGTGTTCACTTAGATGTCTTCTTGAAAACTTGTTTGTGGAATAAATGTCTAAAATAAATGGCTCCCACTGGTTTCTGCCATAATTTGAAGGGCGTCATTCTATTAAGAGAAAATATAATGTACCAAGAAGTTGATAAAAGCTGATCTTACCAGCCAATGAAAAGAATTCCAGTCTCATTCTAGTTCAGTGTTGTCCCCCACAAGTAGCAGGGGTCTTTTGTGAGTCCACAGCTGTGTGCAGCCGTCCTCTGGTGGTTGTCCCTGCCATTGTCCCAGTAATGGTCATCTCCAGTGCTAGGAGGGAATTAGCCTTGGATACACGTGCTGCCTGTGTTTCTGAGGCACTCCCCCATAGCCTAATGGTGGAAGAAGTCTTAAAAGTTTCTTCGAAGATACAGTAACAGGAGAGACAAAACTTTACTCTTTTAGGGTCTCAGGCTAGGCCTGAGGATTAAAGTAACACAAAACAGATAAACAAGAGAAAAGCATACATGGGAGTCTCCACAAGAAATGAAGACCCGGCCAGGCGCCGTGGGTCATGCCTGTAATCCCAGCATTTTGGGAGGCCGAGGCGGGTGGATCACGAGGTCAGGAGATCGAGACCATCCTGGCTAACATGGTGAAACCCCGTCTCTACTAAAAATACAAAAAAATTTAGCCAGGCGTAGTGGCAGGCGCCTGTAGTCCCAGCTACTCCGGAGGCTAAGGCAGGAGAATGGCGTGAACCGAGGAGGCGGAGCTTGCAGTGAGCTGAGATCACGCCACTGTGCTCCAGCCTGGGTGACAGAGCGAGACTCCATCTCAAAAAAAAAGAAAAGAAAAGAAATGAAGACCCAAAGAAGTAGCAAAACCTAACTGTATTATGGATTGAACAAAGAGTCAGTTGTGAAAAAGTACCTAAAATATATGGGAAGACCAAAGGAAGATAAGGATTATTTTAACAAGGTCTGTACAGATTCCCTCGGCCTTGCCTCCCCATCTTGTGATAAGAACGTTTCTTTCTTCCCAGGACAGGGAGGGCATCTTTCACTTGGGGGTTCAACTCCTGCTTTCAGGGAGTAAAAGAGGAGTGAGAGTGCCCTGTGGCACCTGCTGTTTCTCAAGTGCCTTTAACTCAAGATAATCATTATTCCCAAAAGTGGCACATATGGGGGTGGCATCTTCTGTCATCCTTGAGCGTTGCTTTTGATTGAAAATTTTGGCATACAGGAAGTGTTCCAGTGGCTTCCACTTAGTTCTTCCTACCATAACTCCAGCTCCATGGGTTGTAAAGGCAGGGTAGAGATTTTAGCACTTGCTGAGGCACTATTTCCAACTACACCATCAGGAACTGTAGAGAGAACTATAGGATGCGTTCCAAGAGCCAGTCCACCTAAACATGAGGTCGATTCCAGACAAAGTATCTGTCACATGGACTTGATAAGCCTCTGCTCTATGCAGCGTGCTTCAATGGGACCCAGAGACCTCAGGAGGTGTAGCTGCTCAGAGCCAGTGTCTGCAGAGTATCCATAACTAGAAGAGTCCCCCTGTATTTTCCTTGAGTAAATGGCCACAAACCTTTTTGGTGAAAGCCAAGATAAAAGCTCATTATCTTCACAGGCCGAATTCCATCAGGGTTCTTCCGCAGGGTTACCGGACCTCCCATTCCTTCACAGAGACTTAAGTCTGTGAACTCACTCAGGTCTGGGAATTGGATGAGAGACTTTAAGTCTCTGAGGGGAAAAAAAATCTCTAAGGATTACAAATTTTCAATTCCTAAAAATCAGTTGAGGCAATTAGACATTAAGGGAGGAGAATGAATGCTTTGTGTTCCAAGCACTAAAAGGAGCATTGCTCATCATAACCCCCAAACTTTATGATGAGTCCAGGGACTTGGAGGGGGAACAGTGGCTTTGGGTTCCAAGACAAGTAAATATCTTACTCACTCTGAGGTGGTCGGACTCTGGAGGGAAAATGATGTTGACGGTGGTGGTGGGTATAGGGCTCTAGGTAGGCCAAGGGGAGAGGAGGTACCTGAAAGGCCATAAGCCTTGCTTGGATACATGTGCAGAGTCCATGGCGCATGCAAGTGTGCTTGGCATGGAAGTTGTGGAATTATCAGTAAAGGAGCCCTCTTTGAAGACACCAATGTGACTTGGCTATAGCATACAGCATCTCTGAGAACCTCTTCCAACAGCGGCACCATGTGGCAGCGGAGAGAACAGCAGCTGCGGCACGAAGTAAAATTTTCCCTACGACATCATGCAAGGTGTTATGTTTCGTTTTGTTTTGTTTTGTTTTGTTGTCTGAGATGGAGTCTCACTCTGTCACCCAGGCTGGAGTGCAATGGCGCCATCTTGGCTCACTGCAACCTCCGCCTTCCAAGTTCAAGAGATTCTCCCGCCTCAGCCTCCCAAGTAGCTGGAATTACAGGCGTGCGCCACCTCATCTGGCTAACTTTTGTATTTTTAGTAGAGAAGGGGTTTCACCCTGTTGGCCAGGCTGGTCTTGAACTCCTAACCTCAGGTGATCCACCCACCTCGGCGTCCCAAAGTGCTGGGATTACAGGTGTGAGCCACCGCGTCCAGCCCATGCAAGTATTAATAAAAGATTGGTACACTTCCCTTTTGGCTTGCTTAAACCCCCAGGGTTCTTGGAAAATATAATCCTAGTAGGGATACTAGGATTCCCAACAACATGGCATGTGAGGACCTCAACACAATTCTGGCAAAAGGAAATGGCTCGGTACTTGTACCCCAAGGGTCTGGAGAATTAAGTACACACATGTTGCAATAGAAAGGGCACTAGATGTGTGTCCAAGATCGTGGATTCTAATTGAGCTCTGCTGCTAGACAACTCTGTAATTAAGTCAAATTATTTAGCTTCTCTGGGTTTTGAAATTTGACGTTGGACGGGATGAAGAGGTTCCAACCTTTTTCACTTGGGAGGCCCTAATAGTCCCTATATGAGAATACTTGACTGAGAAAATACATATGTCCCAAGTCCATTTAGAAGTTACTTGCCAAGGCTGGTAATCACGCCTGTAATCCCAACACTTTGGGAGGCCAAGGTGGGAGGACACTTGAAGACAGGAGTTCAAGACCAGCCTGGGCAACACAGTGAGACCCCATCTCTACAAAAAAATTTTTTTTTAATTAGCCACTGTGGTGATGTACACCTGTAGTCCCGGCTACTCAGGAGTCTGAGGTTCGAGGATCGCTTGAGCCCAGGAGGTCGAGGCTGCAGCATGCTGTGATTGCACCACTGCACTCCATCCTGGATGACAGAACGAAATGCTGTCTCCAAAAAAAAAAAAAAAAAAAGAAGAAGAAGTTCCTTGCCAAACCCCACCTTATTCTTATTCTGATACCTGCAAATTGCAAAACCTTTGATAATAAATATAAGAGCTAACACATTGTGTACTTACTATATACTGGGCATTGTGCTAATGCTTTATAAACATATTGTCATAAGCAGTCTGAGGTAGTAGTTGCATTTTATAGATGAGAAAGCTGAGGCTAAAGAATTTCAATAGCTTCTTCAAGCACATACAGCAAAAAGGTGACAGTTCTGAAATTAAAACTTGGATCTTCCTCAGGATGTAAACTTACAGCCACCATATTTTACTACTGTAATAGAGTTTCTAGCTCTAACACCCCAAAATTCTGTGACTTCCTTGTTACTGAGGAAAAGGGAGCTGGGATAGAGATGAACCTGGTGATCTGGATCAGTTTTGGATTCCACTCTGTAGGGTCAGAATGAATTTGGGAATCACTGGGATCAGCCTATGCCATTCTTCCAGTCAGTGAGTACTGAGTCCCTTCTGGCCAGGCACGGTGGCTCACACTTGTAATCCCAGCACTTTGGGAGGCCGAGGTGGGCCGATCACTTGAGGTCAGTAGTTCAAGACCAGCCTGGCCAACATGAGGCAGGAGAATCGCTTGAGCCCGGGAGGCGGAGGTTACGGTGAGCCAAGATCACACCGCTGCACTCCAGCCTGCGCGGCAGAGCAAGACTCCGTTTAAAAAAAAAAAAAAAAGAAAAGAACTGAGTCCCTTCTATTCAGCAAATGCCAAACACATAATGTACAGTTATTTAATACAAATATGAATTTATATCCATCTTGCTCTTGAGAGCTTATGGTCTAGAAATTGAAATGAAAGCCACAACTTAAAATCCAATTGCAAGTTTGAAATGAGGAGTTAACAATGAATGTCTTTCTGTCCTCCTTTTTTTTTTTTTTTTCCAGACAGAGTCTTGCTCTGTCACCCAGGCCGGAGTGCAATGATATAATCACAGCTTGCTGCAGCCTCGATCTCCCAAGCTCAAGCGATCCTCCCATGTCAGCCTCCTGAGTAGCTGGGACTACAGGCACGCGCCACCATGGCTCTGTCCCCTTTTTAATGAGGAACTAATAGGCAAGTAGGAGACTAGGCAGAGGACATAATATTGTCGTTTATTCAGAAACAGAAACGTATGATGACAAAGATCATGGACCCTGCAGCCAGATATACCTGACCTTCTACAGTTGCCCACCAGTGCACTAACCATGCAGCTTAGCATTAACACCATCCTTTAGAACCTCCACTGGCTCCTCTGCAGAATGAGAATAATGAGAGAATCTATCTATTCGTTTCCTGGAACTGCTCGAACAAACACCGCAGACTTGTGGCTTAAGATGACAGAAACTATTCTCTCTCCGTTCTGGAGGCCAGAAAGTCTGAAATTAGAATGTCAGCAGAGCCAGGCTTCCCACGAAGGTTCTAGAGGAGAACCTTCCTTCCCTCCCCCTGCTCCTGGCGGCTCCTGGTGCTGTCTTTTGGCAGTATAACCCTAACCTCTGCTTCCATCTTCACGTGGCCTTCTCCTTTGTGTCTCTGCGCCTCTTTTACTATCTCTTACAAGAAAAGGGCACCCTAATCCAGTGGGATTTCGTCTTGACCCGTACCTTAATTGCATCTTCAAAGACCCTATTTCCGAATAACGTCACACTCTAAGACTGTAGACTGACACAGATTTCGGGAGGACACTATTCAACCCACTGTACTATCTCATAGGATTGTCGTAGGGAGTAAACGACATAATACGTGTAAAGCATTCAGCACAGTGCCTAACATGTAATAAACTCTCCATAAATGTTAGCTATATACATATAAGTATATATATGTATGGATGTATATCTTTTGTTATTTACTAGATTAATCAAAGATTTATTTCATTATTTCACCAAACAAAATAGTAACTTTTAATATTTTTTACTCTTCTTTTACTTTATTTTGTGGCAGGGTCTTACTCTGTTGCCCAGGCTGGAGTGCAGTGGCATGGTCTTGGCTCACTGCAACCTCTACCTCCCGGTTTCAAGCAATTCTCCTGCCTCAGCCTACCAAGTAGCTGGGATTACAGGCACCCGCCACTATGCCTGGCTAATTTTTGTATTTTTAGTAGAGAAGGGGTTTCACCATGCTGGCCATGCTGGTCTTGAACTCCTGACCTCAAGTGATCCTCCCACCTCAGTCTCCCAAGGTGCTAGGATTACATGTGTGAGCCAGAGCGCCTGGCCTTTTTTTTTTTTTTTTTTTTTTTTTGAGACAGGATCTCACTCTGTTGCCCAGGCTGGAGTGCATTGGTGCTGTCATAGCTCACTGCAGCCCCAACCTCCCAGGCTCAAGCGATCCTCCCACCTCAGCCTCCCAAGTAGAGGAGACTACAAGCATGTGCCACCTGCCCAGCTAATTTTTTTATTTTTTGTAGTTACAGGGTCTTGCCATGTTGCCTGGATGGTCTCGAACTCCTGGCCTGAAGCAATCCTCCGCCTTGGCCTTTCAAAGTACTGGGATTACAGGCGTGAAACACCATGGCTGACCCATTTTGAACTCTGTAAATGTCCTAATTTGCTTGTTTCTGATTGTATCATATTTTTTCCTCCCCTTTTCTATTCTGTCGGGTTGTCATCGTTATTCTTGTTTGTTATTCTCCTTTTCCCTGAGAATGGTTTGGATGTGTGGCTATATCGTGAATCTATTTCCTCCATGGACAATCTCTTATTGTAGTGGTGATTTTCTTCATTTTTGCTCAAGTGAGCATTTTGCTCATCTTGTTGAAGTGGGTGAGTTTTCGGTTGTTGTTGAGAGTGGTTTCTCCCTGGCCCTTCTTTCTGGTGTTATAATGATCATCTTCCATAAATGACCCATCGATTCTTATGGAGAAGACACATACTCTACTTCGAAGGGGTGACTTCCAGGGTGTGTCTTTCCGTCCTTTCTTATCTGTTATACTCCTATCTTCCACCCAAGTGCCACTGGTTCTTCAGGCCTGTACTGTGTCACTTGTTCAGGATTCTATTATGTTAGCACAAAAGTAATTGCAGTTTTTGCCATTGAAAGTAATGGGCTGGCTGGGCAACTGGCTGGGCACTGTGGCTCACGCCTGTAATCCCAGCACTTTGGGAGGCCGGGGTGGGTGGATCACTTGAGGTCAGGAGTCCAAGACTAGCCTGACCAACATGGTGAAACTCCGTCTCTGCTAAAAATACAAAAATTAGCTGGGCATGGTGGCATATGCCTGTAATCCCAGCTACTTGGGAGGCTGAGGCAGGAGAAGTGCTTGAACCTGGGAGGCAGAGGTTGAAGTGAGCTGAGATCATGCCACTGCACTCCAGCCTGGGTGACAGAGCAAGACTCTGTCTCAAAAAAAAAAATTTTTTTTGCACCAACCTAATATTTCCTCAGGAAATTCTTGCAGCCCATCCCAATCCCACCCACCCCCCCACCTCCCCACCTAGAGTGAATGAATGGGCTGACCCATGTCCTGGACAGCACCAAGCACTCGAGTAGGGACAGCACTGGGCACTCAGCCAGACCCTGGACTCTGCCTGGGGGTTTTCAGCAGGGTCCTGAGGTCTGTGATCTGGAATTGACTCTGACTAGACTCCAAGTTGGACTCAATATGCACTCTGAGCTCCAGACAGAGCTCCAGGATGGGCCCGTCCAAGTGGAGACAGGCTCTGGTCTGGCCTCAACTTCAAGAGCCTGCCATGGCCCAGGACTCTGAGCTGGGCTGTGGGATCAGCTCAGGCCTAACCCCAGCCAAGGCCTAACCCCAGACTTTTTTTTTTGCTTGCTTTCTCCTCAGCAGTGCCCATTTCTCAAATGAAAGGCAAGCCAGTGAGCACGTGGAAGGAAACACTGGACTATTTATTGCAAAGTGAGAATTGTCAGCTTGAGAAGCAAGGAAGTGGCCAGGCCCCCAACAAAGCAATCAAGCAAGAAATGGGGTGCGGGAAATGAGCTGATGTGCAGAAACAGCCTCCTTGTCCAACTCGGGGACATTCCTCTCAAGAAACACGCTCGTGTTGTGGTGTTTGCACTGCTCTCTGGGCAGTGCGGGCAGCGTGTTCCCCAGGCTGGGGTCTCTGATGAGCACAAAGGAATTCCAAGAACCTAGAGCCTCCTCAGCAGTCAGTCTATCTGAGAAAGCAGGCCCAAGCAGTGGAAGCAGGGGGTCGCTCCTCTGGGCCTCTGCCCTGGCAGGAAATGCAGGAACTCCCCTGTCCTCAGTCTGGGACAGGTGAGCTGAGGACACCTGGAGCAGCAGGAATCCCACGAGCTCTGCTTCACCGAGCCTTCAGGATGAGGCGGGTCTTCCCATCTCCAATGAAGCACCTGCAAGAAAGATGACCCAGTAAGGTCTCTGCCCCGGAGGTGAGACCCAGCCCTTCGTCATGTCTCCAGGCTCAGAAGTCTCCAGAAAGATGACTTCCTGAGCCTCCCCAGCCTTAATAGCCAGATCCCCTTGCAGAGAGAGAGACAGTTTCCTGCTTGGTTTCTTTTTTTTTTTTTAATTGAGACAGAGTCTCACTCACCCAGGCTGGAGTACAGTAGCATGATCTCAGCTCACTGCAGCTTCCACCTCCTGGGTTCAAGCAATTCTCATACTTCAGCCTCCCGAGTAGCTGGGACTACAGACAAGCACCACCACACCTGGCTGATTTTTGTATTTTTAGTAGAGACAGGGTTTTAACCATGTTGGCCAGGCTGGTCTCCAACTCCTGACTTCAAGTGATCCACCCACCTTGGCCTCCCAAACTGCTGGGATTACAGGCGTGAACCACATGCCCGGGTCCTGCTTGGTTTCTAACCCTTTTCCTGAAGATGCTCATTGCTGCCACTCTGAAAGCCCAGAATTAAATGAAGCCGGGTGCAGTGGCTCACGCCTGTAACCCAGCGCTTTGGGAGGCAGATCACTTGAGGTCAGGAGTTGGAGACCAGCCTGGCCAACATGGTGAAGCCCCATCTCTACCAAAAAAATCACAAAAACTGGCTGGGCGCGGTGGCTCATGCCTATAATCCTAGCACTTTGGGAGGCCCAGGCAGGTGGATCACATGAGGTCAGGAGTTCGAGACCAGCCTGGTCAACACGGTGAAAACCCGACTCTACTAAAAATATAAAAATTAGCTGGGCGTGGTGGCGGCGCCTGTAGTCCCAGCTGCTTGGCAGGCTGAGGCAGGAGAATCTCTTGAACCCGGGGGCGGAGGTTGCAATAAGCCAGAATCACACCACTGCACTCCAGCCTGGGCAACAGAGGGAAACTGTCAAAAAAAGAAAAGGAGAAAGACCAAGTCCTAAAGACATTGTTTGAGCGCCACCTGAAACCACTGCTACCTGTGAAGTTTTTGATGATGTGAGCCAATGAATTCCTCTTTATGACATAAGCTATTTTGAAATAGATCTCTGTCACTTGCAACCAAAGCTCCTAGATGGAGCCATTTTCTTTGCCTCTAAAGAGGCTCCCTCTTTTCTCTTCCAAACCCAAGTGAGAGCCTAGCCCTCTAGTCCCGGACTCTCTGGGAGATGTTGCCAAGTGCCCATCCAATGGGCCGGTGACCCTGTGTCACACTCCTACCTAATGAGCAGTCCAACAAGCAGGCCAGCCAGGAGTGGGCCCAGCCAGTAGATCCAGTGGAAGTTCCAGTGGTTGGCCACCACCGCAGGTCCAAAAGCACGGGCGGGATTCATGCAGCCTCCAGACACAGGGCCCCTGCAAACACCCAGGCACCAAGGTCACCAGGATCCCAGCCAAACCCCACCTCACCTCACACTCATGTCCCCAACTAGGCCTAGTCACACACCACCCAGAAACCCTCTCTAAACTCCTACATCATGAGCTCCTGGGTAGATCCTAAAGAAGGCAGAGGGGCTATTAGCACCAGGAAGCAGAAGGCATGGCTCCCCGCTGGGCGTGCAGTCCAGCACTCCCCACACACTCCTCTAGAATGCCCAGCAAAAATGCCTACTGGGTGATGGCAGGAAGAGAAGCTGGAGCTACATTTGCTCCAAAGTCTACAAAGGAAAGTCAATCAGTTTCAATCCTTTTGGAGTCAAGCTGACCTAGATTCAAAACCCAGCCCACACATTATAAAATAACAAAAAGTGTATCATAGGATTGTTCGTGACCCAAAGAATAAATGCTTGAGGGGATGAATACCCCGTTTACTTTGACGTGATTATTACACATTGCATACCTGTATCAAAACATCTCATGTAACCTCAGCCAGACACAGAGGCTCATGCCTGAAATCCCAGCAGTTTAGGAGGCCAAGGCAGGCAGATCACTTGAGGTCAGGAGTTAGAGACCAGCCTGGCCAACATGGTGAAACCCTGTCTGTATTAAAAATACAAAGTTAGCTGGGAATAGTGGCACACGCCTGTAGTCCCAGCTACTGGGGAGGCTAAGCCAGGAGAATTGCTTGAACCTGGGGGTTGGAAGTTGCAGTGAGCCATGATCATGCCACTGCACTCCAGCCTGGGTGACAGAGCAAGACTCTGTCTCAAAAACTAAAACTAAAAATAAAATAAAATAACGAAGAGTATAAGTGGATTGTTTGTGACACAAAAAATAAATGCTTGAGGGGATGAATACCCCATTCACCTTGATGTGATAATTATGCATTGCATGCCTGTACCAAAACATCTCATGTAACCCAGAAATATATACACCTACTAGGTTCACCCACAAAGCTTTAAAAATATACATATAAAGAAAGAAAAACCCCAGCCCAGATAGTTCTAGGTGTGGGAACCTCCATGAACCTCTCTGTGTTCAGGTGAGGTGAAAGTGACTATCCCATAGGTTGTCATCAGGAGTGAATGAGAAAATGCAAATGGAGCCCACACCTCGAATATAATTAATGTACAAAAAGCATTAACTAATCTAGCTGGTCCAGATGAGGCCCTTGTTGCACCACAAGCTTAAGACCCAGAATCCTACAGGGAGACTCTTCCCCAGGTGCACTCCTCTCGTTCTGGGGCTCTGTCTTTACCCCATTCTCTCCAGCTGGGGGCCTGTAGACCTCATCCCCACCCTGTGTCCAGCTTCGAAGTCAAAAAGCTTGTAAGTAGGCGGGGCGCGGTGGCTCAGCCTGTAATCCCAGCACTTTGGGAGGCCAAGGCGGGCGGATCATGAGATCAGGAAATCGAGACCATCCTGCCTAATACGGTGAAACCCCGTCTCTACCAAAAATACAAAAAAAAATTAGCCGGGCGTGGTGGCGGACGCCTGTAGTCCCAGATACTCGTGAGGCTGAGGCAGGACAATGGCGTGAACCCGGGAAGCGGAGCTAAAAAAAAAAAAAAGGGCTTGTAAGTGAATCAAAGACCACTAGGGGGCAGCAAAGCATGGCCACAGCTTTACACACACATTCCCCAGCCTGCCCCAGGCTCCACCTCCCAAAGTTGAGGGAGAGCTGACCCAGGAGAAAGGTTAGACTTGGTTCTGTGTCCAAAAGAAAGGAAAGAGTCAGACATTAGGGAGGGGCTCCCTGGGCTGGGCACTGTGGCTCATGCCTGTAATTCCAGTACTTTTGAGAGGCCAACGCAGGAGGATGGCTTGAAGCCAGGAGTTCAAGACCAGCCTGGGCAACAGAGCGTGACCCCTATCTCTACAACAAAAATTAAAAGGGTTCACTCAGCCTCTTGTCCCAAATCTATCACTTAATTTGCCACTGCCCACTGACCTTAAATAAGTCACTTCTGTCCTCTCTAAGCCTCAGTTTCCTTATCTATAAAACGGGAGACATCATCCCCAATCTTGTCTACTTAATCCCTTCCAAAGCCTGCTGGGAGTCTAAAAATAAATGAGACAACAGCTACACATGCTCTTTGTAAGCCTGAGGCTAAAACCCGGCTGCCCGCTGACCGAATGAACACAGTTCACAGAAATGTTGTATTTACGCTACCAACATTGGAAAACATCACATACAGATTTAAATTTCTGACTTCCTTTGAATGAAAGCATCAGCCCAGACCCATGTACCCAGCAATAATTGACAAGAGCTGAACTGACTGCAGCACCTCTGACACTGCAGTCCCCACCACTCCCTGTTGTCTGCCTGATGCCAGCCCCCCTCCCCATTTGCAGCACCTTCCTGGCCCCTAATAGCAACTGAATCTGTGACCCTCAGGCCTGAAATCCCCCAGAGCTGAACAGCACAGATCTGGGCATGGTCACCCCACTGCCAAGGGACACTCACCCAGCCAGGATATCCACGGTGACGGCAAAGCCGATGGAGAACGGGGCCAGAGGGCCCTTTGTCTTCTCATTGATGGCACCCATGCATACAGCCAGGGCCAGCAGCGTCGTCAGGATGATCTCTGCCACCAACGCCCCTGCCACCTGCCCCTGCTCCTGGACTGTCACAAAGGCCGCCCCAGATGCATTCCAGAACCTCTCCTCAGGACTCACCGCCTGCACAGAGAAGCTGCTGAGCCTCACAGTGGGGCAGAGAGACAGCTGGAAACTGAGGGGAGAGGGCCTAAAAAACGCATGCTACCCACCTTAAGAGCCAGTGAAGGGTTATGTCCAATTTCAGTTAGATATACCTGCATCCACATCCCAGCTCTGCCAGATTTTACTGTGCGACCCTGCGTGAACTACTGAACCTTTCTGAGCCTCACTTTGTTCAGCTGAAAAATAGTAATGGGGCTAGGCGTGGTGGCTCACGCCAGCAACCCCAGCACTTTGGGAGGCTGAGATGGGTGGGTCACTAGAGCCCAGGAGTTTGAGACCAGCCTTGCCAACATGGTGAAACCCCATCTCCACTACAAATACAAAAATTAGCGGGGTGAAGTGGCAGGCACCTGTAATCCCAGCTGCTCAGGAGGCTGAGGCACCAGAATCACTTGAACTCTGGAAGCAGAGGTTGCAGTGAGCTGAGATCACACCACTGCACTCCAGCTTGAACAACAGAGCAAGACTCCGTCTCAAAAAAAAAAAAAAGAAAAAGAAAAAGAAAAATGGGGATAACCCAGTCATGGCTCCAGGTTACAGACCTAAAACTTATGTAACTTAGATGATCCTCTTTGAGAAAAAGAACATAAACTATCTTTTTATTTTTCTTTGACACAGAGTCTAGCTCTGTCACCCAGGCTGGAGTGCAGTGACACGATCATAGCTCACTGCAGCCTGGACCTCCTGGGCTCCAGTGTTCCTCCTACCTCAGCCTCTCATGTAGCTGGGACCACAGGTACATACCAACCATGCCCACCTAATGTTTTTTTTAAAATTTTTTGTAGAGATGGAAGGTCTTACTATGTTGCCCAGGCTGGTCTGGAACTCCTAGGCTCCAGTGATCCTCCCGCCTCTGCCTCCCAAAATGCTGGGATTACAGGCACCAGCCGCCATGCGTGGCTAAAAATACCTTACTCTTAGAAACTTTACAAACACATATGATCAGGTGAACTCATTGCTAAGCCCCCACAGGACCGTGGAAGGGGCATGTGCAGGAGAGCCCTGAAGCCTGAGCTCAATTATTTCTATGGGCGATCGGCCTCAGGGCTATCACAGCCCCGAAGGGGAAAGACAGTGCAGTGCACAAGCTTCTGGACTCTGGATCCAGTCGGGGCTGTGCTGCTTACAGGCACGTCTGAACTTGAGCAAGTTACCTGCTTCTCTGCACCTCTGTTTTCTCATCTATAAAATAGGGATGATACTGACAGCTCCCAGCTCACAGACAAGGCCGTTGGTGTGCCTGGCACAAGGTAAGCGCTCTCTATGAACTGACTATGGTTTTTCATAAAGTTGCTGGGAGATGAAATAAGAGAATATGTGTAAAACATTTAGCAGGAAGAATGTGCTTAGGGAACCCTGCTGCCCCGCAGCTGTCAGAACCATGTTTGACAGGTTTTAAGTGGCAGGGCTTGAGCTCGAGTCTGGCCACTGCTTTTCAGAGCAGAAGCCGAGAAGGAAGGTCCCGGGCGTGTTCCATAGACAGGGGAACAGGCTGTGGCTCTCAAATTGGGACATGGAGAGACCACAGCAGGGGATGACAGTAAAGTGAGGCTTGAGAACAAAGTCTGCGGTGGGTCAGCACTTACAGCTTCAGACCCTATCACAGCCAAGCTGACAGAGCTCCCCCATCCACCACCCCCCACACACACACCAAGCAAGGCCCACATCTTGAAGGGCTTGAAGTATCCCTGGCTGAACCAAGACTTAAGGGCAAAAGAAAAGAAAGAAAGAGAGGGAAAAAAAAGAAAAAGAGGGATGAAGGGAGAAAGTCTATCCATGGATTTATGCATAAAGCTATGAAAACTCTGTGGCTGGCCAGGCTCGGTGGCTCATGTCTGTAATCCCAGCACTTTGGGAGGCCAAGGCAGGAAGATCACTTGAGGCCAGGAGTTGGAGGCCAATGTGGTCAACACAGCGAGAGCCCACCTCTACAGAAAAAAATTTTTTTTAATTTATTTATTTTTTATTGATAATTCTTGGGTGTTTCTCACAGAGGGGGATTTGGCAGGGTCATAGGACAATAGTGGAGGGAAGGTCAGCAGATAAACAAGTGAACAAAGGTCTCTGGTTTTCCTAGGCAGAGGAAATTAGTTGGGTGTGGTGACACACACCTGTAGTCCCAGCTACTCAAGAGGCTGAGGCAGGAGGATCACTTGAGCCCAGGAGGTCGAGCCTGCAGTGAGCTATGATTGCACCACCACACTCCAGCCTGGACAACAGAGTGAGACCCTATCTCTAAAATAAAAAAGAGAGGCCGGGCACAGTGGCTCATGCCTGTAACCCCAGCACTTTGGGAGACCAAGGCAGGTAGATCACTTGAGCTCAGTAGTTCAAGACCAGCCTGGCCAACATGATGAAACCCCGTCTCTACTAAAAATACAAAAATTAGCTGGGCATGGTGGCATGCGCCTGTAATCCCAGTTACTCAGGAGGCTGAGGTGGGAGAATTGCTTGAGCCCAGGAGGCAGAGGTTGCAGTGAGCCAAGATCAGGCCACTGCACTCCAGCCTGGGTGACAGAGCAAGACTCCATCTCAAAAAAACAAACAAATAAAAAATACAATAAAATGCAATAAGAAAGAAAGAGAGAAGAAAAACGTCCACCAATTCCACTGGCAGAAACAAGCAAAAGATTGGACATTTCCCCACTCCCCACTGTCCCACACACACACCCACATATGCACCTCCAGCAGCCCCATCAGAGAGGAAGACTAGCCCAGCCCCTGGGGTTTACCCACCTTGGCCAAGGCAGCCCCGAGCATCCCCCCGAGCAGCTGTGAGACCCAGTACGGGAGGAGCATCACCAGGTTGAGGCCTCCGATCAGCATGGCTGCCAGGGACACCGCAGGGTTGAAGTGTCCACCACTGTAACCCACAAGAGCAGAGGAAGTCATGAGCCCAGGGCTGACCACATGGCTGGCACTTGAGACAGTGTGTCCCAGCCAACCCACCAGGCTGGCCTCTCAGGGCAAGAGTCAGTCCGGGGCCCAGCTCAAATACAAAGAGGCACCAAATTGCTTCCATTTTCCCTGAGATGCCAGGCAGAGGGTAAGAGATAAAGGGCAGCCTCTAAGTCCAAAGCCCAGCCCCCAGGATGGCCCTGGAGGAAGAGCGTGTAGGGAGACCATCCCTTAACTCCTCCCTGACTCCCTCCAAGCCTCCCTCCAGCCCTTCAGAGATGTGGCCACAGGTCAGATTGAGATACCAAGGCTCCAAGTTAGTAGCCCAAGAGCGGTATCCAGGCCTCCCCTTATGATTTGTTTGATTTTACGAGACGGAGTCTTGCTCTGTCGCGCGGGCTGCAGTGCAATGGTGTGATCTCGGCTCACTGCAGCTTCCACCTTTTGAGTTCAAGCAATTCTTCTGACTCAGCCTCCTAAGTAGCTGGAACTACAGGTGTGTGCCACCACGCCTGGCTTATTTTTGTATTTTTAGTAGAGACGAGGTTTCACCATGTTGGTCAGGCTGGTCTCAAACTCCTGACCTCAAGCGATCCACCCACGTCGGCCTCCCAAAGTGCTGGGGTTACAGGCACGAGCTACCGTGCCCGGCCCGGGTCTCCCTTTATGAGTAGCTAGGCCCTGAATAAGACCTCCTGATTGGTTGAACTGCTCAGCCAGTGAAAACCCTACTTGTGGTCTGAAAGTGTGATGGGTGTAAAATGCAGATTTGGAGTTCAGGCTGAAAATGGCATTGAGAATCACGGGGTGGAGTTGGAGGTTCATGACCAGGTTAGGGATTGGGATTGGGAGTTTGGGGTGTGGAAGGGAATTAGACAAGTCAGAACCTGAGGTCAAAGGGCAGGTTGCAGTTGATCAGCCACCCCCTGGCTCATGGGTAAAGAGCCTTCGTGTTCACCAAGATGTTCAACCAGCCCAGGCCCCAGAGCCAGGGTGGCTGCACTCACATCAGTGTCCCAACCAGTCCCACTCTGATGGAGGAAATATTGTCACAGTTTGGCCTCCTGAATCCATCTGGTTTCCAGGAATGGATACTCCCCAATGAGAGAGAAAGGGACCCCAAGACTCCCCATGTCACTTGAGAACCAAAGTGCCCCCCTAATGTAAAGAGCCCACCAATGAGCTTACCCATCCTCCAAAGGACATAGGACATTCAGTTGAGACTGGGCAGAGGACCTCAGCTCTGCCCAAAAGGACTTTGTCCAACACCCTGATAGCTCGAGACCAGCTACCCCAACTTGTCTGGCTCAGCTCTGGGCCCAGGCCCTCAGATAAGCTCCATGCACGGTTTGATTTGATTTGTTTTTTGTTTTTTGTTTTTTTTTTTGAGACAGGGTCTCCCTTTGTCACCCAGGCTGGAGTGCAATGGTGCAATCTCGGCTCACTGCAACCTCCGCCTCCTGGTTTCAAGCGATTCTTCTGCTTCAGCCTCCCAAGTAGATGGGATAACGGGGCTGCCACCACGCCCGGCTAATTTTTGTATTTTTGGTAGAGACGGGGTTTCACCATGTTGGCCAGGTTGGTCTCGAACTCCTGACCTCAGGTGATTCACCTGCCTCGGCCTCCCAAAGTGCTGGGATTACAGGCGTGAGCCACTGCGCCTGACCTCCATGCATGGTTTGAAAGCACCAGCCAGTGCTCAGACTCCACAGGTTGGGAAGAGGGGCAGCCAGGCCTACTTGGCCTCAAGTAGCTTAGCCTGGGCTCTGCTGAGATACACAGATGAAGTCAGGGTGAGGCGGCTTCCCAGGGGAGCCCCAAAGGGGAGAGAAACTGTCACCCAGAGCATGGCTCTATCAGGAGGGCCAGGTGACGAAAACCACACATTTCCTGGTTTACACTCATTAGCAATAAAACAATCAAGACACATTCATTCATTCATTCATTGTTCACTCAGCATATATTTCTCTGACACTTACTGTGTGCCAGGGGCTGTGCTGGGTGCTTATAACTTACATACATAGCTTATCCTGGATCCAGTGAACAACCTCAAAGTCAGTGTCTGGCACGCAATAGGTGCTGAATAAATATTTGTCAAAAAAGCCAAACAGAGAGGCAGTATTTGCAGTGCCAAAGAGATGGTCTTTCCAGCCAGCTGGCCTGGGTTCAAAGCTCAACTCTGCCACTGAAGAGCTGTGTGGCATTGGCAAAGTTACATAACCTCTCTGTGCCTCAATGATCTCTGCCTGATAAAGCTATTGCAAAGATATTAAGAATTAATATTTGTACAGCCCATAGTAGTATCTATGTAGTTAGCATTCAAAAAACATCAGCTATTATTATTACTCATATTTATACCACTGCACACAGAGGCTTCAGCAACTTGCTGTGGTCACCCTGCTAAGAAGTGATAAAGGTTGCCTTCAATCTCAGATCCGTCCAAAGGGAAGATCATGTACTTTTTGTTTCACTTGCAGCCTCCCTTGGACGTCTAAAGAGATGTGGTTTGTTTTTTGTTTGTTTGTTTGTTTGTTTGTTTTTTGGAGATGGAGTCTCACTCTGTTGCCCAGGCTGGAGTGCAGTGGCACAATCTCGGCTCACTGCAACCTCTCCCTCCCAGTTCAAGCAATTCTCCTGCCTCAGCCTCCGAAGTAGCTGGGACCACAGGTGCCTGCCCCCACGCCCAGCTAATTTTTGTATCTTTAGTAGAGACAGGGTTTCACCCTGTTGGCCAGGCTGCTCTCCAACTCCTGACCTCAGGTGATCCACCCGCCTCAGCCTCCCAAAGTGCTGGGATTACAGGCGTGAGCCACTGCACCCGGCCTAAAGAGATGTTAAAGCTCTTTTCCATTCTGGTTTTCTCAGAAATAGTATTTCTGTTTCCTCATTCAGATCTATTTTTTGAGTGAGATTTAATACAGACCAACCATGTCCCAGATCACCCTGCCAGGCACCCCACTCAAGATCTTCGTCGTGATGGCTGGCTCTCCTGGGAACCAGCAGCCATGTCCACAGACCTCCCCATTGAGCCTCTACCCAGACGAGAGCTAAGCCAGAGAAGCCTGTCCCTTTCCCTGCCCCTCCTTCTTGATCACCTCTTGACAAGCCAGGACCACTGCAGATCTCTGCATACCCAGGTGGGAAAACCTGGCTCAGGTCTTCTATGCATTTCTGCTTTCCCTAAAACCCCCTTCTAGTGGTAACAATAACACAGCAACCAATGCCTGTTGTATGTTTGGTGTGTGCCAGGCGCTCTACTTCATTTAATTCTCATGACTTCCGCATGAGGCACTTGGATTTGAGCGCTGGAGCCAGACAGCTTGTTCTTGACTCCCGCCTCTGCCACTTTCTGGCCCTCTAAGCTTGGACAGATTACATGGCCTTTCACTTTTGCAGCTGTACAATGGGGCTAATAACAGGACCTACCCCACAAGGCTTTTGTGAGGATTAAATAACTAATATCTATAAAGTAATTAGACTAGTGCCTGGTACATGGTTAGCAATATAGATATGTTGGCTTGAAAAAAAAAACATTTAAAAGCTACTATTCCCATTTTATAGGCGGGGAACTTTGGGTTTAGAGAGTAACTTGCCAGCCAGGCATGGTGTCTCATGCCTGTAATCCCAAAACTTTGGGAAGCCAAGGCAGGAGGATCGCTTGAGACCAGGAGTTCAAGACTAGCCTGGGCAACATAGTGAGACCCCATCTCTACAACAAAATTTAAAAATTAGTTGGGTGCTGCGGCGCATGCCTGTGATCCAGCTACTCAAAAAGAGAATGACTTGCTCAAAGTCACAAGCTCACAGGCTGCGGGGTCTGGAGTTGACCCCAGTCTGACTCCCAACCCCATAGTTATCCAGAGCGCTCCTTGAAATCCCGAATACGTATGCGCCCAGGGGTCCTTGACAACGCCTTTGCTTTCCACACCCAGTGCCCCAAGTCAGCATCAGGCTGAATCCTCAGAGCTGGTCTCACCTGATATTCCCCAGCGTGGCAATCACGAGCCCCAAAGCCAGCCCGTGGGCCAGGGCCGGCTGCAGCAGCCCAGTGTCCGTCCCATTCTCAATGACCGACAGGCACCCGATGAAGATGAAGAGAGCAGAGCCCAGCAGTTCGACCAGACATGGCTGCACAAACCGTTCGTACCAGGACACTCGCCACCTGCCACCCACGCTCGGCTCCCTGGCCTTGTCATTGCCAAATTCAGGCTCACACATGGCTATCTGCCGTAGGGAAAAAGGGACAGAGGACACGGGTGGGAGGCAAGTCCAGATATAGAAGGCCCCGACCCCCAACCTTGAATTAATTCACAGCCCCCCTTGCTCTGCCAGCCTGGAGAGGAAGATGCCGACAGAGGGCTCACCTCTCCAGACATCAGGATCAGATGGCACAAACATCGGACTCTTGCCTGAGCTGCTGGGAAACCTGCACCTGCTGTGCAAGATACTCTTATCTCCTAGGGACAGGACCTGCTGATCACACTATGGGCTCTGCCCCTTTTAAAGGGCTGCAGAGGCTCAATGCTGGTGCAGAGAAAGCAATAAACCTCAGGTAGGAGGCGGCTCTGAGGCCCAGAAGAGGAAATTTTTTTAAATCTCAACAGGGCAGGGTGAGGGAGTCAGGGATTGCTGAACTTTCCGCCAGTGAGGGAAAAACACGCCAGCTTGGCTGTGTCATCTGGGAGCACACTCCAGGCTGTAGAAGGTGGGAGATGGGTCCAGCACCCCAGCTCCCCACGGTCCAAAGCAGAACAGCACATGTTAGTGGGCCCCACTGGGTTGGAACCTCACATGTTAAGAAACAGCAAACAGCCAGGTGCAGTGGCTCACGCCTGTAATCCCAGCACTTTGGGAGGCCGAGGCAGGTGGATCACGAGGTCAGGAGATTGAGACCATCCTGGCTAACACGGTGAAACCCCGTCTCTACTAAAAATACAAAACTCAGCCGGGCGTGGTGGTGCACGCCTGTAATCCCAGCTACTTGGGGGGCTAAGGCAGGAAAATCATTTGAACCTGGGAGACGAAGATTGCGCAGAGCCAAGATTGTGCAACTGCACTCCAGCCTGGGCAACAGAGCAAGGCTCTGAAAAAAAAAAAAAAGGAAAGAGAAAGAAGAAAGAAAGACAGAGAAAGAAAGAAAGGAAAGAAAAGAAAGAAAGAAAGAAAGAAAGAAAGAAAGAAAGAAAGAAAGAAAGAAAGAAAGAAAAAGAAAGAAAGAAAGAAAGAAAGAAAGAAAGAAAGAAAGAAAGAAAGAAAGAAAAAGAAAGAAAAAGAAAGAAAGAAAAGAAGGAAGGAAAGAAAGAAAGAAAGAAAGAAAGAAAGAAAGAAAGAAAGAAAGAAAGAAAAAAGAAAAAGAAAGAAAAGAAGGAAGGAAGGAGAAAGAAAGAGAGGGCGTGTTGGTGTTTGCCTGTAATCCCAGCTACTCAGGAGGATGAGGCATGAGAATCACTTGAACCCAGGACCCAGAGGTTGCAGTGAGCCAAGATCGCGCCACTGCACTTCAGCCTCAGAGTGAGACCCTGTCTAAAAAAAAAAAAAAAAAAAAGAAAGAAAGAAAGAAAAAAGAAAAGAAAGAAACAGCAATCCCATTTTCAATTATTTTTCCAATGAGTCCCACAGCTTCAAACACCTGCAGTCACCGTGACAGCCTGAGCCAGGACTGAGTGTATAGATGACGATCCTTCACAGACAGAGGCAGCAGAGACTGGCAAGAGGTAATGCAATGCAGCGGCAAGACCCATGAACTTTGGAAATAGGCTGCCTGGCGTTCAATCCCAGCTCTGCTGTAAACTAGCTATGTAACCCTTGGGCACATGACTTGGCCTCTCTGGGCCTTTGTTTTCTCATCTGTTAGGTGTGGATGTTAGTGGTTTCACCATGTCATAGGGTCGTTGGGAAGTTTAAATGAGATAATACGGGTAAAGTGCTCAGGACAGTGCTAGACACACAATACCAGTGTCCACTAATTTACAATACATGCTTAGCTGTAACTAATAGCTAATAGTGAGCACTTTCTATGTGCCAGGCACTGGGGCTAAGTGCCTTCTATTATCTCATTTAAACCTCACTGCCACCCTGTGAAGCAGGTACTATTATTACAACCATTTCACAGACGAGGAAGTGGAGTGTCAGGAAGATTGAGTTTCCCAAGATTACACAGCTTATATGATCACAGAACTTGTGGGCTGTCACAAAAGGATAAATACTGTATCTGATTCCACTTGTATGAAGTACCTAGACTAGTCAAATTCATAGAGACAGAAGTAGAATGGTGGTTTCCACGGCCCGAGGGGAAGGGAGAATGAAGAGTTTGTGTTTAGCGGGTACAGATTTCCTGTTTGGGAGGAAAGTTTTGGGATGGATGATACAGTGGCACAACAATGTGAAGTACTTAATGTCACTGAAATGTACACTTAAAAATGGTTCCAAATGCTGGGTGTGCTTGGCTCACACCTGTAATCTCAGCACTTTGGGAGACCAAGGCAGGAGGATCACTTGATTTTAGGAGTTTGACACCAGTCTGGCCACATGGTGAAACCCTGTCTCTACTAAAAATACAAAAATTGGCTGGGTGTGGTGGTGCACGCCTGTAATCCCAGCTACTTGGGAAGCTGAGGCAGGAGAATCGCTTGAACCTGGGGGGCAGAGGTTGTAGTGAGCTGAGATCACACCACTACACTCCAGCCTGGGTGAGAGGATGAGACTCCATCTCAAAAAAAAAAAGGTTAAAATGGCATATTTTATTTTATGTGTATCTTGCCACAATTGAAAAAAAATACTTGTGAGCTAACCCACTACACTCTACTGCCTTTCTAAGAGAGATGGATGGATGGATGGATGGATGGATGGATGGATGGATGGATAAGTGGATGGATGGGTGGATGCATGGATGGATGGGTGGATGGATGGATGGATAGATAGATGGTTGGGTGGGTGGGTGGGTGGATGGATGGATGGATGGATGGATGGATGGATAGATGGGTGGGTGGATGGATGAATGGATGGATGGATGGATGGATGGTTGGAAAGAAGGGAAGAAAGAAAGGAAGGGAGGGAGGAAGGAAGGGAGAAAGGAAGGAGGAAGGAAAGAAAATGAGATGAGTTCCTTATTCATTCATTCACTCACCAAACATTTAAATAGCTGCTGCAAGCCAGTCACTGTTCTAAGCTGGCTGGAGATGTAGCAGTGAACAAGACAGGCAAAATCCTGCTCTGTCTCATAGCTTTATCTTTGAGTGTTTGTATGCACTGATAGAGAAGTCAAGCTAGAGCTAACGGAATTTTAATGCTCATTTCTGACATTTCTCAACTACTCACTACATCTCCAACACCATGCTAAACACTCGGTATATATTCGTAAACCCCTTTGAGATAAGTCCTATCACTTATTATCACCATCTTCAGATGATAAAAACGAGGCACAAAGAAGTTAAGAACTCACCCATGGCTGTGTACATAAAAATATCTGCTTCAGGACAGAAGTGGACATATCTAGAGAAGAGCGTGACAGTTTGTTGACAGCCCATGTCAGCGAGAGGCCCAGGAATACAGGGTCTCTGCCAAATATCTGCACCTCTAGGAAGGTTATTTTTAGCCCTGTTCTCTACCTCCTCCATATCCCACAGCACATCATACAAGATGTTTCTTAGACCCTTCCTTCCACATCCTATAAATAGCAACATAAGATAGTCTGACCCAAGGCTTCCCCATCCCCCTCATTATTTGCTCAAATCCTGCCAGTACTGCTTCCAGAATAATTCTCTCTTGTTTTCACCCATGCCTTCATCTGTTCTTGCTTAGTCCCTTGAACAAAGAAAAACTAAGCTGGATGCACTGGCTCGCACCTGTAATCCCAGCACTTTGGGAGGCCAACGCGGGCAGATCACAAGGTCAGGAGTTCAAGACCAGCCTGACCAACATGGTGAAACCCCATCTCTACCAAAAATACAAAAATTAGCTGGGCATGGTGGCACACGCCTGTAATCCCAGCTACTCAGGAGGCTGAGGCAGGAGAATCGCTTGAACCTGGAAGACGGAGGTTGCAGCGAGCCGAGATCACACCACAGCACTCCAGCCTGGGCCACAGAGCGACACTCCATCCCACCCCCCCACCCCCCAAAAAATGGATTCTTTGCTCACATAATAGTCCATGACAGGCTCGTCTCCAAATGGTGACTCAGGGATCCAGGCCACTTCCATCTTGGAGCTGCCCCATCTAGGTCCTCAGATCTTCTCCAGCAAAATGGGAAAAAGAGAATGTGGAGGGCTGTGCAGGAAATTATTATGGGCTAGGCCTAGAAATACCATATATCCCTCTCACCTATATTTGATGGGCTCAAACTCAGTCACGTGGCTTCACCTGACTGCAATCGAGCCTGGGAATTGTAGTCTAGCCCTGTGCCCAGGAGGAAAAAGAAAGGCATTTTATGAATATCGAGCAATTTCTGCCACATACTAGAAATTGTTGCTTTCCCAGAGACCATGGTTCTAGTTGAGTTTTTCCCTGAATTAAATCATTCAGTGTGTCCCATGGTTCCAAGACAAACCCAGACTCCCTTAGCTAGCCACAGAGACTTCAGTTCCTAGCCCCTGAATCATCTCTTGCCACATGAACCCTAAACAATTTATCAGATAAGCTATGTACCCTCACCCGGCCTTGTCCATGCCAGTCCCTCTGTTTGGAGTCCTTGTTTGCCCTCTTGGCCAACTTCTACTCCTCATTCAGATCTCAGATCAGATATTATGTCCTCTCTGATGCCTGGGCAAACTACCTATTGGTCCTCTAAAAACACCCTTCCCTTGCTCAAGGCAAGGTTGGATTCCATAACTCCAAAACTAGGCCAGTGCAGCGGCTCATGCCTGTAATCCCAGCACTTTGGGAGGCCAAGGCGGGTGAATCACAAGGTCAGGAGATCGAGACCATCCTGGCTAACACAGTAAAACCCCATCTCTCCTAAAAATACAAGAAATTAGCCGGGCATGGTGGCACGCGCCTGTAGTCCCAACTACTCAGGAGGCTGAGGCAGGAGAATTGCTTGAACACGGGAGGTGGAGATTGCAGTGAGCCAAGATTGCACCACTGCACTCCAGCCTTGGCAACAGAGCAAGAGTCCGTCTTAATTAAAAAAAGAAAAAAAAAAGGAAAGAAAAAGAAAACTAGTGGCTTCCAGGGAAAACCTGAATGCCATTCAGACAAAACAACATATTTCCACTACATGAGAGTTTTAGAGTATGTCCTGATGTCCTCATACACAATATACTGTCTCTCAAAACCACTGAAAAACCTAGTGGGCTAAGGAGATACTGTCTTCCTAAAAAATTCTTTGGCTGGCAAACTTCCTAGTTTTCCAAATCCAGGTCTGGTTAACAGGACCAAGGCTTCTAATCTTTATCCCTGTTTGGTTGGCAAGACTTCTCTGCATCTATACCTGTCTGCCATCCCCCACCAGGTCCAGATGGAGTGTAGAAACAGGTCACATTTTACCCTGGCATCTCACCTTTCCCTTCTCTCTTGCCTTGATGGCTGCACTGTTGTGCCAGATGTGACGCTGCTGCTGTGGCAGCCATCTTGGACCGTATATATAGGCCAGATGTAGTGGCTCACCCTTGTAATCCCACCATTTTGGGAGGCCGAGGCAGGTTCATTACCTGAGGTCAGGAGTTTGAGACCAGCCTGGCCATATAGTGAAACCCCGTCTCTATTAAAAATACAGACATTAGGCCGGGCGCGGTGGCTCACGCCTGTAATCCCAGCACTTTGGGAGGCCGAGGCGGGCGGATCACGAGGTCAGCAGATCGAGACCATCCCGGCTAAAACGGTGAAACCCCGTCTCTACTAAAAATACAAAAAATTAGCTGGGCGTAGTGGCGGGCGCCTGTAGTCCCAGCTACTTGGGAGGCTGAGGCAGGAGAATGGCATGAACCCGGGAGGCGGAGCTTGCAGTGAGCCGAGATCCCGCCACTGCACTCCAGCCTGGGTGACAGAGCGAGACTCCGTCTCAAAAAAAAAAAAAAAAAAAAAAAAAAATACAGACATTAGTGGGGCGTTGTGGCACACACCTGTAGTCCCAACTACTCAGGAGGCTGAGGCAAGAGAATCACTTGGACCTGGGAAGCAGCAATTGCAGTGAGCCAAGATCACATCATTGCACTCCAGCCTGGGCAACAGAGCAAGACTCCATCTTAAAAAAAAAAAAAAAAAAAAAAAAAAAAAATATATATATATATATATATATATATATATATATATATATATATATAAAATAAAATAAATATATATATAATATAAAATATATAGATATAAAAATATATATATATATGATTGTAAAACCTAAGACCAGTACTTGAGCTATTCTGCAGACCCTGTACTTGATGGATCAGCTAGCACCACCACCTAGATGGATAAACTGGCTCATGTGATCTTGTGGGCTCCCTCAGGAACTGACTCAGCGCAAGGAGACAGCTTCAACTCCATATAATTTCATCTCTGACCAATCAGCACTCCTGACTCACCGGCTTACTCCCACCCACCAAGTCGTCCTTAAAAACTCTGACCCCTGAATGCTTGGGGAGACTGATTTGAGTAATAATAAACTGGTCTTCTGCACAGCCAGCTCTGCGTGAATTACTCTTTCTCTATGGCAATTTCCCTATCTTGATAAATTGGCTCTGTCTAGGCAGCGGGCAAGGTGAACCTGCTGGGAGGTTATGTAATTATTTAAGAATGAAATACAAATATAAATAAAATATGTTTTTAATGTACTTGTCTTATTCAGTGTATGTGTATTATTGTCTGTACAATATATGTGAATGTTTTGTGTACATGTGGGGTTTTTTTACAAATGGCTACTAAGTTGTTAGAACATAAGAACTTTTTAAGTGTTTTGCACCTAATTCCTTAATAAATAGAGCTATTAGGTATTTTTTTTGGGGGGGGCCTCCGCACAGAGTGAACCAAGAAAGTTTGGGGTCCTCTGAATTAAAGAATTTATGTTCTTGTATTTCAAGTACTTGCAGAAGAGAACAGTTCTTGCAGATACATCATCCCCAAATTCCAGAGATACTGGGTTTCAGGTTAATAACTTCTCAAAGCTAGACACCATTTATAATGCAGAGACTTGACAATTTAGGCTGTGCTCTGTGGACAACCACAGAAACTTAAAGCAGAACCTGTCATTCTCTTCTGAAACTGCTTTCTTTCCATCTCGGTAGATTTGCAATTGTATTCAATGTATTACCACTTGGAGCTCAGGGCAACTAGCCATTGGAAGTAAGTCTAGTTTTCACCTTTCTGTCTTCTCAAACTGCAAGATTGAGAAGACATTTCTCAACTACTCACTACATCTCCAACACCATGCTAAACACTCGGTATGTATTTGTAACCCCCCTTTGAGATAAGTCCTATCACTTATTATCACCATCTTCAGATGATAAAAACGAGGCACAAAGAAGTTAAAGAACTCACCCATGGATGGATGGATGGATGGATGGATGGATGGATGGATGGAAGTTTGCACCTGAGCAACTTCCTTCCTCAGAGAAGTCACCAGCTCTTTCTATTCTCCCCTGCAGTGTCAAGGTCAAGGTGTTGAACGTCTTTCGAGTCACGAGTAACCAGTTATATTGGCTATTTCAGAATGCTTTACAGCCAAAAAGTCCTTGAACGAAGGAAGAAGTCCACTAAGTCTCATCAGCAAGGGTCCAGCTTCTCTTCATCTGCATGTTTTGAACAATAAAAATGACTACCACTTTCTGAGAACCTACTGAGAGCTTGGCACTCCGTCTTCCTTTTCTATCTCTTTTATCCTTTTTATCTACATCCAAATTAAATAACTCTACAGAAGAAAAAATCCAAATGATCAATAAACAGACAAAAAAAAACCTTAATCTCTGCAATAGCCAGAAAAAAATTCAAATTAAAGCAACAGAAATAACATTTTCACCATTAGATTGGTAGAAAGACTTTTTTAACTGATTAACATACAGTGCTGACAAAGAAGGGGAAAACAGGCCAGGCGCAGTGGCTCATGCCTGTAATCCCAGCACTTTGGGAGGCCGAGGCTGGCAGATCGCCTGAGGTCAGGAGCTCAACACTAGCCTGGCCAACATGGTGAAACCCTGTCTCTATGAAAAATACAAAAATCAGCCAGGCGTGGTGGCTCACGCCTGTAGTCCTAGCTACTTGGGAGGCTGAGGCAGGAGAATTGCTTGAACTTGGGAGGTGGAGGTTGTAGTGAGCCGAGATTGCATCACTGCACTCCAGCCTGGGCAACAGAGTGAGACTCCATCTCAAAAAAAAAAAAAAAAAAAGAAAAAGAAAAGAAAAAAAAGATGGGGAAACAGGAAAACTTATACATTGCTGGTGGAAGTGGGAATTGCTACAATATTTTGTAACACCATCTTGAAATGTTTATTGTTAAATACTTAGATATACACACCCTTGACCCAGCAAACCTCAAACTGGGAGTTCTAGCTACAGAAATAAAAGCTCCAGTAGGTGAGAATATAATTACAGGTACATTGTCTTCATCTTTTTATTTATTTATTTATTTATTTTATTTTTTTGAGATAGGGTTTCACTTCCATCACTCTGGCTGGAGTGGAGTGGTGTGATCTCGGGTCACTGCAACCTCCACCGCCTGGGCCCAAGCATTCCTCCCACCTCAGCCTCCCGAGTAGTTGGGACCACAGGTACACACCACCAGGCCCGGTTAATTTTGTTTCTGTATTTTTTGTACAGACAGGGTCTCACTATGTTTTCCAGGCTGGTCTTGAACTCCTGAGCTCAAGCAATCCACCTGCCTGGGCCTCCCAAAGGGCTAGGATTACAGGCATGAGCCACTACACCTGGCCAACTTCATCATTGTTCATCATAGGAAAAAAAAAAAAAAAAGATGAATGTCTACTTTCAGTGTCCTGAACATCCCATAGTTTCTCCCACTGTTCAAGTCTTCAGACAGTCTACTTCTTTTACCCAAACTGCTCCCTAATGCTGATGACAACCTACCCATCTTTCAAGTCTCAACTAAGAAAAAATAATTTTTGGGGGCTGGGCAAGAAAGTGAGACCCCATCTCTACAGATTAAAAATTAAAAAGCTGGTCAGGCTTGGTAGCATGTGCCTGTAGTCCCAGCTACATGGGAGGCTGAGGCAGGAGGATCATTTCAGTCCAGGAGGCCAAGGTTGAAGTTAGCCATGTTTGGGCCACTGCACTCCAGCTTGGGTGACAGAGTGAGAGCCTGTCTCAAACAAAAAACAACAACAAAAAATATATATATATGATTTTCTTGTTTTTTTTCTAATAACTTTATTGAGACATAATTGATATACTGCACATAAGATAAAAGGATAAAAAGATGATGATTTTTTTCTTTCTGAGACAGAGTCTCACCATATCGCCCAGGCTGGAGTGCAGTGGTGCGATCTCGGCTCACTGCAGTCTCCGCCTCCTGGGTTCAAGCGATTCTCCTGCCTCAGCCTCCCGAGTAGCTGGGACCACAGGTGCCCACCACCATACCCAGCTAATTTTTGTATTTTTAGTAGAGATGGGGTTTCCCCATGTTGGCCAGGCTGCTCTCTAACTCCTGAGCTCAGGAGATCTGCACATCTTGGTCTCCCAAAGTGCTGGGATTACAGACCAAGAAATGATAATGTTTTGAAAGGGAGAAAGAGAGAAAGCATCATGGGAAATGCAAATCACGTGTATTGGTTAGCAATTGGATGGATCTCACAAACATAAAGTGAAAGAAGCCAGACACAAAGGAGTACATACTGTGGATTCTAAAACCCAGAAAGAAGCAAAGCTGGCCACACTACTAGCTTTAGGAGTTAGTTACTGCCCAGGGCACATGGAGAGTTTTGGGGTGCTACCTCTATTTCTTGGTGCGGATGCTGGCTACGTGGGTGAGTTCACTTCGTGAAAATTCATCTAGCTGTTACAATATGTGTGCTTTTCTGTGTGTATGGTACATTTGAATAAAAAGTTAAAACCAAACTGTTCTCAGACAGTTACCTGCTGGACATAAGAGGAAATCTGTAGGTGACTCATTGGTACCAAAGAAGAGAATGCTGAAGATAATACTGAATTCAAACTTCATGCTGTCAGCTTTAACATTTTATCACCATGAAATATAAATATGAGCCAGTCGTAGTGGCTCATGCCTGTAATCCTAGCATTTTGGGAGGCTGAGGTGGGCGGATCACTTGAGCCTAGGAGCTCAAGACCAGCCTGGGCAATATGAACATGGCAAAACCCAGTCTCTACAAAAAAAATAAAAATAAAAAAAAATTAGACTGGCCTAGGGGCAGACTCCTGTAGCCCCAGTTACTGGGGCTGGGGGTTGGGGCTGGACTGAGGTAGGAGGATGCAGAGAGCCCTGATCATACCACTGCACTGCAGCCTAGGCGACAGAGTAAGACTCTGTGTCTAAACAAATAAATAAGCACATTTGGAAATTGCCTCTAAAAACCAGAAGCCTTGGCTGGATGTGGTGGCTCATGCCTGTAATCCCAGCACTTTGGGAGGCCGGGGAGGGCGGATCACTTGAGGTCAGGAATTTGAGACCAGCCTGGCCAATATGGTGAAACCCTGTCTCTACTAAAAATACAAAAATTAGCCTGGGATGGTAATGGGCGCCTGTAATCCCAGCTACTCGGGAGGCTGAGGCACAAGAATCGCTTGAACCCGGGAGGCGCAGGTTGCAGTGAGCGGAGATCGAGATGGCGCCACTGCACTCCAGCCTGGGCCACAGAGCAAGACTCCTCCTCGAAAAAAAAAAAAAGAAAAAGAAAAAAGAAAAAAAATCAGAAGGTGGGGCGCGGTGGCTCACGCCTGTAATCCCAGCACTTTGAGAGGCCTAGGCGGGCGGATCACAAGGTGAAACCCCGTCTCTACTAAAAATACAAAAATTAGCCGGGCGTGATGGTGTCCACCTGTAGTCCCAGCTACTCAGCAGGCTGAGGCAGGAGAATCTCTTGAACCCGGAAGGCAGAGGTTGCAGTGAGCCGAGATTGCGCCACTGCCCTCCAGCCTGGCAACAGAGCGAGACTCCGTCTCAAAAAAAAAAAAAAACAGGAGCTTCTACTATGCTCTTTGTAATGACAGCAATTGAAATTGTTATCAAAGACAATAAAGGTTAACATGCAGTTAAGTCCTAGCCCAGGCCTTGCACAGAGCATTTAACAAACACCATCCTACTTACTCCTCGTGACAAACCTGTCACGTAGGTATTGTTCCCATTTTGCAGGAAACTAAAGTTCAAAGACCTGGTGACTCACAAAAGGTCATATATTATATAATTAGGATCTGAATCAGTTTGCAAACTCTGAAAATTTTGCTTTTAACAGGTAAAATATCTCTACAGGAGAGAAACCACCGGAAAACAGGAACAAGCAATACCTTTTGACAAAGTCATTTGGTTCTATTTCACTTGTGAAAATTGACTTCTGGATGAAAAAAACCCTGGGCAGAGTTTGGGAACAGATGTTGGTCTTAATTAAGAATCTTCTCCAAAATTATTTCATTCTCCTTCTTATTCTCCCAAATTTCTTCTTTTTTTTTTTCTTTCTTTTTTTGGAGACAAATTCTCACTGTTGCCCAGGCTGGAGTGCTGTGATGTGACCTCAGCTCACTGCAGCCTCCACCTCCTGGGCTCAGGTAATTCTCCCACCTCTGCCTCCCGAGTAGCTGGGACTACAGGCACATGCCACTACACCCAGCTATTTTTTTAATTTTTTGTAGAGATGGCGTATGGTCATGTTGCCCAGTCTGAAAGAATTTCTAATGTCTTCAGAAAAAACAAATAATTTAGTCTAATTAGAAAAATATGCTTTCATCAAAAACTCAGAGGCATATTTGACCCCAATAATAGGAGAAAAAGATTGAATAGTGAGCTTAGAGATAAGGAAACGTTAGTAATTTTTTAAATTAAATGTTAAGTATTAAGACTTTAAAAAAAGATAATAGAATAAGGACATAAAAATTCTATTCAGAACTTAGAGAAAAACATTCAGACTTTTATTTATTTATTTATTTTTCCTTTTTGAGACAGAGTCTCACTGTATTGCTCAGGCTGGAGTGCAATGGTGCAATCTCGGCTCACTGCAACCTCCGCCTTCCGGGTTCAAGCAAACCTCCTGCCTCAGCCTCCCGAGTAGCTGGGATTACAGGTGCCTACCACACACCTGGCTTATTTTTGTATTTTTAGTAGAAATGGGGTTTCACTATGTTGGCCAGGCTGATCTCATTTCCTGACCTCAAGTGATCCACCTGCCTCGGCCTCCCAAAGTTCTGGGATTACAGATGTGAGCCACTGCACCTGGCCTATTTTTTAATTTATTTTTTGAGATGGAGTCTCACTCTGTTGCCCAGGCTGGAATAAAGTGGTTCAATCATGGCTCACTGCAACCTCTGCGTCCTGGGTTCAAGCAATTCTCTTGCCTCAGCTTCCCGAGTAGCTGGGATTACAGACATGTGCCTAGCTACTTTTTTTGTATTTTTAGTAGAGATGGGGTTTCACCATGTTGGCCAGGCTGGTCTCGAAGGCCTGACCTCAAGTGATCTGCCCATCTCGCCCTCCCAAAGTGCCGGGATTACAGGCGTGAGCCACCGCGCTGGCCCTAATGTTCACAGTTCTTATGAACATTACAGTTGAGACCCTCTAAGCTAGACTAAAGGAAAGACAGGAAAAAAAAGAAAGAAAGAAAGAAAGAAAAACCTGTCCGGTCATCTAAACCATTCAATAAGTATAAAAGAAAGGGTGGAAAATTATGCAGTGCTCCTAGTTGTTTACAAGGATTATTTCTATGGGTTTTAAAATATTCTGTATAAGATGTTTTATTGTTTTGATTACTAAGCCAAATACATATGACAGCACCTAGCATAGAACTTTAACAACTCTTTATACTATATGTTCAATACATATTTGTTGAATTAGAATGTACATCTTGCTTAATCAGAGCCACATGTATTCTGTTCTTTGAAAAATTGTAGAAAAGACTGGCCAATTTGGCATTTTTTGTTGGAATCCTATTGAATAACTATCGCTCTTATACTTCTAGTCATTGGTCTAATGGAGTGGGATTTTACAAACGTAAGTTATATAGTCATCCATAAGTTAAATGTGTAATTCTATTATATTTAATGTAACAGAAAAAAATGTAAATACACAATAGTATACATTTAAAACCTAGAGGTATTGGCTGGGTGTGGTGGCTCACGCCTGTAATCTCACCACTGGGAGGCTGAGGCGTGTGTATTACTTGAGGCCAGGAGTTCAAGACCAGCCTGGCCAACATGGTGAAACCCAATCTCTACTAAAAATACAGAAACTAGCTGGGCGTGGTGGTGGGTGCCTGTAATCCCAGCTACTCAGGAGGCTGAGGCATGAGAATAGCTTGAACCAGTAGGTGGAGGTTGCAATGAGCCGAGATCGAGCCACTGCACTCCAGCCTGGGTGACAGAACAAGACTCAAAACAAAACAAAACAAAACACCTAGGGGGAAAAAATTTGCCAAGGCTAATTCATCCACCCAGAAGCTGTCTGGATACAAAACATTTAAAAGTAGAGAGAGGGGCCAGTGTGGTGGCTCATGCCTGAAATCCCAACACTTTGGGAGGCCAAGGAGGGCAGATCACCTGAGGTCGGGAGTCTGAGACCAGCCTGACCAACGTAGAGAAATACCATCTCTACTAAAAATACAAAATTAGCCTGGCATGGTGGTTCATGCCTATAATCCCAGCTACTCGGGAGGCTGAAGCAGGAGACTGGCTTGAACCTGGGAGGAGGAGGTTGCAGTGAGCCGAGATCGTGCCATTACACTCCAGCCTGGGCAACAAGAGCGAAACTCTGTCTCAAAAAAAAAAAAAAAAAAAAAAAGCAGGGAGAGGAATATGTAGAGTAATTGGATTGTTTTGCTTTTGTTTTTATTTTTCTGACTTTGTCTCACAAAAAGAATTTTTGTCAATCAAGTAGAAAGTTTAACTTCTGGCCTGATAAAAAGTGTCAGACTGCAACATTCTGTAAGTTAAACCACCTCTCGAGAAACACAGAAAGGCCAATATGTATTCGTTTTTTAAAATAAAACTGTATGATTTTATATATATATATTATATATTACATATATTATACTATATATGTAATATATATTTTATATATGTATGCAGTTTTATTATATATATAAAATCATACAGTTTTACTTTACATATATACATAATATATAATTTTTTTTGAGACAGCGTCTTGCTCTGTTGCCCAGGCTGGAGTGCAGTGGCACGATCTCAGCTCACTGCAACCTCCGCCTCCTGGGTTCAAGCGATTCTCCTGCCTCAGCCTTCTGAGTAGCTAGGACTACACCACACCTGGCTAATTTTTTTGTATTTTTAGTAGAGACAGGGTTTCACCATGTTGGCCAGGCTGGTCTCAAACTCCTGACCTCAGGTGATCTGCCCGCCTTGGCCTGCCAAAGTGCTGGGATTACAGGCACAAGCCACTACACCTGGCTGTATGATTATATTAAACATATTTTTTCAAACAGCATACATTTCCCTTCTTTACCCCTTAATCCTCCTTGCAACCTCCAGAAAGTCTGTTCTGTGTGTTGCACCTGATTGGTGATCTACATCTGTGTGTTGAGGTCAGGATGGTTCAGTGGGGCCCAGCTGGGCGGGAGAGGGCATTGGTCCTTATTGTTGGTGCTATGGGTGCATCTCAATGCCCCTCCCTTTCCCTTCCTCTTCCTGCCCGTACCCTTTCATGCAGAATCCCAAGCATGGGATTAAACCCAAGGCAAATTTATTACGTGGCCCTTTGCTGTAAAGGATATTGAGTAAGAAGTTAATTTTAGAAGTGTATTTTTATGCTGTAAACTTCTTGTGATTCATTGAAAATTAACACAGACCACGAAGGTACCTAGGAGGACATAGGTGAGGGTGTGTGTGTGTGCACGTGTGTGTTTGAGCTTTTGGACAGGTAAGAGGACTTCCCGGGCGGGCTTGGCCTTGGCAACTATTGACATTTAGGACTGAATAACTTTGTTTTGGGGATCTGTCCTGTGCATTCTGACATGTTTAGCAGCATCTCTGGCTTCTATCCATTAAATCTCCCTGCTCCCCCAGTTATAACAACCAAAAATTGTAATCCCAGCTACTCAAGAGGCTGAGGCAGGAGAATTGCTTGACCCTGGGAGGTAGAGGTGGCAGTGAGCCGAGATGGCACTGCTGCACTCCAGCCTGGGCAACAGAACAAGACTCCATCTAAACAAACAAACAAACAAAAAAAGTCTCTAGATATTGCCTGATGTGCTCTATGGGCAAGAAGGGTTGAGAACTGAAGGGGATTTGGGCTATTTGGGGAATGCTGACAGCCACATGCTGATGATCAGGTCTGCGTGAGACAATGTGGAGGTTCCCACAAAGACTCAAGCATTAGGGCCATGATGTGACATGTGGAGGATAATTTTTGTTTGTTTGTTTTTGGTTTTGGTTTTTTTTGAGACAAGAGTCTTGCTCTGTTGCCTAGGCTGGAGTTCAGTGGTGGGATCTCGGCTCACCGCAACCTCCGCCTCCCAGATTCAAGTGATTCTCCTGCCTCAGCCTCCCAAGTAGCTGGGGCTATAGGTGCACACCACCATGACTGGCTAATTTTTGCATTTTTTCTAGTGATGGGGTTCCACCGTGTTGGCCAGGCTGGTCTCAAACTCCTGACCTCAGGTGATCCGCCCACCTCAGCCTCCCAAAGTGCTGGGCCAGAGGATGATGATCTTAACATTTGCTCAGAAATTATTGCTGGTGGCCTGGCAAGGTGGCTTACACCCGTAATCCCAGCACTTTGGGAGGCCGAGGTGGGTGGATCAGCTGAGGTCAGGAGTTTGAGAACAGCCTGCCAACATGGTGAAACCCCGTCTCTACTAAAAATACAAAAAATTAGCTGGGCATGGTGGCGCACGCCTATAGTCCCAGCTACTTGGGAGGCTGAGACAGGAGAATTACTTGAACCCAGGAGGCAGAGGTTGCAGTGAGCTGAGATTGTGCCATTGCACTCCAACCCGGGCAACAGAGCAAGACTTCCTTTCAAAAAAAGAAAAAAGAAAAGAAACTATCGCTGGCTTCGTGATGGGGGCAGAACATCTCAAGTTGCTTTATTGATATATCCAGGAAATTTTTATTTATTTATTCTATTTGCAGGGCACTGCACTAGACAAAGTCTGAGTTAAGTGTATTGCCAAGAAGGTGTGGGGCAAATGGCTTTCTTCCTCTCAGTCCCAATAGCAATTGTTTCTTTCTTTTAATTTAATTTTTATTGTGGGAAAATATACATAATATAAAAATTACTACTTTGACCATTTTTAAGTTCAAATCAGTGACATTAAATACATTCACATTGTTGTGCAACCATTGCCACCGCCCACCTCCAGAATTTTTTCATCTTCCCAGACTGAAACTCTGTACCATTAACTCCCTAATCCTCTTCCCTCAAGGCCCTGGGAACCACTGTTCTACTTTCTGTCTCCATGAATTTGACTACTTTAGGAGAATCACACGATATATACTTTTTTGAGTCTGGCTTATTTTACTTAGCATAATGTCCTCAAGGGGCACCTATGTTGCAGCATGTGTCAGAATTTCCTTGCTTTTGATGACAGAATAATATTCCATTGTAGGTATAGACCACATTTTTTGTTTGTTTGTTTGTTTGTTTTTGAGATGGAGTCTTGCTCTGTTGCCCAGGCTGGAGTGCAGTAATGCCACCTTGGTTCACTGTAACCTCCACCTCCCCGGTTCAAGCAATTCTCCTGCCTCATCCTCCCAAGAAGCTGGGATTACAAGTGTCCACCGCCATACCCGGCTAATTTTTGTATTTTTAATAGAGATGGGGTTTCACCGTGTTGGCCAGGCTGGTCTCGAACTCCTGACCTCAGGTGATCCACCCGCCTCAGCCTCCCAAAGTGCTAGGACTGTAGGCGTGAGCCACCACGCCCAGCCCTTGTTTATCCATTTATCTGTTGATGAAAATTTGGGTTGTTTCCCCCTTTTGGTTGTGGTGAATAATGCTGCTATGAACATCCATGTAATAACTGTTTCTTTTTATTTTCTCCTTTTTAAAATATGAGATGGGGTCTCCCTATGTTGCCCAGGCTGGTCATGGACTCCTGGGCTCAAGTAATCCTCCCACCTCAGCCTCCTGAATAGCTAGGACTATAGGCATGCACCACCACCCCCAGCTAATTTAAAACTGTTTTTGGAGATGGGGATCTCGCTATGTTTCCCAGGCTAGTCTCGAACTCCTGGGCTCAAGTGATCCTCCTGCCTCGGCCTCCCAAAGTGCTGGGATTATAGGCATGAACCACCACGCCCAGCTCTGTTTCTTGATTACTAAAACAAGTCACTTTTCTTCTTAAAATTACAAAATTCTCTTTCTTTCCCCTGTGTCAGTGGTTGGCTTCCCTAACGGTCCATCTGGCTCTGGCTCTCCCTCTCCCTCTCTGATGCTATGTCTCTGGCTATGTCCCATGGTCCATGGATATCTCGCATGAATATCTGCTCAAGATCTCATTCCTCCTTCCTTAGGTGACAGCATCTTGATTTTCCTTGGGGAAGCCACCATTCCTCCACTCTAAGTTCACATGATTTGGGTAGAGCAGATCCTCTTCCCCACCATCATTCAGCTCCCCAACCTCAACCGCCCTGCCCTTTCGAAGGCTGCACATCAGACCCGGGTCCAGCAATCAGACACTCCCTCTCCCAGGCCATACTTCATACTTCAGAGATGGGCACGTGATCAGGGTCAGGCCAATCTGGGAATCTGGAGACTTTGAGGAGTTAGACATACCCCCGCCTTTTTTTTTTTTGAGACAGAATCTGGCTCTGTCATCCAGACTGGAGTGCAGTGGTGCCATCTCGGCACACTACAACCTCTGCCTCCCGGGTTCAAGCAATTCTCTTGCCTTAGCCTCCTGAGTAGCTGAGACTATAGTCACCTACCACTGCACCTGGCTAAGTTTTGTATTTTTATTTATTTATTTATTTTGAGATGGAGTTTCATTCTTGTTGCCCAGGTGGTAGTGCAATGGCACGATCTCTACTCACTGCAACCTCCACCTCCCAGGTTCAAGTGATACTCCTGCCTCAGCCTCCCAAGTAGCTGAGATTACAGGCATGCACCACCATGTCTGGCTAATTTTGTATTTTTAGTAGAGACAGGATTTTGCCATGTTGGCCAAGCTGGTCTTGAACTCCTGACCTCAGGTGGTCTACCGGTCTCAGCCTCCCAAAGTGCTAGGATTACAGGTGTGAGCCACCGCTTCCGGCTAACATACCCTTTCAATGGGATTGCTGAGGGTGAGGATTTAGACCCGAGGCTGCCAGCCACCATGTTCACCACCAGAAGGGATGGGCCGGAAGAGAAGGGAGCCAGTCAGAGAAAAACAGAGCTGAGAGGTGGAGCAAGACTGATGAATCCATATTGTGACCTGGGTCCAGTTGTGCCTGAACTAGCCCTGGTCTTTATATATATATATATATATATATATATATATATATATATATATATATATATATATATATATATATATATATTTTGTTGTTGTTGTTGTTGTTTGAGACGGAGTCTTGCTCTGTCGCCCAGGCTGGAGTGCAGTGGTGCGATCTCTCCTCACTGCAAGCTCCGCCTCCCGGGTTCACGCCATTCTCCTGCCTCAGCCTCTCGAGTAGCTGGGACTACAGGCGCCCGCCACCACGCCGGCTAATTTTTTGTATTTTTAGTAGAGACGGGGTTTCACCCTGTTAGCCAGGATGGTCTCAATCTCCTGACCTCGTGATCCGCCCGCCTCGGCCTCCCAAAGTGCTGGGAATACAGGCGTGAGCCACCGCGGCCGGCCTAGCCCTGGTCTTTTTCAGGTTTTTTTTCTTTCTTAAGCCAGTTGGAGCTAGATTTTTGTCCCTTACTCAAAAAAGAGAATCCTGCTTGCTGAACTCCCTTTTCTGCCAAGATACCATTTGCTTTTTAGATTTCAGAATTCCTAGGAGATGCTGGACCAGAGACACCACAGCAAGAAGACATGTCCTTGGTGTTTCTGAAGCCCAGGCTTTTGCTCGTGAATGTGGACAGGGCAATACTTTAGTCATCTTATGACACGCCCAGAATATAGATGAGTAACAGATAATGTCACAAAGACTTTACAGTCAAATCGGGGAGATGTGTCAGATGCATCAGTAACTATCCCATAAAAGCAGAACGTGAAGGCAAAAGCCACATTCCAGTAAGCTGCCCTGGGGTTTATGTGGCCACCACTGATGACCCAACTCTGGTCCAAGAGATAGGGTGTACCTGTCTGTTAACAATGTCTTTTTGTCACAATGCCAGAAATTCTGACAATAGAAGGAGTCATTTGCATTCCCAGTCATCCTCTTTGGGAATGCAATTGTCCCAGTGAGAATTAAGTATCCTAGTTTTCTACAAGACCCGCTAGGACCTTGATACCATAGGCCAATGAGAAGAAAACAGTGGCATGATTAAGTGGGACCCCAGCCATCAGCCCAGTGCAGAGGGCGCTGCATTGCTAGCCTCTGGCTGAAAGTACAAAGTCATACCCATAGGTGGGCAGGACGTTCTTAGCTAGAAGAAGAAGGGAAGTCTAGTGGCACCAGCTTCTCATGGGAGCAGTGGGATCCCAGACAGGAGTCATGGATGGGGTGGACAGAAACAAGGCAGAGGGTTAAGACTTCAGCCAAGTGACTGTGTAGTCAGGAGCTGGCTCATTAAATAAAAAACAGAAGCTGATGTCGGGCATGGTGGCTTACGCCTGGGGGAGGCTGAGAGGGAAGGATCACTTGAGCCCAGGAGTTCAAGACCAGCCCAGGAAACATAACAAGACCCTACCATCCATGTAAAAAAAAAATAAAATAAAATTTTGGCCAGGTGTGGTGGCTCACATCTGTAATCCCAGCACTTTGGGAGGCTAAAGCGGGTGGATCACTTGAGGTCAGGAGTTCAAGACCAGGCTGGCCAACATGGTGAAACCTTGTCTCTACTAAAAATTCAAAAATTAGCGGGGCATGGTGGTTCATGCCTGTAATCCCAGCTACTTGGGAGGCTTAGGCAGGAGAATTGCTTGCACCTGGGAGGCGGAGGTTGCAGTGAGCCAAGATCACGTCATTGCACTCCAACCTGGACAACCGGAGCAAAACTCCATCTCAAAAAAAAAAAAAAATTTAATTTGCCGGGTATGGTGGTGCATACCTGTGGTCCCAGCAACTTGGGAGGCTGAGGCAAGAGGATCGCTTGAGTCCAGGAGTTTGAGGCTGCAGTGAGACATGATCGCACCAGTGCACTCCAGCCTGGGCAACAGAATGAGGCCCTATCTCAAAAACAATAATAATGATAATAATAATAATAATAATAATAATAATAAGGCCACCCAGAAGCTGAAAGCTAATTGAAGGTATCAGTGTGAGTTGGGGTGGGGTTTAAATTAAGAACACAGGTCTGGATGTCAATGGTAGCCCCAGGAACAGTGGATTCTGGCTTTATTTTATTTAGTCCACCCAACAACTGTGTGAGGTAGGGATCATAATTATCACCCCCATTTTACAGACAAGGGAGCTGAGACCCAGAGAGGTAAAGGACCACACACATGAGTAGTGGAGATGGAATTCAACCAAGCCTGTAAGTCTGTTTTCACAGCCAGTACTGTTTTTTTTTTGAAATGGAGTTTCACTCTTGTTGCCCAGGCTGGAGTGCAATGGTGCGATCTCAGCCCACCGCAACCTCCGCCTCCCGGGGTTCAAGCGATTCCTCTGCCTCAGCCTTCCGAGTAGCTGTGACTACAGGCGCCCGCCACCATGCCTGGCTAATTTTTGTGTTTTTAGTAGAGATGGGTTTTCACTATGTTGGCCAGGCTGGTCTCAAACTCCTGACCTCGTGATCTGCCTGCCTCAGCCTCCCAAAGTGCTGGGATTACAGGTGTGAGCCACCATGCCCAGCCCCAGTACCTTATTTCTTTTTATTCTTCAAACGTGGTAAAATATCATCTTAATATATATATATATATATGTTTTATATATATAGGTTTTTTATATATATATATTTTTGGTTATATATATATACATATTTTGGTTTGGCAACTCACTGCAAACTATTTTATTTCCACAATCATGATTACACATATATACAGATAGAGTAGAAATGCACATTAGTATAGCTATATGTCTAAATTCTAAATAATCATATCCTTCTGTTTAGGGGAAATACAAACAATCCTGTTGACCTAAATCATAAGAATTTTTTTTTTTTGAGACAGGGTTTCATTCTTGTTGCCCAGGCTAGAGTGCAACAGCAATATCGGCTCACTGCAACCTCCATCTCCTGGGCTCAAGTGATTCCCCTGGCTCAGCCTTCCAAGCAGCTGGGATTACAGGTGCCTGCCACCACGCCCAGCTAATTTTTTGTATTTTTAGTAGAGACAGGGTTTCATTATGTTGGCCAGGCTGGTCTCGAACTCCTGACCTCAAGCAATCCGCCCACCTCGGCCTCTCACAGTGCTGGGAGGTGTATACAAATTGCTACTGGTGTATATTACAGGTGTATACAAATCACTACTGGGTAAAATAGTTTCCTCTTAAAGATAAGGCATACCTTGTTTTTTTCAAGTGATTCTTCATTTATGGCCAAGAGTGAATACTTCGCAAGAATCAAAATACACAGTTCTTTGATAACCCATAGGTTTTTTAAAGGAGTCCTTTTAGACTCATACACTCACATGGAAATTTATATTGATGTTTACACTCGTGAGTTAAAGATGTCTAAATAAGGCCAGACATGGTGGCTCATGCCTGTAATCTCAGCACTTTGGGAGGTCGAGGCCGGTGGATACCTGAGGTCAGGAGTTCGAGACCAGCCTGGCCAACATGGCGAAACCCCGACTGTACTAAAAATACAAAAATTAGCCGTGCGCGGTGGCACATGCCTGTAATCTCAGCTACTGGGGAGGCTGAGGCAGGAGAATCGCTTGAACCTGGGAGGTAGAGGTTGTAGTGAGCCCAGATCGTGCCACTGCATCCCAGCCTGGGCAACAGATTGAGACTCCATCTTAAAAAAAAAAAAAAAAAAAAAAAAAAAGATGTCTAAACAGTTGTTGGAGCTCAGAAAATGATACCCTAAAATGAAGGCCTCAGAAATAAAAGTTTTTCTCTGCCCTCTTGCCCTCCTGTCTCTGGCCCCTCTTCCTCCACCCGAGGCAAGTCATAGAAACTAGAATCCTTCTTCCCTAAGGCTGGTGATAGAAACCAGATCCCCTTTTCCCCCAAGCCAGCCATAAAACCTAAAAGTGTTACTCTATATTTTACTCTGCCTTTCGGTATTAAAACTGACCCAGAATTTATCTGACCTCTCTTGTTAGAGTGTAGCTCATAAGACCCCCATTCCAGAGAGGGTCGCGCCCCACATCAACAAGGAAGGAGCTGCTCAGAGAGGCTAAGGAGAATCCGGACAGACAGGCCGTGCAGGGTTTCCCCACTCAGTGTATTAGCAGTACATCAGACCCTTTTTGTCCAACCCTATTTCTATACGGCTGTCCATACTTTGTTGAACCTAAGCTTAAAAATGGACAATTGCCCCTGTATCTTTGGGTCTTCATTCCGCAGGCTCCCATGTCACATAAAGCGATGATCAAATAGCTGTATATGCCTTTTCCCCTACTCATCTGCCTCTTGTCAGTGATTTTCAGCAAACCTTCAGAGGGCAAAGGGGAAGTTTTCCTTTGGCCGCTACATCGTGTTAGGAAAACTAGGTAACCTCATATAAAAAACAAACAAAAAAAACTAAAGTTGGATCTCTGCCTCCTTCTTTAGCTCAAAATAAATTCTAAATGAACCAAAGGTTAAAATGTAAAATAGGGACCATAAAAGCACTAAAATAAAACATGGGTGGATGTCTTTGTAGTCATGAGAGGGAGAGGCTTGACATGAATACTAGACACTTCTCATAAACAGAAGGATTGATCATCTGAACCAGAGAAAATACAGAATGCTAAATGACGAGTTGATGGGTGCAGCACACCAACATGGCACATGTATACATATGTAACAAACCTGCACGTTGTGCACATGTACCCTAAAACTTAAAGTATAATAATAATAAATAAATAAATAAATAAATAAATAAAAAGAAAATACAGAACACGGGGCCAGGCCCGGTGGCTCATGCCTGTAATCCTAGCACTTTGGGAGGCCAAGGCTGGCCACCATGTTGGCCAGGCTGGTCTCAAACTCCTGACCTCAAGTGATCTGCCCGCCTCAGCTTCCCAAAGTGCTAGGATTACAGGCGTGGGCCACTGCACCCAGTGATAGTTTTTTTTTTTTTAACCTACACATGACAAAATAAATAAAGCAGTAACGGATTATAACCCAAGGTATACAACAAGCATCCATGAATCCATACTGATAAAAATAAATTATTGAATAAATTTTTAAATGAGGGGCCAGGAGCGGTGGCTCATACCTGTAATCCTAGCCTCAGCCTCCCAAAGCACTGAGAATACAGGTGTGAACCACTGTGCCCAGTCAAAAACATTTTTCTATTTTTTATTATTTTTTTTAAGACAGAGTCTCTGTCACCCAGGTTGGAGTGCAGTGGCCCAGTCTCAGCTCACTGCAACCTCCGCCTCCAGGTTCAAGTAATTCTCCTGCCTCAGCCTGCCAAGTAGCTGGGAAGAGCGCACTACCACACCCAGCCAATTTTTGTACTTTTAATAGAGATGGGGTTTCGCCATGTTGGTGAGGCTGGTCTCAAACTCCTGACCTCAAATGATCCGCCTGCTTTGGCCTCCCAAAGTGTTGGGATTACAGGTGTGAGCCACTGTGCCCAGCCAAAAAAATTGCTTTTTATTTTAAAGATAAGATTTTATAAAAATTCTAAAGCAGCTATAGATGAAAAAAAGCCGACACACACACAATGATAAAAGACAGAAAGTCAACTAGGAAAATATTTGCCACACATATGACAGACATAGTTCTAATTAATTTCTTAACTGACAAAGAGTATTCATATATTATTAAGAAAAGGACAACCCCAGCCGGGCACGGTGGCTCATGCCTGTAATCCCAGCACTTTGGGAGGCCGAGGCAGGCGAATCACGAGGTCAGGAGATCGAGACCATCCTGGCTAACATGGTGAAACCCCGTCTCTACTAAAAATATAAAAAAATTAGCCGGGTGTGGTGGCGGGCACCTGTAGTCCCAGCTACTCAGGAGGCTGAGGCAGGAAAATGGTGTGAACCCGGGAGGCGGAGCTTGCAGTGAGCCAAGATCGCTCCACTGCACTCTAGCCTGGGTGACAGAGCAAGACTCCGACTCAAAAAAAAAAAAAAAATCCAAATGTAATAGAAAAATGCAATCACAAAGGTAACTTTGAACAAACATTTCTGAATAATTCTGTATTCTAACTTATGAGTACAAGAAAATGTTGGTATGCTATTTGTACTTTTTTTTTTTTTTTGAGACGGAGTCTCACTCTGTCACCCAGGCTGGAGTGCAGTGGTGCGATCTCATCTCACTGCAACCTCTGCCTGCCAGGTTCAAGCCATTCTCCTGCCTCAGCCTCCTGAGTAGCTGGGGCTACAAGCGTGCACCGCCACACCCGGCTAATTTTTGTATTTTTAGTAGAGACGGGATTTCACCATATTGGTCAGGCTGGTCTCGAACTCCTGACCTCATGATCTGCCTACCTCAAGCCTCCCAAAGTGATGGGATTACAGGCTTGAGCCACTGTGCCCAGCCGCCTGGCTAATTTTTGTATTTTTTAGTAGAGACAGGGTTTCAACATGTTGGCCAGGCTGGTCTCGAACTCCTGACTTCAAGTGATCCACCCACCTTGGCTTCCCAAAGTGCTGGGATTACAGGCGTGAGCCACCATTCCCGGTTCAGTCCTTCCAGATTTTCTAAATTCTACTCTGTCATTAAATCCAGCTTCCCAGAGCTAAATAATCAGACCGCATTGCTTTGGCCTCATAGAATCACCTTCATGGAATTTCACTTCGGCATTAAGTCATCAGTTGCATCCAAGGACCCTGGGGCATCAGCTACAAACCCAGGTCCACGAACATGCGAATCACAGGGATCTCACTGAGGGTTTCTGGGTGAAGCTTCTCCAGGGTCTCCTGCAGGAACAGCTGTGCCTCTCTTGAGCATGTGGCTGGCTGTAATTTTATGGAAACTGAATCATGTTTCAATCCTTGAGAGGGAGGACTTGGGGGAAGTCAAATTTATGGCCCACTTCCAGCATCTATGCGAGACAATGAAATGTGCACATCCGTGGGCTAATAACTCCTGGCATTTAAAACAAAACAAAATGAACAAACAAAAAAAGCCTCATGTTCAAACTTCCCCGAGCATTTGTTTGTTTGTTTGTTTTTCTGTTGTATAGTTTTTTTTGTTTTTTTGTTTTGTTTTGAGACAGTCTCGCTCTGTCGCCAGGCTGGAGTGTGGTGGCACAATCTCAGCTCACTGCAACCTCCATCTCCTGGGTTCAAGTGATTCTCCTGCTTCAGTCTCCTGAGTAGCTGGATTACAGGCAGTAGCCACCACCCCCGGCTAATTTTTTGTATTTTTAGTAGAGATGGGGTTTCACCATGTTGGCCAGGATGGTGTCGATCTCTTGACCTTGTGATCCGCCTGCCTCAGCCTCCCAAAATGCTGGGACTACAGGAGTGAGCCACCATGCCCATCCTGTTGCTGTAGTTTTATCAGGTATCTCAATTCCCCTTGTAGAACAAGGAGGGATATAAAGAAATAAACCAAAATATAAATATATCTCCTGCCCATAACAGATGCTTTATTCATGATCAGATATCCACTTCTCCCACCCAAAAATGAAAGGCATAAAAGCCTCTAAGATGGAATCCCTTGAGTCAGGAGTTTGAGGATGCAGAAAGCTGTGATTATGCCACCGCACTCCAGCCTGGGTGAGACAGTGAGACCCCATCTCTTAAGAAAACAAAACAAAAAATAACAATAAGATGAAAAAATATCGTTTGACCCTGCCTCAAACTTCATAAATTTTCTGACGTTATAGAAACCTATTCTCAGCTGGGCACGGTGGCTCACGCCTGTAATCCCAGCACTTTGGAAGGCCAAGGAGGGCAGATCACTTGAGGTCAGGAGTTCGAGACCAGCCTGATCAATATGGTGAAACCCCATCTCTACTAATTATACAAAAATTAGTCAGGCATGGTGGTTGGCACCTGTAATTCCAGCTACTCGGGAGACTGAGGCAGGAGAATCGCTTGAACCTGGGAGGAGGAGGTTTTGGTGAGCTGAGATTGCGCCACTGCATTCCAGCCTGGGCAACAGAGGGAGACTCTGTCTCAAAACAAAACAAAACACAAAACAAACCAATTCTCTGCACGCTACAGTGAACACAACCAAAATGACTTCACACTGGGTAGCCGATGATCTAAAAGTCCTGTGTATTTTGCCCATCTTGTATTATAAAAGCTCGAAAGCCAGATATTCTATTTCCCACCGTCTCTTCCAAATAGATTTAGTTCTAGGGTTGCCAGATTTAGCAAAAAAAAAAAAAAAAAAATACAGAACGCCCAGTTAATTTGAATTTCAGGTAAACAACACATAATGTTTTTAGTGTAAGTATACTGCAAATTTCAGGTAAACAACACATTATTTCTTTAGTGTATGCATGTGCCAAATATTACATGGGTCCCAGTTATATATTTTTTTAATTATGTGTTCTTTACTGAAATTCTATTTAACTGGGCATTCTGTATTTCATTTGGCAACCCTACCCAGTTCTTAGCATGAGATACAGAGGGAAGTCTATTAGGCATATTTGGGAACAATTTTATTCTGGATAAAAAAGACAGAAACCACTGAAAAAAAAAAAAGACCCATCTTTTTTCCTGCCATGAATGCAGTTATGATGCCTGGCACTCTGGGAGCTACTTTGTGATCATGAGGCAACAAGCTGAAGATGAAAAGTCAACATGCTGTCCAGGCGCAGTGGCTCACCCCTGTAATCCCAGCACTTTGGGAGGCCGAGGCAGGTGGATCACTTGAAGCCAGCAGTTCGAGACCAGCCTGACCAACAGGGTGAAATCCCATCTCTACTGAAAAATAAAACAAAACACACACAGAAAAAACAATGAAAATTAGCTGGGCATGCTGACGCATGCCTATAATCCCAGCTACTCAGGAAGTTGAGGCACTTGAATCATGTTTCAATCCTTGAGAGGACTTGGGGGGAAGTCAAATTTGTGGTCTACTTCCAGCATCTGTGCGAGACAATAAAATGTGCACATCTGTGGGTAATATAACTCACCGATTATATTAGGGAGGCAGAGGTTGCAGTGAGCCAAGATCACGCCACTGCACTCCAGCCTGGGCGAGAGAGTGAGACCCTGTCTCCAAAAAAAGAAAAAAAGTCAACATGCCAAGGAAGACAGAGCAGAAGGCATGAATCCAAGCTCTTGGTGGCATTCATCAATTAATGGCGTATTCCTGAAACCATTTAGATAGTGCATTTCAAAAGCCGTTTCTGCAACTAAGTATTCAAAAGCCTCACTAAGAACTGTAAGACTTTTGAGGAGAGGGTCATTCTTCATCAACAGCATCAAGGGGTGCCCAGAAAAGGAGAAATAAGCCAACCTGACAAATGGGAAGAAATGAGACCCCACACCTTCATGTAATGGTGGTGCTGGGGGAAAAGAAAAAGATTTTATGTGCTATTAAGGGCAGGGAGAAAGGAGACACATATAACATAGCAGTCAAAAGCACAGGCTCTAAAGCCAACCTGCCTGGTTTCAAATTCAGTTCCATCATTGATTGGCTGTATGACCTTGGACAAATTACACAATTTCCACATACCCTTATTTCCTCATGTTTAAAATGAGAATAAGGCTGGGCACAGTGACTCACGCCTGTAATCCGAACACTTTGGGAGGCCAAAGCAAGAGGACGGCGTGAGCCCAGGAGTTCAAGACAAACCTGGGCAACACGGTGAGACCCCATCTATACAAAATATAAAAAATCAGTCAGGCATGGTGGCATATGCCTGTAGTCCTAGCTAATTAGACTTGGGAGGTTGAGGTGGGAGGATCCGTTGAGCCCAAAGTGGTTGCAATGAGCTGCGATTATGCCACTGCGCTCCAACATGGGTGACAGGAGTGAGGCCCGGTCTCAAAAAAAAGTGAGGATTAAAACAAACTGACGTGGAGTTGTTATAGGGACGGAATAAATTAACACAAGCAATTAGAAGCACAAATATGCAATTGGTTAGTAATGACGGAAGACACGGGTATACAGGCATGCTCTCTTGCGAATGCGAATCCATCTGCCTAGGGGACTTTGTATGACAGTCTCAGGAAAGCTTCCTCGGCCAGCTTAAATGGAAAAGCTGCTTCTCTTTTTTTCTTTTTCTTTTTCTTTGAGACGGAGTCTTGCTCTGTTGCCCAGGCTGGAGTGCAGTGGTGCGATCTCAGTTCACTGAGAGCTCAACCTCCGCTTCCTGGGTTCAAGTGATTCTCGTGCCTCAGCCTCCTGAGTACCTGGGATGACAGGTGTGCGTCACCATGCCGCGCTAAGGCTAGTTTTGTTGTTGTTGTTGTTTTTGAGGCAGAGTCTCACTCTGTCGCCAGGCTGGAGTGCAGTGGTGCGATCTCGGCTCACTGCAACCTCCACCTCCCGGGTTCAAGCAACTCTCCTGCCTCAGCCTCTGGAGTAGCTGGGACTACAGGCACGTGCCACCATGCCCAGCTAATTTTTGTATTTTAGTAGAGACGGAGTTTCACCATGTTGGCCAGGATGGTCTCGATCTCTTGACCTCATGATCCACCCGCCTCGGCCTCCCAGAGTGCTGGGATTACAGGCGTAAGCCACCACGCCTGGCCTAATTTTCTTTTTTTTTTTTTTAATAGAGACAGGGTTTCACCATGTTGGCCAGGCTGCTCTCGAACTCCTGACCTCAAGTGATCCGCCTGCTTTGGCCTCCTAAAGTGCTGGGATTACAGGCATGAGCCACTGCACCCAGCCAATAAGCTGCTTTTGTTAGGTGAATCCATGGCTTTCCCACATAAAGGTTGCCATACCTTACAGTAAGGCATATTTGACAGTCCTCCAAAAGAATGAAAGCTCCTTAAGGGCATATGTCATGTCTGTCTTGCTTATACAGTAGGTGCTTATCTTTCATTGAATAAAATAATAAAATAATGAAAGGAGCCAGGTGCAGTGGCTCACACCTGTAATCCCAGCACTTTGGGAGGCCGAGGAGGGCAGATTGCCTGAGGTCAGGAGTTCAAGACCACTCTAGCCAACATGGTGAAACCCCGTCTGTACTAAAAATACAAAAATTAGCTGGGTGTGGTGGCGCACACCTGTGATCCCAGCTACTCAGGAGGCTGAGGTAGGAGAATTGCTTGAACCTGGGAGGCAGAGGTTGCAGTGAGCTGAGATCATGCCATTGCACTCCAGCCTGGGCAACAGAGCAAGACTCCATCTCGAGGAAAAAAAAAAAATGAAAGGGTCAAGGAAGTTTGCATTTGGGGTGGGCTTTGAAGGTGGGCAGGGTTGCAGGCATGAACTCTGGGGAAAGCACAGGCCAAGGAGAGAGGCTGGCATTAGATACAGCCTGGCGGCACCTGGTTTTTTGACTAGAAAATAAGACTACATGTAAGATGAGGCCCAATCACAGAGCATCTTCCTTGCCTTGTTAAGAGTTGGGCGTTCAGGCATTAAGCAAAGAGGCAGCTTTGACAGTCTTTGGTCACTGGAATGATGTGCTCAGGGCTTCAGGGGACAGGTTTGTTGTCTACAGGAATGCAGGAGGCTGAGAACAAAGGCCAAAAAGATTCTTGTGAGACAGAAGACTGAGTCTGGGTGGCAGCAGTACAGTAGAGACAGTTATGATAAACACGCTGATTGAGGAAAAGGAACCAAACATGGCCTCCTAGCCAGTGAGGAGAACAAGGAGAAGCAAGGAGTCGATGACTCTGAGGATGCTGAGTGGAGTGGAGGTCCTGCTGGGAAGGAATTCAAAGCTCATTAAAGAAGAGCTATTTAGGGCCAGGCGTGGTGGCTCATGCCTGTAATCCCAGCACTTTGGGAGGCCAAGGAGGGTGGATCACCTGAGGTCAGGAGTTCGAGAGCAACCTGGCCAACATGGCAAGACCTCATCTCTACTAAAAATGCAAAAATTAGCTGGATGTGGTGACTCATGCCTGTAATTCCAGCTACTCAGAGGTTGAGGCAAGAGAATCGCTTGAACCTGCGAGGTGGAGGCTGCAGTGAGCTGAGACTATACCACTGCACTCCAGCCTGGGTGACACAGCAAAACTCCGTCTCAAAAAAAAAAAAAGAAAAGAAAAGTAAAGTTATTTAGGAGAGGGGGAAAGATGTATTTGGTTTTAGAAATGTTGTTTGAGAAGCTGGTGAGTCACCTAAGAGGAGGTTAAGATAGGCTCCTGGGAATTCCATCTAGGAGACATCAGACTTTTCCCTCTGTTTGGTTAATTAGGGTTAAGATCCAGGTTTCAGGCCGGCCACGGTGGCTCACACCTGTAATCACAGCACTTTGGGAGGCCAAAGCGGGTGGATGACCTGAGGTCAGGAGTTCGAGGCCAGCCTGGTCAACATGGAGAAACTCCATCTCTACTAAAAATACAAAAATTAGCTCGGCATGGTGGCGCTTGCCTGTAATCCCAGCTACTAGGGAGGCTGAGGTGGGAGGATTGCTTGAACCCGAGAGGCAGAGGTAGCAGTGAGCTGAGATTGTGCCACTGCACTCCACCCTGGGTGACAGAGCAGGACTCTGCCTCAAAGAAAAAAAGAAAAAAGATCAAGGTCTCAGATAAGCTTTGGAGTCTGAAGCCTATGGTGAGAACAGCTAGAGAGAAGATGAATAAGGAAACAGAGGACAGGAACAACACTGTGAACAAACTGGACCTAACAGACATGTGCAGGACACTCCACACACATGCAGCGAATGCATGTTTAATTAATACCAATTCTTCTCAAACTAATTCAAAAGAAAAAAGAAAAAGGAGGAAACACTTCCTAACTGATTCTAAAAGCATGGCCCCAGTACCAAAGCTAAATGAAGACCCTGGAAGAAGATTACAGACTAATATCTCATATAAAGATTGAGGCCGGGTGTAGTTGCTCACGCCTGTAATCCCAGCAGCACTTTGGGAGGCCGAGGCAGGTGGATCATTTGAGATCAGGAGTTCAGGACCAGCCTAGCCAACATGGTGAAACCCCGTCTCTACTAAAAATACAAAAATTGGCCAGGCATGGTGGCTCACGCCTGTAATCCCAGCACTTTGGGAGGCCAAGGCGGGTGGATCACTAGGTCAGGAGTTTGAGGCCAGCCTGGCCAACACAGTGAAACCCCGTCTCTACTAAAAATACAAAAAATTAGCCAGGCGTGGTGGCGGGCGCCTGTAATTCCAGCTACTCAGGAGGCTGAGGCAGGAGAATCACTTGAACCCAGGAGGCAGAGGTTGCAGTGAGCCAAGATGGTGCCATTGCACTCCAGCCTGGGTGACAAAAGTGAAACTCCATCTCGAAAAAAAAAAATTAGCCGGGCGTGGTGGCACATGCCTGTAATCCCAGCTACTCAGGAGGCTGAGGCACGAGAATCGCTTGAACCTTGAAGGTGGAGGTTGCAGTGAACAAGATTGTGTCACTGCACTCCAGCCTGGGCAACAGAGTGAGACTCTGTCTCAAAAAAGAAAAGAACATTACTAGGCTGGTTGTGGTGGCTCAAGCCTGTAATGCCAGTACTTTGGGAGGCTGAGGCAGGCAGATTGCTTGAGTTCAGGAGTTTGAGACCAGCCTGGGCGACATGGCGAAACCTCATCTCTACAGAAAAAATATCAAAAAAAGCCAGGCATGGTGGCAACATGCCTGTCATCCCAGCTACTGAAGAGGCTGAGGTGGAAAGATCACTTGAGCTGGGGAGTTGGAGGCTGCAGTGAGCCGTGATCAAGCCACTGAACTCCATGCTGAGCGACAGAGTGAGACCTTGTCTCAACAACAATAATAAAAAAGATGGATACAAAAATCCTCAACGAAAATTCTAGAAAACTGTCGCTCAGCGTGGAGTTCAGTGGCTTGATCACGGCTCACTGCAGCCTCCAACTCCCCAGCTCAAGTGATCTTTCCACCTCAGCCTCTTCAGTAGCTGGATGATAGGCATGTTGCCACCACGCCTGGCTTTTTTTGGTATTCTAGCAAACTGAACTCAGCAGTATATTAAAAGAATTATATGCCATGACCAAGTGGAATTATTCCTGGAGTGGCCCAATGTACAAAAATCAACCGATGTAATGTACCACATTAACCAAAGGGGAAAAAAAAACACACACACACACAATCATCTCAATTGATATAAACAAAAATTTGAGAACATTTATATCCTTTCATGATTTAAAAAGCACTCAACGAAATTAGAAATAGGAAATTAATTCAATATAATAAAGACTATTTATTTATGAGGCAGGATTTTGCTATGTTGTCCAGGCTGGAGGGCAGTGGCATGATCATTACTCACTGTAACCTCAAACTCCCGGGCTCAAGCTATCATCCTGCCTCAGCCTCCAAGTAGCTAGGCATGCACCACCATGCCCAGCTAATTTTTTAGTTTTTTGTAAACAAAGAGTCTTCCTATGTTGCCCAGACTGATCTCAAACTCCTGACCTCAAGCAATCCTCCCACCTCAGCCTCCCAAACTGCTGGGATTACAGGCAGGAGCCACCATACACAACCTGACCATATAAAAAAACCCACAGCTAATATCATACTCAACAACGAAAGACTAAAAGCTTTTTCTCCAATAGCAGGCATAAGACAAGGATGTCCACTTTTTACTACTTCTATTCAATATCGGATTGAAGGTAGACAGAGAAATTGTGCAAGAAAAACAAAGAGAAGGCATCCAAAATGGCACAGAAGTAACATTATGTCTGTCATGATCTTATATATAAGAAATCCAGGCCGGGCGTGGTGGCTCACGCCTATAATTCCAGCACCTTGGGAGGCTAAGGCAAGCAGATCACCTGAGGTCAGGAGTTCGAGACCAGTCTGGCCAACATGGTGAAACCCCGTCTCTACTGGAAATACAAAAATTAGCTGGGTGCGGTGTTGTGCACCTGTAGTCCCAGCTACTCGGGAGGCTGAGGCAGGAGAATCGCTTGAGCCTGGGAGGCGGAGGTTGCAGTGAGCAGAGATCGCACCATTGTACTCCAGCCTGGGCAACAAGAGCAAGACTCCATCTCAAAAAAAAAAAAAAAGAAAAAGAAAAAGAAAAGAAAAGAAAAGAAAAAAAGAACAAATATTGTTCTTTCGAAAGATTTCACGTACAGGAATATCTGAGAGATATTGCAGGTTTAGTTCCAGATCATCTCAATAAAGTGAATATCACATGAATTTTTTGGTTTCCCAGTGCATATAAATGTTATGTTTATGCTATACTGTATTCTATTACGTGTGCAATAGTATTATGTCTTTAAGATGTGCATGCCTTACTTTAAAAATACGTTATTGCTTTAAAAATGCTAATGATCATCTGAGCCTTCAGCAAGTCATCATCATTTGGCTGGTGGAGAGTCTTGCTTTGATGTTGATGGTTGCTGGTTGAGCAGGGTGGTGGTTACTGAAAGATCAGTGAATGGCTGTGCAGACAACAATGAAGTTTGCCTCATTGGTTGACTCTTCCTTTCCCGAAAGATTTCTGTGGCGAGAGAGGCTGTTTTACAGCATTTTACTCACAGTAGAACTTCTTTCAAAATTGGAGTCATTCCTTTTAAACTTTGCTGCTGCTTTATCAACTAAATTTGTGTAACATCTTAAATCCCTTATTGTCATTTCAACAATGTTCACAGCATCTTCAAGGATGTAGGAGTAGATTCTATCTCAAGAAACCACTTTCTCTGCTCATTCATAAGTAGCAATTCCTCATCCGTTGAAGTCTGATCATGAGATTGCAGCAATTCAGTCACATCTTTATGCTCCATTCCTAATTCTAGTTACCTTGCTATTTCCACCACATCTGCAATTCCTTCCTCTACTGAAGTCTTAAATGCCTCAAAATCATCCATGAGGGCTGGAATCAACTTCATCCAAACCCATTAAGGTTGATATTTCGACCTCCTCCCATGCATTACTAATTTTTTTTTTTTTTTTTTTTTTGAGACGGAGTCTAGCTCTGTGGCCCAGGCTGGAGCGCAATGGCGTGATCTCGGCTCACTGCAACCTCCGCCTCCCGGGCTCAAGCAATTCTCCTGCCTCAGCCTCCTCAATAGCTGGGATTACAGGCATGTCCCACCACACCCGGCTAATTTTTGCATTTTTAGTAGAGAAGGGGGTTTCACCATGTTGGCCAGGCTGGTCTTGAACTCCTGACCTCAAATGATTTGCCCATCTCGGCCTCCCAAAGTGCTGGGGTTACAGGCATGAGCCACCGTGCTCGGCTACTAATGTTCTTAATGGCATCTAGAATGGTGAATCCTTTTCAGAAGGTTTCCAATGTACTTTACCCAGATCCATCAGAGAAATCACTACCTATGGTGGCTACAGCCTTACAAAATGTATTTCATTATTATTTTTTTTTTTTTTGAGATGGAGTCTCACTCTGTCGCCCAGGCTGGAGTGCAGTGGCGTGATCTTGGCTCACTGCAACCTCTGCCTCCCAAGTTCAAGCGATTCTCCTGCCTCAGCCTCCCAAGTAGCTGGGACTACTGCCGCCCGCCACTGCGCCGGGTTAATTTATGTATTTTTAGTAGAGACGGGGTTTCACCATATTGGCCAGGCTGGTCTGGAACTCTTGACCTTGTGATCCACCCACCTCGGCCTCCCAAAGTGCTGGGATTACAAGCGTGAGCCACTGCACCTGGCCTTACAAAATACATTTCTAAATAGTAAGACTTGAAAGTCAAAATTACTCCTTGATCCGTGGGGCTGCAGAATGAATGTTGTGTCAGCATGCATGAAAACAGCATTCATCGCCTTGCACATCTCTGTCAGAGTTCTTTGGTGACCAGGTGCACTGTCAATAAGCAATAATATTTTGAAAGTAATTTTTTTTCTCAGTAGTAGGTGTCAACAATGGCCTTAAAATACTCAGTAAACCACACCGTAATCAGATGTGCTGTCACCTGGGCTTTGTTGTTCCATTTCTATAGCACACAGATTTGGCACCTTTTTTTTTTTTTTTTGAGACAGAGTCTCACTCTGTCACACAAACCGGAGTGCAGTGGCACAATCTTGCTTCAGTGCAACTTCCACCTCCCAGGTTCAAGCAATCCTCGTGCCTCAGCCTCCCAAGTAGCTGGGACTACAGGCATGCACCACCACACCCAGCTAATTTTTGTATTTTTTAGTAAAGATGGGGTTTCACCATGTTGGCTCGGCTAGTTTCGAACTCCTGGCCTCAAGCAATCCGCCTGCCTTGGCATGACCCACTGCACCCAGTGGATTTAGCATAATTCTTAAGGGCCCTAGGATTTTCAGAATGGTAAATAAGCACTGACCTTAACTTAATGTCACCAGCTGCATTTCATACTAGACACTAAGAAGTCAGGCTTTCCTATGAAGTTTTGAAGCCAGGCATTGAATTCTCCTCTCTAGCTTTGGAAGTCCTAGATGGCATCCTCTTGCAAGAGAAAGCTGTTTTGCCTACATTGAAAATCTGTTGTTTAGTGTAGCCACCTTCCTTCATCAATGATCTCAGCTGGATCTTCTGGACAACTTGCTTCAGTTTCTCCATCAGCACCTGCTGCTTCACCTTGCACTTTTATGTTATGGAGACGGCTTCTTTCCTTAAACCTCAGGAACCAACCTCTGCTAGCTTCCAACTTTTCTTCTGCAGCTTCCTCTCCTCTCTCAGCCATCACATAATTGAAGAGAGTTAGGGCCCTGCTCTCGATTAGGCTTTGGCTTAAGGGAAGGTTGTGGCTGGTTTGATCTTCTATACAGACCGCTCAAACTTTCTCCATATCGGTAATAATACAGTTTCGCTTTCTTATCATTCATGTGTTCACTGGAGTAGCACTTTTTCATTTCCTCCAAGAACTTTTCCTTTGCATTCACAACTTGGCTGTTTGGCACAAGAGGTCTAGCTTTCGGCCTATTTCAGTTTTTTTTTTTTTTTTTTTTTTTTTCAGATGGAGTCTCACTCTGTCACCCAGGCTGGAGTGCAGTGGTGCCATCTTCGCTCACTGCAACCTCTGCCTCCCAGGTTCAAGCGATTCTCCTGCCTCAAACTCCCAAGTAGCTGGGACTACAGGCGCCTGCCACCACACCAGGCTAATTTTTGTACTTTTAGTAGAGATGAGGTTTCACTATGTTGGCCAGGCTGGTCTCAAACTCCTGACCTCAGGTGATCCGCCCACCTCGGCCTCCCAAAGTGCTGGGATTACAGGCATGAGCCACCACAGCCGACCCTATTTCAGCTTTTGACGTGCCTTCCTCACCAAGCTTAATCATTTCCAGCTTTGATTTAAAGTGAAAGGCATGTGACTCTTTGTGACTCTTCCTTTCACTTGAGCATGTAGAGGCCATTGTAGGGTTATTAACTGGCCTAATTTCAATATCAAATTTGGAATAGGACGGATGGGAGGATCACTTGAACCCGAGTTCAAGACCACCCCTGGCAACATAGGGAGACCCTGTCTCCACAAAAAAAGTTAAAAATAGCCAGGCTTGCTGGTGTGTGCCTGTGGTTCAGTTACTCAGGAGGCTGAGGAAGGAGGATCACTTGAGCCCAAGGAGGTTGAGGCTGCAGAGAGCTATGACTGCACTACTGCACTCCAGCCTGGGAGATGGGGCAAGACCCTTTCTGAAAACAACAACAACAAAAAGTAAACATTGTGGGGCCAGGCACGGCGGCTCACGCCTGTAATCCCAGCACTTTGGGAGGCCGAGGCAGGTGGATCACGAGGTCAGGAGATAGAGACCATCCTGCCTAACGTGGTGAAACTCCATCTCTACTAAAAACACAAAAAAAATTAGCTGGGCATGGTGGCGGGCTCCTGTAGTCCCAGCTACTTGGGAAGCTGGGGCAGGAGAATGGCGTGAATCCGGGAGGTGGAGCTTGCAGTGAGCTGAGATCGCGCCACTGCACTCCAGGCTAGGTGACAGAGCAAGACTCCGTCTCAATAAAAAAAGTAAACATTGTTTCTGCTAATGCTATACATATACCAGAGTTACCCCTTTCCTGTGGTTTTGTTTTCCAAGGTTTCCGTTACCTGAGGTCAGTTGAGGTCCAAAAATAAGTGAGTATAGCTAAGATATTTTCTTTTTTTCCAAGATGGAGTCTTGCTCTGTCATCCAGGCTGGAGTGCAGTGGCGCAATCTCGGTTCACTGCAACCTCTGCCTCCTGGGTTCAAGCAATTCTCCTGCCTTACAGATGCCTGCCACCAAGCCCGGATTTTTTTTTTTTTTTTTTTGTATTTTTAGTAGAGACAGGGTTTCACCATGTTGGCCAGGCTGGTCTTGAACTCCTGACCTTGTGATCTGCCCATCTCAGCCCCCCAAAGAGCTGGAATTACAGGCGGCGGGGCGGTGGGGGGGGGGTTTCACCATGTTGGCCAGGCTGGTCTCGAACTCCTGACTTCAGGATCCACCTGTCTTGGCCTCCCCAAGTGCTGGGATTACAGGCGTGCACCACTGCACTCGGCCAGTTAAGATATCTTCAAAGACCACATTCACATAACCTTAACATATTGCTATAGTTGTTCTTTTTTAAATTGTTGCTAGTCTTACTGCACCTAATTTATACATTTTATCACAGGTATTTATTGATAGGAACACATCCCATCAACTGGCATGCCACTAGAGGTGCAGGGCCCACACTCTAGGGGACACTGATTTAAGGATTCTGAATGGTAGAAGAGAGGCTGTTACCTCTCCAGCAGAGGAGAGCGCTGGGGACTTCTGCAGTGCCACCCTGCACATGCAGGTTCAGGCTCGCAGCGCCAGTCACATAACTTAAGAAGTCCCTGTAGACAAGGTCTACCCATCACTCAGGGAGTTCAGCAGACAGGTATGGGACAAGCCTTATGTTTCTGAAATATGAGGTCATCACTCAGGGGCCCTATGAACCTGTCTCATAACTGCATTGACTTCTAGTTGTGGCTGTAAGTTTAAGCCCCCAACTTGGTGGCTCAAAACACCACAGATCAGTCTGGGCACAGAGGCTCATGCCTGTAATCCCAGCACTTTGGGAGGCCAAGACGGGCGGATCACTTGAGGTCAGGAGTTCGTGACCAGCCTGGCCAACATGGTGAAACTCTATCTCCACTAAAAATACAAAAATTAGACAGGCATGATGGTATGCACCTGTAATCCCAGCTACTTGGGAGGCTGAGGCGGAAGAATCACTTGAACCCGGGAGGCAGAGGGTGCAGTGAGCCGAGATCGCGCCACTGCACTCCAAGCCTGGGCAACAGAGCAAGACTCCATCTAAAAAAAAGAAAAAAAAAAAAAAAAAACCACCACCACAGATGTATTCTCTTACGGCTCTGGAGGTGAGAAATCTGAAATCGATTTCTCTGGGCTAACATCAAGGTGTTGGCAGGCAGTTCCAGCTGGAGGCCAAGGGAGGGTCTGCTGCTATTGCCCTAGGTAGCATCCCCTGGTTGCCCCTGCTTCTTGTCTGGGCCCCTCTGACTCTGACGCCTCGTCTGTCCCTCTAATGAGGACCCCGTGATCCTATCAGGCCCACCTGGATAACCCAGGACCACCTCTTCATCTCAAACCCCTAATCCCATTTGCAAAGCCCCTTTGCCACAGAAGGTAACACACACTCACAGGTTCTGGGGATCAGGACATGGACACTTTAGGGGCCATTCTTCAGCCTGCCACCATGACCAAGATGAAGGAGGCAACTGAGCAGGCCAGTGTGGCCAGGGCGGAGACAGGAGCCCGAGAAGAGCACTAGCCTCACATCTGGTGGAGGACAAGGGTCAGGGAGTGAGGCACAATGTCATGTGCTGCAACAAACAGCATGTGAGGGAGTAGATCCTAAAATGGACTCAAGGTCATGGGCCGGGTGTGACTCACAGGGAGTAAGCCAAGGTCAAAGCAGACTTGGGGTCCTTGGCTTTAGCTAACACAGAGGTGAACCCTGGCCCGCCCAAGCCATGGGGCACGGAACGAGCAGCGGCAGCCAGCAGAGGTCCAACCACAGGCGACTGGTGGCAAGTGAGATTTATTTAAACAACGACATGTCAACAGGAACAGGAAGAGGAACATGTGCGACCACTGTAGTGACCAAGGCTTCTCAAGAGTGTGGGATGAGACCTGCGGACGAGGCCCGCCCACCGCTCAGGGAGCTTGCAGGTCTCCTCCAGGAGGGCAAGTGGCTTCGGCTTCTGGCTCGGCATAAGCCTTCGACAGATTAATAAGTTATCTCCTTCAGCCCTGAGGGGAGAGACACACAGACACCATTAGGAGACTCTGGTGGCCAGGAGCAGAGGCCCCTAGAGGACCCCCAGTGACCGGCTCAGGGGCACCAGCCACACTGCTGACCACTGTAGCACCGCCCTCCTGCTACATAAAATGAGGTTTCGCAAGGAAACAAAAGGTTGGGTAAGACTGTGTTTATGGGTGGTTTTAAAATGATTAAGAAAACATTATAACAGTTTATGGACTGTCTGCAGTTAACGCCAAAAATCTACCCTTTATGTGCTGAACTTTGAGCAAAGGCAGATACGGATCTTCCACACACACAGACAAGCACTGATGTCCCAAAGCAGTCACGGGTCAGTGGGGACAAAGTAAATTCCTGACATTAAAATGCTCAATATATTGTTCCTTTGTGAGAACTAGAGTTCACTTAAAAGTATTACAAATAACCTACATTTCCAAAAATATGGAAATATTAATTCAGCCATAGTGACATAATACAATATTATAAAGCCATTACAATTATGCTCATTGAGCATTTTTAATTGCCAGGGGGAAATGCTAATGTTATAACATTAAATTGAAAACACTTGAAATCAAAGTTGCATAAATATAAAAATTCAACTCTTATTATAAAAACAAACAAAACACTATTTAGAAATAGAGGGGAAGGGAAAAGTCACAAGAGGTCATCTCTGACTGACAGGCATACAGGTGGATTTTCTTAGTCATACTTTTTAGAAGCTTTTAAGTTTCCTACTAAGAAGTATTTTTTAATATAATTAAGAGGAGGATAACATACAAATACCCCAATAAGTGACTTTTTTTTTTTTCTGGAGACAGAGTCGCGCTCTGTTGCCCAGGCTGGAGTACAGTGGTGCCATCTCAGCTCACTGCAACTTCTGCCTCCCGGGTTCAAGAGATTCTCCTGCCTCAGCCTCCCAAGTAGCTGGGACTACAGGCATGTGCCACCACGCCCAGCTAAATTTTGTATTTTTAGTAGAGACGGGATTTCACCATGTTGGCCAGGCTGGTTTCGAACTCCTGACCTCAGGTGATCTGCCTGCCTTAGCCTCCCAAAGTGCTGGGATTACAGGCATGAGCCACTGCGCTCAATTCACAATAAATGACTTTAAATCCAAAAGGAATGTGAAGGCCAGGCACAATGGCTCATGCCTATAATCCCAGCACTTTGGGGGGCCGAGCCAGGCAGATCACTTAAGGTCAGGAGTTCGAGACCAGCCTGGCCAACATGGTGAAACCCCATCTCTACCAAAAATACAGAAATTAGCTGGACATGGTGGTGGACGCCTGTAATCCCAGCTACTCAGGAGGCTGAGGCAGGAGAATCACTTGAACCCAGGAGGCGGAGGTTGCAGTGAGACGAGATCATGCTACTGCACTCCAGCCTGGACAATGAGCAAGACTCCATCTCAAAAAAAAAAAAAAAAAAAAAAAAAAAAAAGCCAAAAAAAAACAAAAACCAAAACCAAACAAAACAAATGTGAAAGGATTGTGTGGGCTGAGCTGCATAGCTAGGCAAATCTGTGTGGAATGACAGGTCCAAAGGGGCTGATTATCAGTCTCATGTCAACCTGGAATTTTTGCATAGGGAATGGTCCTTGCCTCTGTCAAGTTCTGTTTCGGATCAGCTGCCCGCTTGTGACCACATGTCATGTGGATTACATCTGCGGGAAGCTTGAAGGGCAGCTATTCCACTGAAGGCCGGAACTGGGATCTAAAGTGGCCTCCATCGGGCTGGAGAGACACTCAAAGCCTAACCACTGGGGGAGGCAAGCCCAGCAGGGGGCAGCTGAAAAGGAGCTGGACCAGGACAAAGGTAACAAGAAACAGAGATAGATCCACGCCTGTTCTCCGTGGCCCTACTCGGCCACAGACAGGCATGTGCACCTTAATGAGAAGAGGGAAAATTCAGCCCCTAGCTGCATGGGTTTGTAAGCAAGATGTACTGATCTGTGCGTTTAACATCCAGTGAACCTGGTTGTAAGTGGATGGAAAAGACAAACGCCGGTTACTTTTCTAGAGATTTTTAAACTCTCAAGCTCTTTTACCTTCCAGCTGTGGGAACTCCACAGTACATCTCTCAAGGGTTGTTTTGGGCTACAAGGCTTAAACAGTTCTCTTGGTTTTTGTGCTATAAAAGCACAAAAGATATAACAGCAAGTTCTCTGGATATGCTCACGGATACATGTACATCATCCTCTAGTTCTTTCTGGGCCCAAAGTTCCAAATACATCTTTCATTTTGGGAAGAAGAAAAGTTCCGGCCAGGCACAGTGGCTCATGCCTGTAATCCCAGCACTTTGGGAAGCTGAGGCAAGAGGATTGCTTGAGGCCAGGAATTCTTTATTTATTTATTTTTTGAGACAGGGTTTCGCTCTTCTTGCCCGGGCTGGAGTGCAATGGTGCAGTCTCGGCTCACTGCAACCTCCACCTCCCAGGTACAAGTGATTCTCCTGCCTCAGCCTCCCAAGTAGCTGGGATTACAGGTGCCTGCCACCACGCCTGGCTATTTTTTTTTTTTTTGTATTTTTAGTAGAGACGGGGTTTCATCATGTTGGCCAGGCTGGTCTCAAACTCCTGACCTCAAGTGATCTGCCCACCTCAGCCTCCCAAAGTGCTGGGATTACAGGTGTGAGACCCCGCGCCCAGCCTACTTGAGGCTAGGAATTCAAGACCAGCCTTAGAGAGACCTCTACAGAAAATTAGCCAGGCTCCTGTAGTCCCAGCTACTCAGGAGGCAGGAGGATCACTTGAGCCCAGGAATTGAAGGCTGCAATGAGCTATGACCGTGCCACTGCACTCTAGCCTGGGTGACAGAGCGAGACCCTGTCTCAAAACAAGAAAGAAGGGACAGAGAGAGAAAGAGGGAAGACAAAAAACAGAAAGAGAAAGGGAAAGAATAGGAAAAAGAAAAGTTCACTATTTCCAGGTCAAGGCAAGAAAAGTACAATCACGCACCAAGCTCATTTCCTCCTTTGGTTGCCCAGCAAAGGCAGTAATGCCGCATGAGCTGCTCCAGCAGCTCCATTTCATCCAGGAATTCAAGTGATTCTATCCTGTGGAAAGAATTAAAATAGAACGATGCAAGTGTCTGCATTGAAAATGAAGATCATGGCCCATAGCTACGGATATGAAAAAATGTTTATGATAGATTAAGTGGAAAGAAGGCGGCTATAAAATAGTAATTATGGTGTGGCTCCATTTTAATGTCTTTTCACTGAAAAGAAGAAAAAATACCATAAACAAAGTCAAAATACAAATGCCAAACTAGAAACATATATTTGCAATTCAAGTGGCAAAGGGCTGAGTTCCTTATTATATAAAGAGCTGTTAAACTTCAGTAAGAAAAACTAGTGGCAACTGGAGGAGACAGGCAGAGTAAATTGAAGCAGATTCATACTGTCAAAACAGGACACTATGCAGCCATTTTTAAAAATGGGGTAGGTCCATACGTATTAATATGCAATAACCTCCAAGACATATATATCATGGAATTTAAAAAGCAAGTTGCGTAATTTAAAAAGCAAGTAATGTGCATATTACACCACTCTCTATGTAAAGAAAAAGTGAGACAAATTTGTCTGTATATGTACAGACTTTTGGAAAATACAGAAGAAACTAGAAATGGTAGTTGTCTCTTAAGAGAGAAGGTAGTAGACCAGTAGTGAGGAGGGTTGTTTTTACTCTATACTACTTCATTTTGGTTTTGTAAAAAATTATATGCATGTATGACTTTTCCCAAAAAGCCTTTTAAATGTAAACTTTTAAACATACATACACAGGTTGGGTGAAGTGCCTCACGCCTGTAATCCCAGCACTTTGGGAGGCCATGGTGGGTGGATCTCCTGAGGTCAGGAGTTCGAGACCAGCCTGGCCAACATGGTGAAACCCCATCTCTATTAAAAATACAAAAATTAGCCTGGCATGGTGGTGCCCACCTGTAGTCACAGCTATTTGGGAGGCTGAGGCAGGAGAATTGCTTGAACCTGGAAGGCGGAGGTTGCAGTAAGCAGAGATCGCGCCACTGTACTCCAGCCTTGGTGACAGAGCGAGACTCGGTCTCAAAAAAATAAAAATAAATAACTATATACACACACAGAGAAACATGCACAAACATATGGAAATAGCGTTTTAAAAAAGTTTCTGTTTGCCAGGAGCAGTGGCTCACGCCTCTAATGCCAGAGCTTTGGGAGGCCAAGGTGGGAGAATCACTTGAGGCCCAGAGTTTGAGACCAGCCTAGGCAACATAGCAAGACTCCATCTCTATCAAAAAAAAACAAAAAAAAAGTTTCTGTCAAAATAGGTACACACTATGGAGGAAAAGTCCGGCATTTTCAAAAAGTATACAGAATAAAATAAAAAAAGAAACAGGATCCATATTCCTACTATTCACAATAGCCACTGCTAACATATGAATCCTGCCAGTTGCCCAGGCCTTGTCTGTTATATGTGTGCACGTACACCCAGGTGTGAACACGTGTGTGTCTGTGCATGTTTCTGTATTTGTGAGTTCATTCCCGTCTTGGTATGCAGGCTTCAGGACCAAATCTGAAGTAAGAATGCCTACACATAAAGTAATGTGGTTGTTTCCCAAGTCATTCTACCAGGAGACATCCAAAGCAGATCTGATACCAAGTTCTAGAAAAATCCAGTACCATACTGAAGGCTCCAGGATGGTTATTACCAAGAACAGCTATCAGGAGACACTACTAATTATTAAGCTGTTCACTAGAATGAGCACTCCCAAGGGCAGGAATGTCTTTTGTCCTGTTTTGATCATTGCTGTATCTCTGGTGCTTAGAAAAGTGCCGGGCACACAGCAGACACTCAACTCAGCATTTGTTCAATGAACAGGCTCGCCTTAGACTTCCTATTATACTCTACAGTTTCCGGCAAAAGCAGATACAAACTACGTGGCATTCACAGAGCTGGAAAGGCTGTTCGACCTGGCATAGACAAAGGCCTTCCAATCTCCTTACCCGCCTCCCCCGTGAGGGTTACACGCTGCTATCTACAGAAGGTCCTGGAAACATGAGACAAATGACTGCCTGGAGGCAAGAGACTTTCCTTGTGGTTGATGCTAGTCAGAGGCTCCTTTCTGGGCATCTAGAAGCAGTGCCAGAGCATCCCCATTTCAGGGGCCAGATCAGGGATGTTCAAAACAGTCGTCTTGACATGTAGCAAATGAAAACCAGCCTGTGGGGAAGGATGCTTCTGGAAGAATCCAGGAAGCATTGACCTGATCACGTGGAGACAGCACTTTCTCAAACCCTCTAGGCTTTCATTGCCAATTATTCATGTACATATTTGGGAAAAACAGTGATATGCCTAAATGTTAATAAGTTATATGGAAAAGCAAAGCCAAAATTCTTCTCATGATCTTGTAAGAGACCAAAGGCTATTGATCTTAGGTCTCCAAAGGCAAGAAGGAAGCATGAATCAGGAAGCACAGAGTGATTACAAAAAAAAGAGCTGAAGTGCGCACTAGCGCTGTACACAGATGCACGTTGGTGATGTTCTCTCCAGTGTTGTTTATAACAGGCAAATGAAAACATGATGAATAAACAAGACACCGCAACTAAATGCCCAGCTACAGACATTTTTAATTACTTAAAAATTATCATCAATATACTGTATCTGCGTAAATCAATATAAATACTATGTACCCTATTTTTTTTTTTTTTGAGACAGAGTTTCGCTCTTGTTGCCCAGGCCAGAGTACAAATGGTGCTACCTCGGCTCACTGCAACCTCCGCCTCCCAGGTTCAAGCAATTCTTCTGCCTCAGCCTCCCAAGTAACTGGGATTACAGGCGCCCGCCACCATGCCCAGCTAATTTTTTGTATTTTTAGTAGAGACAGGGTTTCACCATGTTGGCCAGGCTGGTATCGAACTCCTAACCTCAGGTGATCCACCTGCCTTGGGCTCCCAAAGTGCTGGGATTACAGGTGTGAGCCACCGCACCTGGCCCTATGTACCCTTAAATGGGATATGGCAACCCTCAATATTTTGATATGTAAAGGCAAATACAATCTATTGTTTTCAAAAAGGATGGTGGTTTACAGACCAGTATGTGTAGTATGAATCCACAGATTCAAAAAATAGAAATCTATGTATCAATAAATATTTATCTATCTATGTAGGAAAAGAATATTCCCCAATATGTTAAGAACTGCTACCTCCCAGGTGTGACTACAGAATGGACAACTACTTTATACTTCATGCACTTTAGAATGCTTGAGGAACTTTTTAGAACAAGAAGCATAGATTTCCTTTATAATGGGGAGAAAAGTCCATTTAAAAACCCGCCAGCCCCTTATACGTCCTTGAACAACGTCGTTTTCCTCCCTCTCCAAAGCAGGGATTATGTAAAATTTCCACTGCCAAGGTTGCTCTGGGAGTTTTCCAGGTGTCATTGCTTGTTTTCACTAAAATAATCAGTTTGGGCATAAGCCCTATCTCAGCTAATAGCTAATGAGTTACTTTCAAGCTGCTATCAGTGTTTAACTTGTTTCAAAATAGGTCTAGTTAGGGTCTTGTTTTTTGGGGTTTTTTTTTGTTTGTTTGTTTGTTTGTTTTTTTGAGAAGCAGTCTTGCTCTGTCGCACAGGCTGGATACAATTGCACATCTCAGCTCACTGCAACCTCCGCCTCTTGGATTCAAGTAATTCTCCTGCTTCAGCCTCCCTAGTAGCTGGGATTACAGATGTGTGCCACCACACCCGGCTAATTTTTGTATTTTTATTTATTTTTGGAGACAAGAGTTTTGCTCTTTTGCCCAGGCTGGAGTGAAGCGGCACGATCTCAGCTCACTGCAACCTCTGCCCCCGCCCCAGGTTTAAGTGATTCTCCCGGCTCAGCCTCCCAAGTAGTTGGCATTATAAATGTGCACCACCCTACCTGGCTAATTTTTGCATTTTTAGTAGAGACAAGGTTTCACCATGTTGGCCAGGCCGGTCTCGAACTCCTGACCTGACCTCAAGTGATCTGCCCGCCTATGCCTCCCAAAGTGCTGGGATTACAGGTGTGAGCCACCGTGCCTGGCCTTGTTTTTTATTTGTTTGTTTGTTTTTTGTTTTTTAATGAAATCTCCACATATTGTTCTGTTTTTCTGCATGAAAGAATACAGGCAATCATGCCTTGAGTTCACAATGAATGCCCATCAAGCTGACGCTCACCAACCCCATACCTGCTCACTTCAGCTCGAGGTAACCTGTTGTACAACTCCATCATGTCGACGGCCGATGCTGTTTCCCACCCATTCGACAGGAGCCGTTCTTTCTAAAATGTGCAACGAAGAGAAATGGAGAACTAGAGAACTACCAGGCACCGGCTTACAAATCTAAGACACTGTTTTGTTTTAAAGAGACAAGGTCTCATTCTGTTGCCCAGGCTGAAGTGCAGTGGTGTGATCACAGCTCACTGCAGCCTTGACCCACCGGGCTCAAGCGATCCTCCCCGCTCTGCCACCCAAGGTGCTGGGATGAGAGGTGTGAGCCAGTGTGCTTGGTACTGAAATGCTCTTAAGCACACCAGACCTCCTCTGAGACGACTCCTTTCTCAAAAGCCCATCCTAGACCCTAACACCTTTTTTTAACTTTCCAACTTTCCATATTGAACAAGCATTGTTATAATGGGGGGAAGTTCACTAAAGTACTTCCAAAGAGAAATAAAGGAAGAACTTTTCTATGAGTGACAGTTTTTTAAAGCACTCTAATTGTTATGTGACAAAAGATATGTAAAAATGAACCTATTTATTTATTTAATTTTTTTTTGAGACGGAGGCTCACTCTGTTGCCCAGGCTGGAGTACAGTAGTTTGATTTTGGCTCACTGCAACCTCCATCTCCCAGGTTCAAGCAAATCTCCTGCCTCAGTCTCCCAAGTAGCTGGGATTACAGGTGTGCACCACCACACCCGGCTAATTTTTGTATTTTTAGTAGAGATGGGGTTTCACCATGTTGGCCAGGCTAGTGTCGAACTCCTGAACTCAGGTGATCCGCCCGCCTCAGCATCCCAAAGTGCTGGGATTATAGGTGTGAGCCACCGCGCCCGCCCAAAAAAATGAACCTACTTATATGGGGGCGGGGTGGGAGGTGTTATGAGAAAAAATAGATGACTTTTTTAAAGGGAGGGGGCATTAACATAGAGTCAAAGAGGTTTAAGGGACATATCAATCATCTGCAAAGTGTGGACAATGTTTAAATCCTGATTCAAACACATCAACTATAAAAAAAAGGTTTTTTAAACAACTGGGGAAACTGAACATGAACTGGGCATTAAATGCTATGAAGGAGTTGTCAACTTGTATGATCTGTGAAATGGTATTATCATCATCCTGGGAGAAGAAAGTCCTTATTGGAAGGTGATTCACATGTGTATTTAGGGGTGAAATCATGTGCTGTCTGGGATTTGCCTGAAAATATTCCAACATCTACAAAAAAATTGTGGGGGAATATAGGAAATAACACTGATAATATAAGAAATACTGAAGTTAGGTGATGAGACGTGTGTGTTTATTTCACCATTCCCTCTACCTTTATGTTTGTTTGAAAATTTGCGTAATACAAAGTCAAAATAATAGGGTGTAGGAAATGTGATGGTGAAGCAGGACTTGGTCTTCCCAGCATCATGAACTAGCGGCCCACATGGAGGCTCAGCAGCCTGTGCTGCTGACAGGCACTGAACAGGGCTTCTCCATGATCACATCTGCAAAGAAAGACCTTTATATATCTTGGTTGACTAAGGGTCCAAATGGATATCCCAGTCCCTGCTCTCTGACCTGTGACTCTAATGACTTGCAGGTCTCCACTCCCGCCAGGTCACACTGGCGTCTCCGCAGGTTTTCAATCATGATCTGCCCAAACCGATCACCCATGTTCACCTAGGAGGGAAAGAGAAGGTAAGATATTACTCTAAGGGTTTCCTAAATATGCAAAATAAAACATCATTCATCCTATTTTTAAGCAGCCGAGGCTGACGCTTGATGACGCACACCCAGCATAGGAAACGGACTGAGGGGCGGGCACCAGCACGGTGCTGGCGGGAGCATAAACTTGGGTAGCCCTGGAAGGGAAACTGGGCAGGATACAACCATTTTAAATGCTCAACTTGTGATCCACCAATTCCACCAAAAGCAATCTATCCTACAGACACACTCCCACATGTATGCTAAGATGCAAGAATGTTTATCACAGCATTAGGTATAATAGGAAGAATCTGGAAATAACTCCTGGCATGTTTGTATAATGAAATTATATATAGCCATGAAAACAGAGAAGACAGATATAGACATGAAATGACCTCTAGGGTAAACTCTTGAAAAGTGAAGTACAGAGGAATATGGATAGTATGAGCCCATCTGTCTTCAAGGAAAAAAAGAATCTCTCTATGTACATAGAAAAATTCTGGAATGTGGCAGCCTTGCTTCCCAGATTAGAGGACCAAAGTCTGGGGCAGGAGAGAGATTTACTTTTCCTTGTCTACCCTGTTCTATTTTTAATTTTTGTACTCTACATATGGTATTACTTTTTAAATTACAAAAACTAATCTAAAAAACCCAAAATTATATATGAAAAAGGCCAGGAAACAATATTAGTGTACACCATTGTAGTATATACACTATTGCTTTTTCAAAAACTCACTTTAGGCCAGGCATGGTGGCCATGTCTGTAATCTCAGCACTTTGGGAGGCTGAGGCAGGTGGATCACTTGAGGCCAGGAATTCAATACCAGCCTGGCCAACATGGTGAAACTCCATCCCCACTAAAAATACAAAAATCAGCCAGGCGCAGTGGCACGTGCCTGTTATCCCAGCTACTCAGGAGGCTGAGGCGGGAGAATCACTTGAACCCAGGAGGCAGAGGCTGCAGTGAGCTGAGATTGCGCAACTGCACTCCAGCCTGGATGACAGAGCGAGACTCTGTCTCAAAAAAAAAAGGCTGGGTGCGGTAGCTCACGCCTATAATCCCAGCACTTTGGGAGGCCGAGGTGGGCGGATCACTTGAGGTCAGGAGTTTGAGACCAGCCTGGCCAACATGAAACCCTGTCTCTATTAAAAATACAAAATTAGCTAGGAATAGTGGCACACGCCTGTAATCCCAGTTACTCAGGAGGCTGAGGCAGGAGAATCTCTTGAACCTGGGAGGTGGAGGTTGCAATGAGCCAAGATCGTGCCACTGCACTCCAGCCTGGGTGACAGAGTAAGACTCCATCTCAAAACATAAATAAATAAATAAATAAGTTAATATATGTAAAATTCATAGAATAGTCCCTGCTATATAGTAAGCAAAATCTAAGAATTTGCTACCACTGCTTTAGAATTATTATTGAAATTATTATCATCCATGTAGTTTTGTCATCTTAAACTACTAATTAGGCAACAAGCTGAGCATGGTGGCTGATGCCTGCAGTCCCAGGGCTTTGGGAGACTGGGGTTGGAGAACTGCTTGAGGCCAGGAGTTTGAGACCAGCCTGGACAACATAGCAAGACCCTGTCTCTACCAAAAAAATAAAGTCAAGAGTGGTGGTGTGCACCTACAGTCCTAACTAATGGGAGACTAAGGTGGGAGGATCACTTGAACCTGGGAGCTCAAGACTGCAGTGAGCTATGACGGCACCACTGTACTCCAGCCTGGGCGACAGAACGAGACCCTGTCTCTAAAAAAAAAAAAGACCAAAAAAAAGGAAAAGCAAACAATGTAAAGCATGTGAGCAATTAATACATGGTTTGTGAGGGTGCTGGTCATTTTGCGTTTGTTAGGAAACCACTGAATTAACTTAAATGTTCATTATTCACCAGGTGAGGGTGGTGGGTGGGAGCAGAACCAGTCTAGGGACAGCTATGGACAACGTTTTGAAAACTGGCACATTCCCAGGCTTGCTCCAAAGTGACAAGATCTCTGGTCAGAATTCACTGAATCCATCATCTCTCATATGATGTTGAATAAACACTTGTTCAACAAAAGAATACACAAACTAAGGAAAGGGAAAGCAGCAGTACAAATCCAAAACATGTGGAGTATGGACAGTGGAATGTTTCCCCAGATGTGGTTATCCTGAAAGCAAAGATGGGTCTCCAGGATTTATTCACATCAAAAGAAAAGACCAGTGAGGCCAGCTTCCATTACATCCATCCATCAGGATAGAAGACAGAGTCTGAGGAGCGCTCCCAATTAAAGAGAGGGAAGGATGCAAAATCAACCAATCGAGAACCATCTACACAGGAACCTGGGCAGGAAAGGACCTGGGGAGGAGGCTGAGAGACCAAGGGCTAGCCCTAGATCTGTCCATAATTACGTGACACTGGGCAAGTCCCCTGATGGCTCTTATGTGTGATAAAATAAAAAAGAAAAGGAGATTTAAAAAATAAAACTGACCAACCTGGGCAACATGGCGAAACCCTGTCCCTACAAAAAAAATTTAAAAATTAGCTGGGCATGGTGGTGTGCACCTGTGATCCCAGCTACTTGGGAGGATGACCTGGCAGGATCATCTGAGCCCGCGGTCGAGGCTGCAGTAAGCCATGATCCCCACCACTGCACTCCAGCCTGGGTGATACAGTGAGACCCTATCTCAAACAAACAAATAAATAAAAAGCAATAAACAATAAAAATAGTGAGCATGTATCAGTGCTTATGATGTGATAAGCCACTGACCATCATCTCAGGAATCCCCATAATAATCTGGAGAGTGGGTATTTCTTTCTTTCTTTTTTTTTTTTTTTTGAGATGGCGTCTCGCTCGGTCACTCAGGCTGGAGTGTAGTGGTGCAGTCTCGGCTCACTGCAACATCCGCCTCCCTGGTTCAAGCGATTCTCCTGCCTCAGCCTCCCAAGTAGCTGGGATTATAGGCGTCCGCCACCATGCCTGGCTAATTTTTGTATTTTTTGTAGAGACAGGGTTTCACCATGTTGGCCAGTCTGGTCTCAAAACTCCTGACCTCAGGAGATCTGCCCTCCTTGGCCTCCCTAAAGTGCTGGGATCACAGGCGTGAGCCACCGCACCCACCCAGTTCAAAACAAAGAACTGGGGCTCAGAGAGAACAAAAAATAGCTGATGCTTACTTACAGTTGGGCAACACTGTCAGTGCTTTTGAATACATTAACTCATTTATATCTCACAACAATGCTATGAAGTAGGGACTATTATTTTCAGATGAAGAAACAGGCACAGAGGGTCAGCCGGGCATGGTGGCTCATGCCTGTAATCCCAGCACTTTGGGTGGCCGAGATGGGCAGATCACTTGAGGTCATGAGTTCGAGACCAGCCTGGCCAAAATGGTGAAACCCCATCTCTACTAAAAATACAAAATTAGCTGGGTGTGATGGTGCACGCCTGTGATCCCAGCTACTTGGAAGGCTGAGGCAGGAGAATCGCTTGAACCCAGGAGGCGGAGGTTGCAGTGAGCCGAGAGTGTGCTGTTGCACTCCAGCCTGGGCAATAAGAGTGAAACTCTGGCTTAAAAAGAAAAAAAAAAAGAAAAGAAAAGAAAGAAAGAAACAGGCACAGAGGGGTTATGTAACTTGCCCAGGTCACACAGCAGGAACGCCCAACTCCAGAGAATGGACTCCCAATCACTAAGCTGTGCTGCCTAAGTTCACATAGCTGAGAGCACAAGCCAGGGCCAGGATTCAACCCAAGCTATTCCAAAGCTCTAAAGCAGAACTTTTTCTGCAATAAATCAGAAGAAGTAAACAGGCAGCTGGTAAATCATACATGGTAATTTTAGAAATTAGAATATTTTACATTAAAATCCTGCATTTCCAACTTCTTTCAAAAATCAGGAGTTCTGGCAGCTCTAGGCTCACATGCCTACATGATAACAACTGGCTGTAAATGGGCAGTGGCCACTCCTGTGAGATGGGACGTGGGTGCTCCGTTTCACCAGTCCCCAAACCCTACACTATTACACCTGGCTGACTTCCTCCACTGACCCCACCTGCCTGTCCCTGACAGCATCTGAGTTGCTACCCCAAAATGCTGGTAGCCAAAATCCTCTTCCTCATGTTCTATGACTCCATGGTACATGTAATGATAAAAATAAGAACTTGAAAATCTTTTGTAAAGGCTAAGACAGAAGTTCTAATAACTGGCTAAAAGTCTGCAGGAGGTCAAGAGGTCAGGAGTACTAAGATTGCTGGTTGGTGAATAAAGGAGATATGTGAGAGGCTGGAGGCAGAAGGAAAAGGATAAGGGAAGTTATCCTAAGGGTGCTGGGAGAGGGAAGCCACCACGGCGATCCTGTATGGAATCCAGTTCTCCTGTGCTTCCTTTTACCTGTTCGTAGTTTATGAACATGGCTCTCTCAAAACTGTTGGCTGCCCACTTCAGGAGGTTTGCGGACTGCTCTGGAGTCATGTAAACCAGCACACATTCAGCTATCAGGAGTGTTGGCAATCTTAAAGATAAGGAAAAAAAGGCACATAAATTTGTTATCATCAAGTCAGGACCCTCTAATTGTACACATGTTGCAGTATTGGTGGGGCGGTCCATGCCCCAGGGAACTCAGAAGGCCTGAGCAAGCACAGCCCCAGTCAGGACAGGAATACATGTGGAATACCGTCACAATCCGAGCTTTCTACTGTGAAAAGGTGAGCAGTGAGAAATGATTTGTGTGGCAATGAAAACATGTTGAGCATGTGTGGTGGATTGTAAAAATGGTTTCAAGTTCTCCCCTGCTGTGCACTCACACCACGCCAACATAACAATGCAGCTTCCCCCATTTGAGAGGTGTTTATTCTTCTACCCCTGGAATCTAGGCTGGTCATGAAACTTTTGCTTTGGTCAACAGGACAGTAGCAAACATGATGCAAGCAGAAGCTTTAAAGTCACTTGCACATTGGTGCTTGCTCTCTTGCTGCACTTGGAAAACTGAAACCACTGTGTGAAGGAACCCAAGCTAGCCTGCTATAGGGGGAGAAGACCTGTGGAAGAGAAGAAGGCATCCCAACTGACAGCCAGCCAGACCCTAGCTGGCCTGCCCACTGTCCACCTGACTGAACTCCAGAATATCAGCTAAACCCAACCACAAGCAGAACCATCCAGCTAAGCCCTGTCCAAACTGCAGAAGAACCTCCAGCTAAGTAAGGCCAACCCAAACTGCAGAAGAACATCCAGCTAAGCCCAGCCCAAACTGCAGAACACCCAGCTAAGCCCAACAAGAAACTGGTTGAAAAGAACATGGTATGCCCTACCCAATGAACTGCTATGCAGCTCATAAGTATGATGTTTCAGGGACTGTATTTATTGACACAAAAGCTATCCATGGTCCCCAGATTCAAGTGGCCTATCAGATGCTTCCCGGCACTTCTTCAAAGCAGATACCCCAAGAGTAATGAAACAATCGAATGTCATTAGCTATTTTATATTTCTTTTCCTTACACGATAATGTGTAAGCTGTTTTGTTCATAGTGAGTACCTGTACTTGACAGAATCTCGATTATTTGCTAAATGAGTGAATAGACAAATGAATGATTGTATGTGTACATATACACATATATATTAGATTCTTTTTTTTTTTTTTTTTTTGAGACAGAGTCTCATTCTGTCACCAGGCTGGAGTGGAGTGGCACGATCTCAGCTCACTGCAACTTCCGCCTCCTGGGTTCAAGCAGTTCCCCTGCCTTGGCCTCCCGAGTAGCTGGGACTATAGGCACACACCACCACGGACCCACCTAATTTTTGTATTTGTAGTAGAGACGGGGTTTCCCCATGTTGGCCAGGCTGGTCTCAATCTCTTGACCTCGTGATCCGCCCATCTTGGCCTCCCAAAGTGCTGGGATTACAGGCGTGAGCCACCGTGCCCAACCGATTCTTTTAAAAGTTCCAAAACTGGCTGGGTGCAATGGCTCACGCCTGTTAATTCCAACACTTTGGGAGGCGAAGGCAGTTAGATCGCTTGGGCTCACGAGTTCAAAACAAGCCTGGGCAATATGGTGAAACCTTGTCTCTACAAAAATTAAATGGGTGTGGTGGTGCACTGCTGTGGTCCCAGCTACTCAGGAAGCTGAGGTGGGAGGATCACTTGAGCCTGGGAGATTCATGCTGCAGTAAGCACAGATCACGCCACTGCACTCCAGCCTGGGTGACAGAGTAAGACCTTGTCTCCAAACAAAAAGTTCCAAAATTATACGCATAGCATAATCACATTTTAAAGAAAAACATATATTTACAAATTTTGGGATAAAATCTTTTAAGGTGGTTATCTCTAGGTATTGGGATTAGGAATTATTTTTATCTTCTCTTCGAGGAACCATCAAAATCATCAGCAACAATTAAAACTACAGAAATGAATAGCATTTCTCAGAGATTTCAGCATCTTCAACTGCTAACACTTACAGGTGGGTTCTATTAGTATTCACATTTTCACATTTTTCTTTTTCTTTTCTTTTCTTTTTTTTTTTTTTTGAGATGGAGTCTTGCTCTGTTGTCCAGGCTACAGTTCGATGTCATGATCTTGGCTCACTGCAACCTCTGCCTCCTGGGTTCAAGTGATTCTCCTGCCTCAGCCTCCTGAGTAGCTGGGGTACAGGCGCCCACCACCACGCCCAGCTGATTTTTTGTATTTTTAGTAGAGATGGGGCTTCAATATGCTGGCCAGGCTGGTCTCGAACTCCTGACCTCAGGTGATCTGCCCACCTCGGCCTCCCAAAGTGCTGAGATTACAGGCATGAGGCACCACGCCCAGCCTATAACTCACATTTTTCCGAAGAGGAAACAGATGCAGAGAAGTGAAGTAAGTTATCCAAAGTCATGGTCTAGTGCATATTCCTGTCAGGATTCAAACCTGTGCAGCTGGACTCGGTTCCCAGACTCATGAACTACAATGAACATCCTCCTTATGCATATATGCAAGATCTTCTCAAGGAGACACCCACGAAAGTGGAACTGCTATGTATGGTACACATACTTACAATGTTACTAGATACTTTCAGATTGCTCCTCACAGTAGTTGTACTGTGATAATGCCAGCAGTGGCATTATCATTCCCTATCCCCCACATCCTTGTCAACACTTGATATTGTCAGCTGTTACATTTTTGCCAACTTGGTGACAGTAAAATAGAATTTCATCTGATTATCACTGATGCCCAATACCTGTTTCATATGATATTCAGTTTCTTCTTTGAGCTGCCTGGTAATCTATATTTTGCCCATTTTTCTGAGGTTTTTTTTTTTAATAGTAGCTGTTCTTTATATATTCTGGATGCTAATCTTTTCTTTATATGTTACAAATATGTTTCTATCCATAAATTATCTTCTCTCAAACTTTTATATGAAATTAGGCACTAGTATTTTTACAAAGTAACACAGGTGATTCTGATGTAGAAACAGACTTGAACAGTATTGCTTTAAAAATTTCAGAAAACTACCCAGCACTTTGGGAGGCCAAGGCAGGCGGATCACCTGAGGTCGGGAGTTTGAGACCAGCCTGACTACATGGAGAAACCCCATCTCTACTAAAAATACAAACTTAGCCAGGCATGGTGGCGCATGCCTGTAATCCCAGCTACTCAAGAGGCTGAGGGCAGGAGAATCACTTGAACCTGGGAAGTGGAGGTTGCAGTGAGCTGAGATTGTGCCATTGCACTCAGCCTGGGCAACAAGAGCAAAACTCCACCTCAAAAAAAAAAAAAAGAATTTTTTTCAGAAAACTAGGTAGCAATGAAATGATAAAACTCTTAAAGAATAAAAAATGGAACATGAATATCATGCTGTACTTCCGACTGGCCTTATCTCATAATTAGCATAAAATCACAAATGCAGAAGAGGTTTAAAAAAAAAAATCTCACTGTGTATTCATGTTACATTTCTTTAGCTTCTCTTCCAGTTCAGACAGGTCTCGGAGATCTGCTCCAATAACGGCATATCTCTTTGAATCCAGTATGTGTCCATCTGCAAATGCAATCAGAGGCTATAATTTTAATGAATATGTCTTTTCCAAAGTTATAGTAGCCTTATGGTTTTTCCTTACTATAAAAATACATGCATCATTGTTAAAAAAAAAAAATACGTAAGAGGAGGGTAAAAATTAACCAAAATCCTATCTTCCAAAGATAACTATTCGTGTTTTGGTGTGTAACATTTCAGCCTTTTGTCCTATGTGCTTAAGTTATTATACACAACAAAAACACATCCCCTCTCATGCACATGGTGCGCACACACATACACACATCCTGAATAGAGAAAAGAAAATGGGACCACCCAATATGTGGTTTGAAAACTGCTTTTCCTACGTAACAACAGCATCAGGGACATCCTTCTGTATAATGATTTCATAGCATTCCATTGACTGGATAAAACATAACTTATTTAGCCAATCCCTCACTATGAGACATGGTATTTCTAAGTTTTCCCCATCTAGGCATTTAAGCACCCTTGTATAGACATCATGAAGCATCTGTCCAGTTATTTCTTTAAAGTAGATAGTATGAGTGGAATTAAGAGATCAGAGGGTAAGCCTATTTAAATATGGGGACCCATTAGCAGGCTGCTCTCTAAATGTTACGCCAATTTGTGTTATGTTTTAAAAAAGACAGTTTATGTACTAATGTATTTACAAATAAAATGACAGCATTTGCTTTGAAAGACTCCAGCAGAGGTGGGATGAAATGGTTATCTATAGTGATTATTCTCAGGCTTCAGTGGTCATCAGAATCAACTGGGTGGCGTGCTAAACCAGATTGATAGGCTCCACCCCAAATTTCTCATTCACTACATCTTTCACTAGCAGAAATTTACATTTCTATTGGCTGGGCACGGTGGCTCACGCCTGTAATCCCAACACTTTGGGAGGCCAAGATGGGTGGATCACAAGGTCAGGAGATCGAGACCATCCTGGCCAACATGGTAAAACTCCGTCTCTACTAAAAATACAAAAATTAGCTGGGTGTGGTGGCGCATGCCTGTAATCCCAGCTACTCTCGAGGCTTGAACCTGGGAAGCGGAGGTTGCAGTGAGCCGAGATCATGCCACTGCACTCCAGCCTGGGCGACAGAGTGAGGCTCCATCTCAGTTAAAAAAAAAAAAAGTTAACAAATTTTTTTTTAAAGAAAGAAAATTGCTTGATTTTATTATTCACTCAACTTCCAGACATTATTCACTCAACTTCCTTGAGGGTACAAACCATTGCAGGAGCTGAAACATCAACAGCTACCCATACTACTGCTAATAATTCAGGTTCTCTTGGCTCTGAGAACTTCAGCAAAAAAGCTGAAAAGGCTAACCTATAACATGTAAATAGGTTCTCATTTATCATCTTGATAACTCCACTTGGCTGATTCAAATACATATGGCTACACACCATAAGCTAAAGAAACACCTCCTAAGAGCCTGCTAGATGTCAGGAAAGCAATAAAGGGCAAGCAGGGAACCCAAAGTTGGCCCCAGGGTGTCACGAGTCAGGAAAGTAATATAAAGAATATGGCATGTATCTGGGTGCGGTGGCTCACGCCTATAATCCCAACAACTTGGGAGGCCCAAGCAGGAGGATGGCTTGAATGAGGAGTTCAAGACCACCCTGGGCAACACAGCAAGACTGTCTGTACAAAAAAATTTAAAAAATTAGCTAGGTGTGGTGGCATATGCCTGTAGTCCCAGCTACTCCGGAGGCTGAGGTGTGATGGCTTGAGCCCAGGAGCTCAAGGCTGCAGTGAGCTATGATCGTGCCTCTGCACTCCAGCCTGGGCAACAGAGCAAAGACCTTGTCTCTACAAAATAAAAGAATACGAAGGTAGTTGCCTACCCTATTAGGAAAATAATTCCAAAATGCCTGTGTAACTTCTTGCAAATAACAAATATATTAATAATAAGCACATTTGGAATGAGTTTTTCCATCCCTGGCCAAACAACAACAAATAATACACCAGAATATTAACACATGAAGTCTAGTACCATGTAGTTCAGGGGAGATCTCTCTTACTCACATTAGGATCTAACATTAGCATGTAAAGCAAAAATCACACATCATCATGATTATTCTTGTAAGTTGTACACAAGGTACATCTGAGCTGAAGGGAGTCAGTGACTTGAGGCTCACCCGCCACTCTGCAGTGGCCCAGCCGTATGTGGTGGCATACTGGTATACCACATGGGAAGCACTGGACAAGACGACCTTGAGATCCCTTTGAATGATAGAATTTGATGACTTGAGTAACTCACACCAGCATCCCATGATTCAGTTGCTCTTCTTAAGTCAGGGGCTACTCAAGCTGTAGGGAAATAACAGGTCCATTATCTGTCCTTGAAGGATGCTTTATCATTATTTTGTAGGGAACTGAATGTATTTGTGGAGGACAGGCTCAGAGCAAGTTTCGAAGGAGTTTTATAATTCTGGGAAAATAAAGCCATTTGTATAAAATCTAGCACTGGCAAGAGGCCATGAGAACAGAAAAATCCTTATCTGTCTGGAATGCTTCTGAGAGCTGGTGGGAAAGATAACTTGGTTGCCAAAATGAGATCTACAATCCCTTCTTTTCCTACATTCTATTTCGTGAGAGAAAAATGTAAGGCAACTGAAATCATTTTGTGTGATACTTACAGAACTTTCTAAAGAAACAGACCGGCCGGGCGCAGTGGCTTATGCCTGGAATCCCAGCACTTTGGGAGGCCAAGACAGGCGAATTGCTGAAGGCCAGTTCGAGACCAGCCTGGCCAGAATCTCTACTAAAAATACAAAATTAGCCAGGCGTGGTGGTGCACACCTGTAATGCCAGCTACTTGAGAGGCTGAGGCATGGGAATTGCTTGAACCCAGGAGGCGGAGGTTGCAATGAGCTGAGAGTGTGCCACTGCACTCCAGCCTGGGTGACAAATCAGAGCAAGACTCTGTCTCAAAAAAAGAAAAAAGCAAGTATTGTGCCAATGTGGATGTGGAACACAGGGGTGGTGTCCAATCTGATTCCAAGGTGAAGCTGTAAAGTGCCCTACAGGGCACGCATCTCAGGAAGCAATTCTGGGTGTTTAAGAATGAAGTAAAAATGGTATTTTTATTTCATTTTATGTGTACTTTTTTTTCAAATGACTAATAAGTTGTTAGGACATAAATACTTCAGCTGTTTAAACCCAACTAATTAAAAAGAACTGCTGAGTGTGTTTTTTGGCTCAGGGGTACTATGAAAACATTACTGAGACAAATTACTGGGAAGCAAGAAAGGTGGGGACCCCCTGGCCTAGCCCAATGCCTGCTACACAGCAGAGGTCTTCTGTGAAGATGACCACAAGTGATTAAATCCAGGCAGGTGCTGGAATGAGCCCAGCTGAGAAGTTCCACCTGAATGAACCCAACCCAAAGAATTGTGAGCTAAATAGATGGTTGTTGTTTTAAGCCACATGCTTTGCAGCAGTTTGTTACAGCGCAGAAGCTAATGGATACAAGCTTTAATTATCTGCCTCATTAAGTTTATATACTTTATCGTCCTAATCAGTTTTTTTTTTATTGTTGTTGCTGGTTTTTTTTGAGACAGCGTTGCATTGTATCACCCAGGTTGCAGTGCGGTGGCACGATCATGGCTCATTACAGCCTCGACCCCCCAGGCTGCCTCAGCTTCCTGTGTAGCTGGGACCACAGACGTGCACCACCATGCCTGGCTAATTTTTTTTATTATTTGTATAGATGGGGGGTGGGCGGGTCTCCTTATGTTGCCCAGGCTGGTCTTGAACTCTTGGGCTCAAGGGATCCTCCTGCCTCTGCCTCCCAGAGTAATGGGATTATAGGTGTGAGCCACCAAGCCAGTCTTAAACACTTTTAAGAGGTGATTAGGTCATGAGGTGAAAAGGCATGAGAAAACTGAAGACTTACACAATGTAACACAGTAGTTAAACACATACACACACACACACACACACAAGTGCTGGTGTATCATATGACTAATAATCTCTTCCATCACCGCCAGGTGCATTTCGAGAGATGTGTTGGATCTGTAGTGAACCCCATCAATCCCATTCATGGTATCTTCTATGACAAACTAATTATCATTGTTGATAAGCATTGCAAAGTGACCTTTTAGGTTCACAGATTTTCCTAGGATCCTTCAATTAAAAAAAAAAAAAAAAAAAAGGTAAAATGGAGACAGCCTCAGGCAGATTTCCGGACTGTACAGAGGATTAGTTTGTCTGACCACCCAACTGACACTCATGGGGCACTGAGCCAAGTCCTGGGAATAACTGATGAACAAGAAGACATGGTCCCTGCCCTCATGGGGCTTAAAATCCAGTGGGAAAGAGAGAGAACAAGGGCAAGTGTGGTAAGTTCTACAGAGAAGTTCAGGGTATTGTGGGGCATGTGAAACAGGCTTCTGACTCCCTTTAGAATGGAGTCCAAAATTCTCAGCCGGCTTTATGATCTTTCTCAATCTTGAAGCACGCACCTCCTGCCACCCGAGCCCCAGCCACACTGGCCTTCCCAGCTCTTCCTTCAGTGTGCCCTGGCTGAGATCATCTGTTCCCTAGGTAGTAGGGTCTCCTCCTCACGGCCCAACTGAAATCCTGTTCACATTCTGAAGTGCTTTCACTTGCTGTTCTTTTCTCTTTCTGCCTAATTTCACCAGAGTTGAAGCGGATTACAAAAACACAAACACATTCATCCATTCAAGCAGTCACGTGAGTATTCATTCAACACTGTCTGTGCACTAGGCACTGCTCTTGGTGCAGAGATTACAGTGGTAAACAAGACAGAAGCAGTCCCTGTTCTCAGGAAGCTTACATGGCAGAAGAGGGAGAAAGTGAATCATTAAATAAATGAGTAATCAAGAATATATCAAGGAGCAGTCAGTACCATGAGGAAACTGAAAGAGAAGAGTGTGACATAAGGCGGCAGGAAGGGGGTCTGTCTTTAACCTCGTAGTCAGGGAGGGCCCCTCTGAGGAAGCGGCAGCTGAGCAGATGAGAAGGAGCCCATCAAGCAAAGAGGAGAGAGGAAATGAAAAGGACTGAGGGGAAGAACATTCTTGGCACAGTCAGAGAACAGTAAGATATCTGTGTGGCTAGATCATAGTTACTGTGGTCAAAGGGAAAATCAGGAGCAGGTGCGGGGGCTCACGCCCTTAATCCCAACACTGAGAGGTCGAGGCGGGAGGATTGTTTGACCCCAGGAGTTTGAGACCAACCTGAGCAACATAGCGAGACCCTGTCTCTCCCCAAAAAATTTAAAATCATCTGTGTGTGGCAGCACACAGCTGTAGTCCCAGCTACTCGGGAGACTGTGGCAGGAGGATCACTGGAGCCCAGGAGTTCAAGGCTGCAGTGAGCTGTGACCAATTGCACCACTGTCCTCCAGCCTGAGCAACAACAGAGTGAGACCTTGTCTCAAAAAAAAAAAAAAAGAAAGAAAGAAAGAAAAGAAAGTAAAATCAGGAGGCACGCAGAGGCCTAATGAACAACATGGGTCCTATCCGATAGGGAGTTTTAAGCAAGGAGGTAACAGAACCCAATTTCCCTTTTTCACTCTTTTGAGAGAAAGGGTCATGCTCTGTCACCCAGAATGAAGTGCTGTGGTGCAATCACAGCTCTCTGTAGCCTACAACTCCTGGGCTAAAGGTATCCTCCTGTCTCAGCCTCCCAAGTAGCTAGGACTATAGGCGTGCACCACCATGCCCAGCTAGTTTTTTTTTTATGTTTTTGTGACAGGGTCTCACTAGGTGCCCTCAGCAATGCTCCCACCTCAGCCTTGTGAAGCACTGGGATTACAGGTGTGAGACACCACACCCGGCCTTCCTTTTTAAAAACACCTTCTGACTTTTCATTGTGTGCCCATTTGTACACTTTTGATTTTTTACCCTAGGCAGACTTTAGCTTAAAAAAAAACATCATCAATTCTAAGATGCATCCTTTCACATTTTAACATTCCTGAAATCAGGATGCATCTAACAGTTGGTGATGTGTCAGCTTAAGTGTCGGCACTTTTTCTTTCTTACTGATAAAGAAATAATGGTGATTCTCACTGTCAACAGCCTTGTAGGTTTGATAAAACAAGGTCATTTTTAAACAAATATTTTTTGTCAGTTTTAAGATCACGTATCAGTTCGCCCAAATTTTCATTCACATTTTTATTTCATTTTTATTCAAATTCTCCTTTCTCAGCACAATCAAAAACTATAAAGAACCAGAGTAAAAAATTCACCGATGAGACACAAAGTTAAAAGATAAGTAAAAGAATGAGAAAAAAGTTCAATAAAAAAAAGTTGACAACAGACCTTTATCAAAGAACACATCTGGCCGGGTGCAGTGGCTCACACCTATAATCCCGCACTTTGGGAGGCCGAGGCCGGTGGATCACGAGGTCAGGAGATCGAGACCATCCTGGCTAACACAGTGAAACCCCGTCTCTACTAAAAATACAAAAAAAATTAGCCGGGCGTGGTGGCGGGCACCTGTAGTCCCAGCTACTTGGGAGGCTGAGGCAGGAGAATGGCATGAACCCAGGAGGCGGAGCTTGCAGTGAGCTGAGATCGCGCCACTGCACTCCAGCCTGGGTGACAGAGCAAGACTCTCAAAAAAAAAAAAAAAAAAAGAACACATCCATGTGTTATGAAGCGTTCCTATAAACTGAAAAGGAAAGAAACTACAAACTAATGGAAAAAGGAAATAAAAAAATTTACAAGAGGTCCCAAAGTCCAATAAAACGAAGGAAAGATGCTCCATCTCACTAGCATTCAAAGTTACATAATTTTTTTTAAATAATAGGGCATCAGCCAGGCCCAGTGGCTCACGCCTGTAATCCCAGCACTTTGGGAGGCCGAGGCAGAGGATCACGAGGTTAGCAGTTCGAGACCAGCCTGACCAACATGCTGAAACCCTGTCTCTACTAAAAATACAAAAAAAAATTAGCCAGGCGTGGTGGCGCGTGCCTGTAATTCCAGCTGTTTGGGAGACTGAGGCAGGAGAATCGCTTGAACCCAGGAGGCAGAGGTTGCAGTGAGCAGAGATTGAGCCACCACACTCCAGCCTGGGTGACAGAGGGAGACTCCATCTCAAAAAATAAAATAAAATAAAAATAATAGGGCATCATTTTGGCCTACCAGACTGGTAGAAATTTTTTCTTTTGGATAGACTCTCATCTCATGCTGTCACTCAGTCTGGAGTGCAGCGGCATGATCTCGGCTCACTGCAACCTCCGCCTCCCAGGTTCAAGAGAGTCTCCTGCCTTAGCTTCCCAAATAGCTGGGATTACAGGCGCCAGCCACCACACCCAGCTAATTTTTGTATTTTTAGTAGAGACGGGGTTTCATCATGTTGGCCAGGCTGGTCTCGAACCCCTGACCTCAGGTGATCCACCCGCCTCGGCCTCCCAAAATGCTGGGATTACAGGCGTGAGCCACCACACCTGGCCAGACTGGTAGAAAATTTTTTAAATCACAATATACCCAGTGTTAGGGTGTTATGGTTTGAATGTGTCCCTCCGAAGTTCGTTGTGTTGGAAATTTAATCCCCCATGCAACAGTGTTGAAAGGTAGGACCTTTAAGAGGTGATTCAGTCCCAATGAATGAATTAATGCCACTTGCTTGGGATTGGGATTGGGATTGGGAGTGTGTTCTGAGTCTGCACCCCTTCACCTCTCTCTCACACAGTCATGCTCTCTTGCCTTTCTACCTTCCTCCATGGGATGACACGGCAAGAAGGCCCTTGCCAGATGTGGGCCCCTCAACCTCAAACTTCTCAGCTTCCAGAACTGTACTAAGTCTCTGTTCTTTTTATAAAGTACCCAGTCCCAGGTATTCTGTTATAGAAGCACAAAACAAGCTAAACCAGAAAACTGGTACTGAGAAGCTGAGAAGAAGGGCTGTGGCTGTTAAGTACCTGAAAATGTGGAAGCAGATTTGGAACTGGGTAATGGGTAGAGGTTGGAA